>NT_187601.1:906666-1208888 GCF_000001405.40 Homo sapiens | reverse complement strand
GAAAAAAGCTCCCAATGTCCCATGATCCTGTACATGCTCAATCCTGCCACCCACAGCCATCAGCAAAGAGTGCGAGGCAGATTAACCCAAAGAGAGTAGCAGTTAATACCTCGTAGTGCCAAATCCATTTTTAACCAAGAGAGACTTTACTGAGAGGGACCTCTAACCCCCTGAATCTTTGGAAGGACTCTAACATTCCTAAATTGGGCCTCAAACCCAAGTTTGGTCAAGCATCGTTGCAGGACTGGGGTTGGGGTGCAGGGCTCATTTTCCCTCCTTTCCTTGTCTTGCAAAAGGGACACAGCCTCATTTCCAGGACATTAGAGGATATCCCAAGCAGAGGGCCTTTCCCACCCCGATTCTGTCACTTCTTTAATTTTCTGTATTCCTCTCTCCGCAGACTTCACACTGAGACTCTCACTTTCCTTTTTTTTCTCTTCACTCATTCTTTCATTCAAAACATATTTACCAAGCTCCTGAGCACTGACTCAAGAGAAAAAGATAGACACATCCTTATTTCATGAAATTTGTTCCAGTAGGGGAAAAGGACAGAAACAAGCAAATGCAAAAAACAATAGTACATATCTACTAACTCCCTATTTGTCACCAAACTAAGGCACATCAAGGTTCATTAACTTGCCTCAAGGCCACAGCTCTAAGGATTTCAACCAGGGCCCCTGGTCAGAGATCATGCTGTTAGCCACCAATCCATGCTGACTTCCTGCTTATCACAAATATGGGAGTAGGGCTCCATGCCATTTGTCAGCTAGTGTAGAATGTTTCATACTATAAATCTTCTATGTGGGATGGAGGGATGTTCTCCATACAAAATGAAGTTCATAAGAAATGCAGTCAGGGCCGGGCGTTGTGGCTCAAGCCTGTAATCCCAACAATTTGGAAGGCTGAGGCGGGCGGATCACGAGGTCAGGAGATCGAGACCATCCTGGCTAACACAGTGAAACCCCGTCTCTACTAAAAATACAAAAAAAAAAATTAGCCGGGCATGGTGGCGGGTGTCTGTAGTCCCAGCTACTCGGGAGGCTGAGGCAGGAGAATGGCGTGAACCCAGGAGGCAGAGCTTGCAATGAGCTGAGATGATGCCACTGCACTCCAGCCTGGGTGACAGAGCAAGACTCCATCTCAAAAAAAAAAAAAAAAAGAAAAGAAATGCAGTCAAAAATTTTGATGAAAAGGAGGATTTTGAATTCCTCACATCTCCAAGAAGGGCATTTTGAGGGGAAAAGTAATGCTCCTGGTATTGGGATGTGTTGGAATTAGATTTTCCTGGCCAACATGGTGAAACCCCATCTCTACTAAAAATACAAAAGTTAGCTGGGCATGGTGGTGTGCGCCTGTAGTCCCAGCTACTTGGGAGGCAGGGGCAGGAGAATCGCTTGAACCCAGGAGGGTGGCTGGCAAAGAGCAAATGAAAAGCGAAGCATAAAGGGAAACCCCTTATAAAATCATCAGATCTCATGAGACTTACTACCACGAGAACAGCATGGGGGAAATCATCCCGGTGATTCAATTATCTCCCACTGGGTCCCTCCCACAACACATCAGAATTATGGGAGCTACAATTCAAGAAGAGATTTGGGTGGGGACACAGCTAAACCATATCAGGTATTCTTCAGTTTTTCTGTAAATTGAACATTGGAATAAAAGCACAACAGAGTTTTTCTTAGAGCACTGATCTTCTCTTTAACAAGAATTTGTAAAGGGTTATAAAAGGTTTATGAGAATCTTGCCTCATAGACAAACTGATTAAGATTGATTTGTCTGTAAAGTTTTTTTTGTTTTGTTTTGTTTTGTTTTTGAGATGGAGTCTCGCTCTGTTGCCCAGACTGGAGTGCAGTGGTGCAATCTTGGCTCACTGCATCCTCCACCTCCCGGGTTCAAGCAATTCTCCTGCCTCAGCCTCCTGAGTAGCTGGGATTACAAAAGCGCACCACCCAGCTGGCTAATTTTTGTATTTTTAGTAGAGACGGGGTTGCACCATGTTGATCTGGCTGGTCTCAAACTCCTGACCTCGTGATCCGCCCACCTCAGCCTCCCAAAGTGCTGGGATTACAGACGTGAGCCAGAGCGCACGGCCAGGTTTTATTAAGGATTGAATTTGATATCAATAGTACACTAACGCAAAGGGTGAAATCTGGCTTTCTCTCTTAAGATTTTCTTTCTTTTTTTTTTTTTATTTTTTTGAGACACAGTCTCACTCTGTCACCCAGGCTAGAGTGCAGTGGTGCAATCTCGGCTCACTGCAACCTCCACTGCCCAGGTTCAAGCGATTCTCCTGACTCAGCCTCCCAAGTAGCTGGGATTACAGGCACCCGCCACCATGCGTGGCTAATTTTTTTGTATTTTTAGTAGAGACAGGGTTTCACCATGTTGCTCAGGCTGGTCTCAAACTCCTAACCTCAGGTGATCCACCTGCCTTGGCCTCCCAAAGTGCTGGGATTACAGGTGTGAGCCACCACACCCAGCTGATTTTCATGTTATATTAAAAAAAAAAAGATTTTTGTTTGCCTTTTGAATAAGCTATAGACAAAAGAAGGGAAAGGAAAGAGATTGTTTGGAAAGCTAAATCTTCCCTCTATTAATGAGTAAAGGTTTTTTGCCTTTTAAAAAATTCTGAGTTATTGTTTCAGCTAAGTAAATGACTTATGGTGACCTGGGATTTGATTTTATAATATCAAGTGTTTTAAACCTCTGATATTTGGCAAAATTTCCAAAATCAAATTATAAATTATGTCTTCTTCTGACCTCCTAATTAATCTTTTAGATACTAGGTCTCCTCAAGTCCAAAAATGACATATTTGCCTTATTTGGTATAAAAATCATATAGGAAGCATGGTTAAATATGAAATGGTTGGGTGTTTGGCTTTCTTGGCTGTATTTGTATAACTAAGTTATTGGTATGTGTTCTAAAATTATGGGAAACTCCTATAATCATGATATGACTTAGTGTATGCTACTAATAGTTATAATTGTTATGTAAAATTGTTGTATGCCATAGAAGTAACCACAATTTCTAGCCAATTGTGGCTATAATAGCGGCTGTCCTAAAACTTTTTGTCATCCACAGGCAACTGTTACCTTGTTTTGATCCTCTTTAAAAGGTGACCCTTAATCAGCTATAGGACTTTGACAGATGCTCTTGGATGCAGGTTTCTGATAACTTTGGACATTGTGATGTTAGAAAAAATCTTTCAGGACTTTCATGGAGAGCTGAAATGTTCATGAGCATCAGACAGAACAGGAATTAAGCGCATGAACTAAACTAACAGAAGTCTGAACCAATCTTTCTGACTTTTTCCTGATCTTTTACAGAGCCAAAAAAATTTTTATTTTGAGCTATTTACAACTTTTGATAATTGAGTAAAGTATACTACTGTGAACAAAATTTGGAGTATATTTGCTTCTCTCTACCTGATTTCTCCAGAATTTGGAAACTGCATATTCTTAATTTATGGCAATATAGTTATCTGCATAAGTACAATAAGAATCCATTTCATTTTGCAATTGGATGCAATTGGAGACATCGGTTATTTTACCAAGGCTTTGACTGTAATGATGTGCTTTCCCTTAAGGAATCAAACTTGACTTATAGAGCCAATAAAAGCCCCTTGGGAAAACTAGCCTCGTATCTTGCCTACACAGTCACTGTACAGGGTTCCTGACCAAAGAATGTCACTTTCTGACAGGCCCAAGAGCCCCAAGTTATCTTGAAACCTCTTAAGGAGAGGAATTTACCCAAACTCGTAGGTATCTGCTACCAACCCATGGCTGGCCTCAGCTTTAAAAATGTCTTATCTGAGATTCCTTTCATGGAACAAAGTTCCACCAAAGTCAATTTAAAAAGCCTATGTGAAAAATAATCATTCTTGCTGCACTTTATACAAATAATCAGGCCAGGTATAATAAACCAAATCTGTCAAATTATGATTTGTTTTATACTAAAATGAGGACTGGAGAGAGAAAAATTAGGTTTCAAAAACTGTGGTACACCAGTTATTAAATTCTAGTCTCATCAGTTGTTTTTGAGTTTTTTTCTGCAATTTAGACTGACCCTGCTTATTCCTGTGAACCAATCGGTGATCTCTGGCTGCAGCTCAGAAGAAACAAGAGGGATGGGTAATGTAAAAATCTGGATCAATATTCTAATTTGGGCACATATTGGAATCAGCTAGAGACCCCCATATCAGCTTGGTTCCAACAATTGCCCAGTTCCTGGAAAGCCTTCTTATTCAGTTTACTTGGGATAATTTTGCTTATTTTACTTTACTGTTGTGGAATATGTTGCTGTTGTACTCTTTGTATAGAAATGTAGGATGAGCTTACTCAATGTTTTCTTAAATTGAACACTTACTAATCTTCCAGATATCACCTTTTGTCGGAACTCAAGAGTTATGAATGGTCCTTGCCATACCGACACTTTCTGACTGAGCTCCACTCTACCCTGAATACAAGAGACCCTAATAGTTAGGCAGGAATATCATCGCCCCTATTCAGTCTGAAGAAATTACAGAAGATGGATCTACATACTTCTACAACCCTTAGGCTTAAGGGTTTCCTTGTAAAAGGGAGGGGGTAAATATGTCAGAAGCATTTGAACCAGAGTGACTCCATCTTGAATAAGAGCTGGGTAAAATAAGGCTGAGACCTACTAGGCTGCATTCCCAGGAGGTTACGCATTCTTAGTCACAGGATGAGACAGGAGATAGGCACACGATACAGTTCACAAAGACCATGCTGATAAAATAGCATGCAGTAAAGAAGACAGCCCAAACCCACCAAAACCAAGACGGTGATGAGAGTGACCTCTGGTCATCCTCATTGCTCATTATATACTAATTATAATGCATTAGCATGCTACAAGACACTCCCAGCAGCACCATGACCATTTATAAACGCCATGGCAACATCAAGAAGTTACCCTATATGGTCTGAAAGGGGGAGGAACCCTCAGTTCCAGGAATTGCCCACCTCAAAAACTCATTAATAATCCACCACTTGTTTAGCATATAATCAAGAAATAACTATAAGTATTATCATTCAAGCAGCTCAAGCTGCTATTCTGACTATGGAATGGCCATTCTTTTATTCCCTTACTTTGTTAATAAACTTGCTCTTGCTTTATGGATTCACCTGAAATTCTTTCTTGCATGATATCCAAGAACCTTCTCTTAGGATATGCATCGGGACCTCTATCCAGTAACAGCTGCAGTGAGCCATGACCCAACCACTGCACTCCAGCCTAGCCAACAGAGCAAAACACTCTCTCTAAAAATAAAAATAACAAAATAACAAAACAAACAAAAAAACACCATGAACAAAGTCCCTCGTGGTGAAAAATGGATTTATCATGAAGGTTAAGAGACAAGTGACATACTGAGGGGAAAACAAACCAAACAAAATAATACTTTTGCACGATTAGTATCCCCAACTCAAAGAGAGTTTTCCTTATGAATCAATTTTTAAAAGGAACTGCCTTTAACAAGGAACTCCGAAGACTAGGAGACAGCTCCCCAAGACAGAATTACGCATGACTAATAGACACTTAAAAAGATGGTCAATCTTACTAATAGTAAAAGATTTAAAGGAGGTAACATTTTGTATGTGTGTCACATGCATCTATTAGTCAGAGTTCAGCTGCAGATAACAGAAGTCACTCCAGCCAACTTAAGCAGAGTGGGTTTTGACACAGGGAATTAGGTGACTATAAGATTGTTCCAGGGGGTGGAGCTTGCAGTGAGCTGAGATCGTGTCACTGCACTCCAACCTGGGCGACAGAGCAAGACTCTGTCTCCAAAAAAAAAAAAAAAAAGATTGTTCCAGGATTGGAGGAGGAGGGTCTAAGCTGATGTTCCAGGAATGCCCCAACCCCAGAATGTGGCTCCACCCTAAAAGTGGGCCACCAAGAATGCTTCAGCCAGTGCCATGATCACGAAACTGGGATATCGGGAAGCCACTGCCACACCTGTTGGCTCTGGGGCATCTATGCCAGTAAAATGAAAACTTACCTTCTGCATCTCGCATAGTAACGTAAGAAATGGATCCTGGGACTCTGCTTCTGCTACTGCAAAAAAACAAGTCCCTACTACAATGCTTGGCAGTAGAAGAAGCCGAAGCACAGCCCCTGTGTCCCTTCCACCTTCACATCCTTGCACAGGGGAGTCAGCTTGGCACAATTCAGGTCATTTGCAGAACTGGCATATGGGGAAGCCAGGGGAATAGAGTCATTAACTTTCCATCCTTGAGGGTTCACAGCAGAGCGTGAAACAGAGCTGAGTGACTACATCCTTATAATCTGCCTCAGGAAGCAAATAACTGGAACATGCAGTGTTTGCATGAGGAAAGGAGTAGTGATCCTCATTCACTGCTGGGTATGGCGTGTTCTAACCCATACTTTATTTGACAGCATGTAGTGAAAGCTTATTTGGTTTAGAAATTTTACTTCTTGGAATTCATCACAAGAAAAGAATCAGAGATGTGCACAAATATCTGCACATGAATGATGATCACCGTGTTTTTGATGACAACTATAAAAGCAGTCAGAGTCAAAATGGAGTTGCTTGTGTTAAAAAAAAAAACGACAATCGGCTGGGCACGGTGGCTCATGCCTGTAATCCCAGCACTTTGGGAGGCCGAGGCGGGCAGATCACGAGGTCAGGAGATCGAGACCATCCTGGCTAACACGGTGAAACACCATCTCTACTAAAAATAGAAAAAATTAGCTGGGTGTGGTGGCGAGTGCCTGTAATCCCAGCTACTCGGGAGGCTGAGGCAGGAGAATGGCGTGAAGCCTGGGAGGCGGAGCTCGCAGTGAGCCGAGATGCGCCACTGCACTCCAGCCTGCGTGACAGAGTGAGACTCCGTCTCAAAACAAAACAAAAATAAAAATAAAAATAACAAAAAACACACCCAAACTCTGACAAATAGAGCTAGGGAAAATCCATGAAGAGAGGGTTTTCACGCTTTTGTATGCCTGAGAACAAAACTATCATCTGCAAAAATTGCAATCTTGCACAAAGGCCATCACAACCTTACACAAAAAATACTTCCGTGAGCACATCTGCCCAGAAACTACCTGCCCAACCTCAGACTGGTGTCACCCTTGCTGTTAATCCTTATAGCCAAACATGTTGTTATTATTATTATTTGTAAAAGTAAGTTATTCTAAGAGTAATTGATTAAGGCTGTTGTCTTTTAATTGCTTTCTAATCTGGCTTCAAAACAATTACATAATTGTCTTCATTTTTCCTTTAAAAACCTTTGTCTTCCTTTACATCCTTGAATATGTACATAGTTTACTATGGCATGAATTTTCCCACTGCAATGCCGTATTCTCAAATGTCATTTTCTTTTAGAGGGCTTCTCTCTGTTTGTTATTTAGGTTGACACAGCAAAAGTGGGAAGTAACAAAAATTGAATAAATAAAATTTTATACTCCTATATAAATAATTATATGTAGCTACTGATGATAGAAGCAGAAATGGGTTTACCTCGAAGCAAAAGAAGCCTGAGTTCAGGGACCCTCACTTGCACTGGCTCCTTCCAAGACCCTAAGAGCAGCTCTAGCCATTGCTCACTTTGTTGTTATTATTATTATTTGCAAAAGTTCTTCTAAGAGTAATTGATTAGGGCTGTTGTCTTGTAATTGCTTTCCAATCTGGCTTCCCTCTGCCATACTTCCCCTGGTTTGGGGTGACATTATAGTGTTACTGGTATTTTGTATTATAACTCTCTTTTTTTAAGCTCTCTGCCCCACCAATTATGTAAGCTTCAGGTCCTAAATAGAATGGATCCGTCCCTGGTTATAGATTAATATTTATTGGCAATGGGGAATGGTTCATTAGATATTGTTGAGTGAAAGAGGCAACTTACAAAACACTGGTAAAGGAAGACCTCATTATATTAGGCAATTCTTGTATTGCTATAAAGAAATATCTGAGACTGGGTAATTTATCTAAAAAAGAGGTTTAACTGGCACACAGTTCCACAGGCTTTACAAGAAGCATGCTGCTGACATCTGCTCAGCTTCTAGGTAGGCCTCAGGAAGCTTACGATCATGGCAGAAGGTGGAAGGGGGGCAGGCACATGAGATGGTGAAAACAAGAGTCAGAGAGAATTGAGGGGAGGCGCCACACACTTTTAAACCACCAGATCTCACATGAACTCAGAGTGAGAGCTCACTTATTATGAAGCAGATGGCCCAAGCCATTCATGAGGCATCTGCCCCCATGATCCAAACACCTCCCACCAGACCCCAACTCCAGCATTGGGGATTACAATTCAACTATGAGATTTGGGTGGGGACAAATATCCAAACTATATCACCCATGTAGAATGCTTATACATACGTATGTTTTTTGGTGCTAGATGAATTACAATGCCTCAGGCATAAGTCACTTTTACAATAAATGAAAATACCAAAATGGCTCCCATTTAAGAAATAGTTGCCAATTAATTTTTAAATTAAAATATATTTGTGTTCTGGGTAGGGATAAAAACTAACTGGAAATGGGGATGAATGAATTTTCTGGGGTGGTGGAAATGTTCTTTATGTTGTTTTGTGCAATACTTATATGATGATATGGAAATGTTACAATTCATTGAACTGAAAAGCTGCACTCTGCATTTTATTGTACACTAATTATACCTCCATATAATATATATAATTAAAATAATCACATTAAAATTGAAATATTGAAAAGAAAAAATTACACTCAGTTCCATCACCTTAAAACAACTACTTAACACTGTGGGATGTTTCGCCGAAATGTGTTTTCCCCCAACTTATCACCTTTTCATATTTATACTATATGAAAGGTATGTGTATGCTTATAAAGAAATGTGTGATGACAAAAGGAATTGCTAAGGTCAATTGAGCTCACCATGTGCCAGGCACTGCAGCAAGAAGTTTACATGCATTTACGTTTAGTCTTCTCAACCATATTATTCTCATTTTACAGATGAGGAAACATGCAGGAAGAGTAAGTAATCTGCCAGAGTCACACAGCTAATGTTACAGAGCTCAGACCTGACTCCAGGCAATCTGATTCCCCCACCCTTCTAGATGCCCTACCTGGCTAGATGAGCCATTTTCTTGCTGGGAAATATATGAGCTCAACTGTTCCAACTTCTCCATATGCATTCTTGGTTCCCCTCAGCCCACATCTACCCTTCAGTCTTTTTGGAAAGTCAATCAACACATTCATAAGTACTCCCACTTCAGCCACTGGCAATGGAGGCTTCTGCATGGGTCCCTTGGAAACTGGGACACATTCCTTATAGGGTTTCTTGATCTTGATTACTTTTTTTTTTCCCCCACACAGGGTCTTGCTTTGTCACTCAGGCTGAGTATACTGGCATTGGAACAGGAATTAAAAGAAATTAAAAACTGTGTAAGCAAAAACTCGGTTGTATGTAAAAAAACCCAATTTCCCTTGAGGAAGAGAAAGGGCTGGAGTCCTTTAAAATTAACTGCCTGTTTTTCTTTCTGAGGCTAGTGAGCCTTATCTCTCCCTTTCCCAGGCATTGTGAAGACTCTGTTTCTCTAGCTGTGCAGCTGCAAGGTCACTAGACAGATACTCTCAAGTCGTAAAACGTGTTGTTCCTTGAAAAGTAAGATATAATGTAATGCCATGTCTCAATTGAATAACTGTCTTTGTTTCTCGCTTCTGTAATATGCTTCCCACTGCACAAATCTCCCCCTGCCCCACGAAATGTTTAAAAGGTAGCTTGACTCTTTGTTCAGGGCTCAGTCCTTTGGATGTTAATCTGACTGGGTTTGTGCACCTAAATAATTAAATAATTCCTCCTCAACCCCTCGGTCCCTTTGGTTTCTTAATTATCCCGCAGCAGCATGAACATGGCTCACTGCAGCCTTGACCTCTTGGGCTCAAGCAATCCTCCCACTTCAGCCCCCTAAGTAGCTGGGACTAAGGGCGCATGCCACCAAGCCTGGTTAATTTTTGCATTTTTTGTAGAGACGGGGTTTCACCATGTCGCCTGGGCTGATCTTGAACTCCTGAGCTCAAGCGATCCACCCGCCTGGGCCTCCCAAAGTGCTGGAATTACAGGTGTGAGCCACTGCACCCAGTTAAAGTCACAGATCTCCAAGTCAGGTCTGAGCTCTGTAACATTAGCTGTATGACTCTGGCAAATTAATCTTCCTGCATCTGTTTTTTCATCTTTGAAATAAGAATAACATTAAAATAGTTTATTCTTACTATTTTTTAAAATTAGAATATTGAGAAGAAGGAAAAAAAATACCTATGTTTCCACTACTATAATGGAAACTTTGCCATCATTTTGCTTTTGGTTGACATCTCCCCCTCCCCCATTTTTAAAAATTAAAATTGACTCTCTTTCTTTCCTTCTTTCTTTTTCTTTTTTTAAAGATGATGTCTTGCTATGTTGTCCATGCTGGACTCACACTCCAGAGCCCAAGCGATCCTCCCTCTTCAGCCTCCTGGATAGCTGGGACTACAGGGATGTGCCACCACACCTGGCTTAAACCAATTTCTTTTTAATTCATAATTTTTAAATCAAAACAATTTACTCAACTCTTTATTTTGAAAAGTTTTAAACCTCAAAAAAGTTGAAAGAATAGTACAATGAACACTCACGTACCCTTACTCTAGCACCAATAATTCACCAATTATTAACATTTTGACTGTGTCCCCCTCTGCCATAATATACTTTTCTTTTTTTCTGAAACCAGCTGATTGATTAGGGTGGTGGTTGCTGAAAGGTGAGGTGCTGTGGCAATTTCTTAAAATAACACAACAATGAAGTTTGCTGCATGGATTGACTCTTCCTTTCATGAAAGATTTCTCAGTAGCATGTGATGCTAATTGGTAGCATTTTATCCACAGTAGAATGTTCAAAATTGTAGTCAATCCTCTCAAACCCTGCCACTGCTTTATCAACTAAGTTTACGAAATATTCTAAATCCTTCATTGTCATTTCAACAGTGTTCCCAGCATCTTCACCAGGAGTAGATTGTATCTCAAGAAACCACTTTCTTTGGTCATACATTAGAAGGAACTGTTCATCCATTCAAGTTTCTCACGAGATTGCCACAATTCAGTCATATCTTCAGGCTCCGCTTGTAATTTTAGTTTTCTTGCTATTTCCAACCACATCTGCAGTTACCTCCTTCACTGAAGTCTTGAACCTCTCAAAGTCATCAATGAGAACTGGAGTCAACTTCTTCCGAACTCTTGTTAATTTTGATATTTTGACATCTTCCCATGAATCACAAATGTTCTTAATGATATCTAAAATAGTGAACCCTTTCCAGAAGGTTTTCAATATACTTTGCCCAGATCCATCAGAGGAATAACTCTCTATGGCAGCCATAGCCTTACGAAATGTATCTTAAGTAATAAAACTTGAAATGCAAAATTACTTCTTGATCCATGGGCTGAAGAATGGATCTTGTGTTCACAGACATGAAAACAACATTCATCTCCTTATACATCTCCATTAGAGCTCTCGTGTGACTATGCACATTTTCAATGAGCAATAATACTTTGAGAGAAATCCTTTTTTCTGAGCAGTAGGCCTCAACAGTGGGCTTAAAATATTCAGTAAACCATGCTATGAACAGTTGTGCTGTCATCCAGGCTTTGTTGTTCTACTTACAGAGCACAGGCAGATTATATTTAGCGTAATTCTTAAGAGACCTAAGATTTTTATAATAGAATGGTAAACAAGCACTGGCTTCAATCCAAAGTCACTAGCTGCATTAGCCTCTAACAAAAGAGTGAGCTTGGCCTTTGAGGCCAGACATTGACCTCTCTAGCTATGAAAGTCCTTGATGGCGTCTTCTTCCAATAGAAGGCTGTTTTGTCTACATTGACTACTTGCTGTTCAGTGGCCACCTTCATCAACGATCTTACCTAGATCTTGGGGATAACTTGCTGCAGCTTCTCCATCAGCATTTGCTGCCTCATCTTACACTTTCATGTTCTGGAGACGGCTTCTTTCCTTAAACCTCATGAAATAATCTCTTCTAGCTTCAAACTTCTATAGCTTCCTCACCTCTCTCAGTCATCATAGAATAGAAGAGAATCAGGGCCTTGCTTTGGATTCGGTTTTGGGTTTAGGGGATGCTGTAGCCGGTTTTATTTTCTATCCAAACCACTAAAATTTTCTCCAAATCAGCAATAAACTGTTTCGCTTTCATATCATTCATGTGTTCATTAGAGTAAAATGTTTAATTTCCTTCAGTAACTTTTCCTTTGCATTCACAAACTGGCTAACTTTTTGGTGCAAACTTTCAGCCTAGCTTTCAGCCTATCTTGCCTTTTGACATCCCTTCCTCACTAAGCTTAACCATTTCTAGCTTTTGAGTTAAAGTGAGAGATGTGCGACTCTTTCTTTCACTTGAACACTTAGAGGCCCATTGTAGGGTTATTAATTGACCTAATTTCAACACTGTTGTGTCTCAGGGAATAGAGACCCAAGGAAAGGGAGAGAGAAGGAAGAACGGCCTGTCAGTGGATTAGTCTGAACACACACAACATTTATCAATTACGTTTGTATCTTATATGGGCACAGCTCATGGCGCCCCAAAACAATTACAATACAAGGAACACTCATCACACGTCACCCTTGTAGCAGAGCACATCTCCCTATGATCTAGGTACGAGCATTGTACCTAGGATGGACGCGTTCGTCCTCTTACCTTCGGGAACGCCCTACTCTGTCTACGGAGTAAAGTACTTAATAAACTTGCTTTTGCTTTGCTATGCGGACTCACCCTGAATTCTTTCCTGTGCAAGATCCAAGAACCCTCTCTTGGGGTCTGGATCGAGACCCCTTTCCGGTAACGAAACTACACTAAGAATACAAGAAAACTTACGTTACTGTGCGGGAGCTGACAAAGTCTCTCGCCGGAGGGAGCACACAGAATTTCACCTTCTCCGGCCTTTTCCCAAGCTGGCAGGAGTAAAGCTGTAAGAGGAGGTGCCAGCGCCCCAAGCCAGCTCTCCCGCCGGCACTGCTGCGGTCCGCGAGGCAGCCAATCAGGTAGCTGAGTTTGCCATAGGGGCGGGACTTCCTCCCCAGCGCGCACGAGTACGTGCGTGGAGGTCCCGCCCCGGAACTGCAGTTGCTGCTGCAGCTGAGGTACAGCGGCGGTTTCTGAGGTTCTTCACTCGCGACTGACGGAGCTGCGGTGGCGTCTCCACACGGTGAGTACCAAAACGAGCGGGGTTGGAGCCGACTCTGGAGAGGGGCTGAGGCCAGGAACCCGGGTTCCTATCGCGGGTCGCTCTGGGCCGGTGGGTTCCCGGGTCCAGAGAGGGCGGCCGCCGGCCCAAGCCGTCCAACCGAGCTGCGTGCCACGGTCCCCGCGCCTTGGGCTCCTTGTCCGGTCATCAGAGCCTGACGGCCTTGGCTTCTCGGCTTCTCGGTTTCTCGGTTTCGTGCGCGCGTTCGTGCCTGAGACAAAGCGAGAGGGCCGCGCGGGACCGGCGTCACGAGGAGACAGAGGCCCTTCTACTCTGCCTGGCGCTCTCCGTGTCCTCGCCCGGTTCGCGTGGCACCCCTCGCCCTCTCCTTGTTGAACCCCGCGTGTTTCTTTGTGTTTTTTTTTGTTTGTTTTTTGTTTTTTTGCCGTGGCGCAGCGGGTCCGGCGGGCACTGTGTGCGAACGTGCTCTCCTCGCCGGGCGCCATGCTCAGCGGTTTTTTTTGACGTGCGTCACTTTTTCGTAGTGGCGTATAAGGATTCTGTGGGACAGATGTCCTCGTTTTTCCCATTGTGCAGACTGGGAAATAAGAGACTCAGAGATTAATACGTCCACCGCAGAGCCACAGCTGACAAGTGGTGGATCTGGATTTGAACCAAAGTTTACCTTGGTCTTTTTCACGGAATCTGTTATCTTTCTTGGCCTTTCTGAAAAGGAAAAACCTGGATCGAGTTCCACCCAAACGAGTTGGGCCTAAATGGCCATTAAGCCACTTAAAATATGATGAAGAAACTGGATGGGTTTTAAGACGCTTGGCAAAGGAAAGGATGGTGGAGCAGGCATTTGCTCTCTCAGGCAAGGCTTGAGAAGGAAGCAAGCGCAGTACGCTTTTAATAAAGCTCACCCCTCCTGCCCCCACAAGAAAAACCCCTGAGATTCTTACTCTGCCTTCAGAACGACTTAGGTGTGGCAGGTTTCATCCTCCGTGCTTTACATAATTTTCTTTATTTACATAAAATGTACAACTTAGATATTGTTAGGTACCCTCCCCCCTTTTTATAGATGAGAGCACTGAAGTTCAGAGAGGAGTGGGTGGCACTATCCAAGGTCACACAGGCAGTAAGTGTTGGATTTGGAATTCAAACCAGGTCTAGCTCATATGTCTTTGTTCCATCACATGTGTACCCTGTGTTCCAGGCAAAGCTGTCTGTTCTGTGGTATTCTTTGTTCTTCTCTAGGTGGGAGCAACTGTGTGATAGCCATCTTTGTATCCTCAGTTCTTTGTAGGGCCTAGTTGCTTAGAAAATATTTGTTACATCAGAACCCTCTGCTTCTCAGACACCAACCTAATAGAACATGTATCTCCTTTTCAGCAACCATGAAGTTGAAGGACACAAAATCAAGGCCAAAGCAGTCAAGCTGTGGCAAATTTCAGACAAAGGGAATCAAAGTTGTGGGAAAATGGAAGGAAGTGAAGATTGACCCAAATATGTTTGCAGATGGACAGATGGATGACTTGGTGTGCTTTGAGGAATTGACAGATTACCAGTTGGTCTCCCCTGCCAAGAATCCCTCCAGTCTCTTCTCAAAGGAAGCACCCAAGAGAAAGGCACAAGCTGTTTCAGAAGAAGAGGAGGAGGAGGAGGGAAAGTCTAGCTCACCAAAGAAAAAGATCAAGTTGAAGAAAAGTAAAAATGTAGCAACTGAAGGAACCAGTACCCAGAAAGAATTTGAAGTGAAAGATCCTGAGCTGGAGGCCCAGGGAGATGACATGGTTTGTGATGATCCGGAGGCTGGGGAGATGACATCAGAAAACCTGGTCCAAACTGCTCCAAAAAAGAAGAAAAATAAAGGGAAAAAAGGGTTGGAGCCTTCTCAGAGCACTGCTGCCAAGGTGCCCAAAAAAGCGAAGACATGGATTCCTGAAGTTCATGATCAGAAAGCAGATGTGTCAGCTTGGAAGGACCTGTTTGTTCCCAGGCCGGTTCTCCGAGCACTCAGCTTTCTAGGCTTCTCTGCACCCACACCAATCCAAGCCCTGACCTTGGCACCTGCCATCCGTGACAAACTGGACATCCTTGGGGCTGCTGAGACAGGTAAGGGCAACTCTGGCCAAAGCAGGATTGCTTCTGGATTGAGCCCATAGCTGCTAATAGGCCAGATAATTGGGAGAGAGAAGAATGTTGAAGAACATAACCACAAAAGCAACGCTGAATAAAGGTGTTTAGAAGTCAGCCCCTCTGGTTTGAAATATGCTCTTCTTGAATGGTATCCTAGCCAGATCACTTTTATCTCTCTCAGCTCTGTAGACCCCATTATCAACCAAATGGAGATAACAGTTTCTACCTCTTGCATTGCTGTGAGGGTTAAATGCCACAGTAAACTAAAGCTTACACTGTACATTGGAAGTGGTCTGCAAATCGTAGTTTCTGCTGTTCTTGAGCCTTTTCTAAATAGCTCAAAGGGGTAAGGCAAGGCTAAGATCAGCCCTTTGGAGAGGTAGATCTTCATGAGTATAGGGAAGAACTGTCTAATTCTCAGGAGTTGTGCAAAGGTGAAAAGGGTTGCTGCTTTGGGAGTTGATGAGTTTCTTGTCATTGGAAGGATTTGAGTGTGGTGGGTAGTCATTGGGTGGATTTTGTAAACAGATTCAGCTATGAAGTGTTAGGACTATGCTGTGTTTGAGGTTCCTGCGAGACTTTTGGAAGCAATGACAGGTTGACTTTGCTGGATAGACTAGACTGCTGACTTGGGGGAGGAACTAGTACTGCCTGGAACTATTGGTCTGTTTAGACCAGCAGTGTCCATTAGAAATACATATAGTCATCTCTTGATATCCATGGAGGATTGGTTCCAGGACCTCCCTTGGATACCAAAATCCAGGGATGCTCAAGTCTCTGATATAAAATGGTGTAGTGCTTACATATAACCTATATAGGCACATCCTCCTGTATATTTTAAATCATCTCTCGATTACTTATAATATCTCATACAACATAGGTCTTATGTAAATTGTTACACCGTATTGTTTAGGGAATAATGACAAGAAAAGTCTGTACAGTGTTTAGTACAGATACAGTTTTTTTTTTTTTACCCCCCCGAATATTGTCGATCCACAGATGCAGAACCCACGGTTACAGAAGGGTGACTGTATAATGTGAAACACATAAGTAATTTAAAATTTACTAGGAGTCACATTTTTTAAAAGTTAAAAACTAGTGAGATATTTTATGTTCTTTTTTTTTTTTTTACTAAATTTTCAAAATCTGGTGTGTTTTAAACTTGCAGCACATGTCATTTTAGAGTAACTACATTTTAAGTGTTCAGTAGACACGTGCTTTGGGTTTCTGGAACAGTGGTCAGGAAACTCAGGATGATGTTCTGTGGCAGTCATATAGATGGAAGAGTGAGGAACTACAGGAAAGGGGAATGGAGATAATAACTTAGAACATTTACTGAGCATTTAAGATGTGTCATGCACTGTGTTAAGTGCTTTATGTTGATGAAATCGGTTGTCACAACCACCCTGGGGTAAGTACCATTATTCCCATGTTACAGATGAGAAAACTCAGCCTCACAGAGCATAGACAGCTTCCCTAAAATTACACAACTGAAATGGTAGTGTATGGATTCCAGGCTAGTTCTGTGTGTTGTTAAGCATTCTGCTACACTGCTTTGGTATGTGCAGCAGAGTCCTGGAAGTAAGTCCGTGGAAGGCAGAAACAAGGTTTATATGAGCCGTTGTGGCCAGAGATTGACATTTGGATGTATACCACAGTTCCTGTCAGGTTGTGAATCTACAAGTCCAGAATTCAAAACGACTTGGATAAGTCATCCATCTGGGGCTGTGAACAGACCACTGCCCATGCAATAATAAATAGACCCTTAATGTGGGGATTAGGGGCATTGGTCCCCTGTGCAGTCGAAAATCCATGTATAATTTTGAACTCCCCCCAAACTTAAACGCTAATAGCCTATTATTGGCTGGATGCCTTACAGATAACATAAGCAGTCTATTAGCACATATTTTGTATTATATACTTTATTCTTACAGTAACATAAGCTAGAGAAAAAATGTTATTAAGAAAATTGTAAGGAACAGAAAATATATTTACTATTCATTAAATGGAAGTGGATCATCATAAATGTGTTCATCTTCATCTTGACTTTCAGTAGGCTGAGTAGAAAGAGGAGGGGTTGGTCTTGCTGTCTCAGGGTGGCTGAGGTGGAAGAAATTCTGTGTATAAGTGGACCCCTACCTTCAAATTTGTGTTAAAGGGTCAACTGTATATCCATTACCCCCAAAAAGATACCCTGGGTTTTTTTTGTTGTCCCTCCCTCCCTCCCTCAGTTCTTGTTCCTCCTCAGGCAACCACTGATAGGCTTTCTATCACTATAGATTAATTTGCATTTTCTTGCTTTCTTTTTTTTTTTTTTTTTGAGACGGAGTCTCGCTCTGTCACCCAGGCTGGAGTGCAGTGGCCCAATCTCGGCTCACTGCAACCTCCGCCTCCTGGGTTCAAGTGATTCTCCTGCCTCAGCTTCCCGAATAGCTGGGATTACAGGCACTTGCCACCACATCTGGCTAATTTTTGTATTTTTAGCAGAGACGGGGTTTCACTATGTTGGTCAGGCTGGTCGCAAACTCCTGCCCTCATGACCTGCCTGCTTCGGCCTCCCAAAGTGCTGGGATTACAGGTGTGAGCCACTGTCCCCGGCCTAATTTGCGTTTTCTAGAATTTTATATAATGAAATCATATAATATGTACTGGAGGGGGTGGTATCTGAGTCTTTGACTCAGCATAATTTGAGATTACGCCATGTTATTACAATTACTAGCAGTTCATTCCTTTTTAGTGATGAATAGTATTCCAATGTGTGGGTAGAGCAGTTTGTTCATCTATTGATGGACATTTGTGCTTTTTCTTGTTTTTGGCTATTACAAATATAGTTATTGTAAATACTATTGTACCAGTCTTTGTATGGATATGTGCTTTAATTTCTATTGGATAAATACCTAGGTGTGGAATGGCTAGGTCTTGTGGTAAATGTAACTTTTAAAGAGTTTTCCAAAGTGATTATACCATTTTACGTTGTCACTAGGTGGTATGAGTTCAAGTTGGTCCATATTCTTGTCAATAACTAGGTATGCTCAGTCTTTAATTTTATTTTAGACTTTTAAAATTTTACTATTATTTCCTTGTCATTTGAATTTGCATTTCCCTAGTGACTAGCAATGTAGAGCATTTTAGCATATGCTTATTTGTCTGTTTGATTATTTTGCCCATTTTTAAAATAGGGATGTTCTGTTGTAGAGTTTTGGGAGTTCATTGTGTATTCTAGATACATGTCCTTTATCAGATGTGAGATTTGCAAATTTTTCTCCCAGTTTGTGGCTTATCTTTTCGTTCTCTTAACAGTGTTTTTCAAAGAGCAGAAAGTCTTTATTTTGATGAAATCCAAATTAGCCTTGTCTTTTATGAATTTATGCTTTTGGTGCCGTTGGTGTTTTATCTAAGAACCTTTTGCCTAATTCAAGATCACAAAGATTTCTCCTGTGTTTTGTTCTAGAAGTGTTAATAGTCTTAGGTTTTATGTTTTGGTCTCTGATCCTTATTGAGTTAACTTTTATTTAGAGTGAGAAGTATGGATCAAAGTTTGTGGGTTTTTCTGCATATGGCTAATTATTTCAGCACCATTTGTAGAAAAACTATTCTTTCTCCACTGAGTTGACTTTGCATCTTTGTTGAAAGTCTGTGACCATATAGGTGTGGGTCTTTCTCTGGAGTCTTTTTGTTTTCCATTGATCTGTTTGTCTAGTCTTTATGTCAGTTTCTTATTCTCTTGGTTATAATAGCTTTATAATAAGTCTTAAAATCAGGTAGTATGAGTCCTCTAACTTTGTTCTTTTTAAAAGTTATTTTGACTGTTGTAGGCCTTTGCCCTTCCATATGGATTTTAGAATCCGTTATATCAGTTTCTACAAAAAAAGTAAGCTGATATCTGGATTGGGATTCTGTTGATTACAGAGCAAATTGAGGATAGATGACGTCTTAACAATATTTAATTTTCCAGTCTATGAATATGGTATCTCTCCATTTCTTTAGATCTTTAACTTTTCTTAGCAATGTTTTAAAATTTTCAGTATATAGATTTTTCACATCTTATGTTAGATTTATCCTTAAGCATTTTATATTTTTGATTCTATTGTAAATGGTAATTTAAAATTTTTTATTTCCGATTGTTTGTCGCCAATAAGTAGAAATATGATGGATTTTTGTATATTGATCTTGTGTCCTGCAACTTAGTTCCACCAAGTAGTTTTCTGAGGATTCCATGGTATTTTCTGCAAAGATGATCATTATCCAGTCTTGGATGCCTTTTGTTTTTCTTGTTGTATTGCAGTGGCTAACACCTTTAGCAGAATTTTGAATTGTAGTGGTAAAGTGGGCATTATTGCTTTGTGTTTGATCTTCTGGGGAAAACATTTAGTCTTTCACCATTAAGTCTGATCTTAGCTGTAGGTTTTTTGTAGGTGCTTTTTATCACGTTGTGGAAGTTCTCTTTGATTTCTCATTTGCTGAGAGGTTTTATCAGGGTTGGATGTTGGATATTTTTCAAATGCTTTTTTACTGCATATATTGAAATAGGTGGTTTTTCATTTTTAGTCTGCCAATGTGGTGAATGACATTGATTTTCAATTATGAAATTAGACTTACATTCCTGGGATAAACTGAACTTGGTCACAATATACTATTCTAATTATATTTTGTTGGATTTGATTTGCTAAAATTTTGTTGAGAATTTTTGAACTTATGTTCATGGGATAGTTGTAGTTTTCTTGTAATGTTTTGGTGTTGGAATCAGTAATGTAGCTTCAGAATGATTTCTGAAGTATTCTGTTCAGTTTTCTGAAAGAATTTATACAGGATTGACATTTTATACCCAACTTAAATTTTTGGTAGAATTCATCTGAGCCTGCACTTGTCTTTGTAGGAAGATTTTTGACTACAAATTTACTTTGTTTAATAGATTAGAGATATTTGTGTTACTTATTTTTTTCTTTTTTTTTTTTTTTGAGATGGAGTCTCGGTCTGTTGCCCAGGCTGGAGTGCAGTGGTGCGATCTCAGCTCACTGCAAGCTCTGCCTCCTGGGTTCACACCATTCTCCTGCCCCAGCGTCCCAGGTAGCTGGGACTACAGGTGCCCACCACCATGCCCGGCTAATTTTTTGTATTTTTA
The DNA here is from genome assembly GCF_000001405.40 of Homo sapiens. Classification (NCBI taxonomy): domain Eukaryota; kingdom Metazoa; phylum Chordata; class Mammalia; order Primates; family Hominidae; genus Homo; species Homo sapiens. The sequence goes on along the minus strand of NT_187601.1, from coordinate 1,188,440 downwards.
GTAGAGACAGGGTTTCACCGTGTTAACCAGGATGGTCTCAATTTCCTGACCTCGTGATCTGCTCGCCTCGGCCTCCCAAAGTTCTGGGATTACAAGCATGAGCCGCCACACCCGGCCACTTATTTTTTTCTTGAGTGACTGTTTTCTACTTGCAGTTCTATTAGTTTTTGTTTCATGTATTCTGACAATCAGTTTATGTGAATACATGTTTTATGGATTAAAATATTAGATTATTATTATATCCTCTAAATGAATTGGCTTGTTATCGTTATGAAATGGCCCCCTTTATCCTTAGTAATTTTTTTTTGTTCTAAAATGTCCTTTGGTATTGATGCAGCCAGTCCAGCTTTATTGATTAAGGGGTTAGCATGGTATGTGTTTTTCAATACTATTACTTTCCCTTATTTATATTTAATGTGAATTTCTTATAGGCAGCATATAAATGGGTCTTGCTGTTTAATCAGACAGTTCGTGTCTTTGAGTTGAATTATTGAAGCCAGGCATGGTGGCTCACATCTGTAATCCCAGCACTTTGGGAGGCCAAGGCATGTGGATCACTTGAGGCCAGGAGTTCAAAACCAGCCTGGCCAACATGGCGAAACTGTCTCTACTAAAAATACAAAAAAATAGCCAGGCGTGGTGGCATGTGCCTGTAGTCCCAGCTGCTTGGGGGGCTGAGCCACAAGAATTGCTTGAACCCAGGGGGCGGAGGTTGCAGTGAGCTGAGATTGTGCCACTGCACTCCATCCTGGGTGACAGAGTGAGACTCTATCTCAAAAAAAAAAAAAAAAAGAAAAGAAAATTAATTGAGTTACTGAGATTATTTACGTTTAATGATTATTGATAATGGTGGGTTTACTTATTTATTTTTTGACTGATAGCATACCTGATTTATTTATTTTTTTCACATTTCTGTTTTTTATTTTAAATTTTTTTTTCCTTTTCTATGTTTAGATGTTTATTTTTAATTTTTTTAAATTTTTCCATAAGTTATTGGTGTACAAGTGGTATTTGGTTACATGAGCAAGTTTTTTTGTTTGTTTGTTTTTTGAGACGGAGTCTTGCTTTGTCACCCTGGCTGGAGTGCAGTAGTGCTATCTCAGCTCACTGCAATCTCCACCTTCTGGGATCAAGCCATCCTCCTTCCTCAGCCTCCCAAGTAGCTGAACTACAGGCATGTGCCACCATGCCCGGCTACTTTTTGCATTTTTAGTAGAGACAGGGTTTCACCACGTTGGCCAGGTTGGTCTTGAACTCCTGAACTCAAGTAATCTGCCCACCTCGGCCTCCCAAAGTGTTGGGATTACAGGCGTGAGCCACTGTGCCAGTTTAGTGGTGATTTGTGAGATTTTGGTGCACCTATCACCCGAGCAATATACGCTACACCATATTTGTAGTATTTCATCCCTTGCCCCTCTTTCATTCTTCCCCCCAAGTACCCGGAGTCCATTGTATCATTCTTATGCTTTTGCATCCTCATAACTTAGTCCTGCATATCAGTGATAACATACGATGTTTGGTTTTCCATTCCTGAGTTACCTCACTTAGAATAATAGTCTCCAGTCTCATCCAGGTCACTGCAAATGCTGTTAATCCATTCCTTTTTATGGCTGCATAGTATTCCATCCTGTATATACCACAGTTTCTTTATCTACTCGTTGATTGATGGGCATTTGGGTTGGTTCCATGATTTTGCAGTTGTGAATTGTGCTGCTATAAAATTATGTGTGAAAGTATCTTTTTTGTATAATGACTTCTTTTCCTCTGGGTAGATACCCAGTAGTGGGATTGCTTGATCAAATGGTAGTTCTACTTTTAGTTCTTTAAGGAATCTCCACGCTGTTTTCCATAGTGGCTATACTAGTTTGCTTTCCCACCAGGACATAGAAGTGTTCCTTGTTCACCACATCCATGCCAACATTGTTTTTTTTTTGAGATGGAGTTTCGCTCTTGTTGCCCAGGCTGGAGTGCAATGGCGCAATCTCGGCTCACTGCAACCTCTGCCTCCCGGGTTCAAGTGATTCTCCTGCCTCAGCCTCCCGAGTAGCTGGGATTACAGGCATGCGCCACCATACCCAGCTAATTTTGTATTTTTAGTAGAGACGTGGTTTCTCCATGTTAGTCAGGCTGGTCTCAAACTCCCGACCTCGGGTGATCCGCCCATCTCGGCCTCCCAAAGTGCTGGGATTACAGGTGTGAGCCACTGTGCCCGGCTTTTTTTCTTTTTTTAAGTCAAAGGCTCACTCTGTTGCCCAGGCTGGGGTGCAGTGGCACAATCTTGGCTCACTGCAACCTCCGCTTCCCAGGTTCAAGTGATTCTCCTGCTTCAGCCTCCTTAAGTAGCTGGGATTACAGGTGCCTGCCACCATGCCCGACTAATTTTTGTATTTTTAGTAGACATGGGGTTTCACCATGTTGGCCAGGCTGGTCTTGAACTCCTGACCTCAGGTGATCTGCCCACCTCAACCTCCGGAAGTGCTGGGATTACAGGCATGAGCAACCGTGCCTGGCTGCCAACATCTACTGTTTTTTGATTTTTTGATTATGGCCATTCTTGCAGGAGTAAGGTGGTATCACATTGTGGTTTTGCTTTGCATTTCCCTGATCATTAGTGATGTTGAGCATTTTTTCATGTTTGTTGGCCATTTGTGTATCTTCTTTTGATAATTGTCTATTTATGTTGTTAACCCACTTTTTGATGGGATTTTTTTTTCTTACTGATTTGTTTGAGTTTGCTGTAGATTCTGGATATTAGTCCTTTGTCAGATGTATAGATTGTGAAGATTTTCTGCCACTGTATGGGTTGTCTATTTAGTTTGCTGACTGTTCCTTTTGCTGTACAGAAGCTCTTTAGTTTAATTAGGTCCCAGATATTTATCTTTGTTTTTATTGCATTTGCTTTTGGGTTCTTGGTCATGAAATCCTTGCCTAAGCCAATGTCCAGAAGGGTTTGTCCAATGTTAATTTTCTGGAATTTTTATAGTTTCAGGTCTTAGGTTTAAGTCCTTAATCCATCTTGAGTGGATTTTTGTATAAGGTGAGAGATGAGGATCCAGTTTCATTCTCCTACAGGTGGCTAGCCAGTTATCCCGGCACCATTTGTTGAAAACAATGTCCTTTCCCCACTTTAGGTTTTTGTTTGCTTTGTTGAAGATCAGTTGGCTGTAAGTATTTGGGTTTATTTCTGGGTTCTCTATTCTGTTCCATTGGTCTTTGTGCCGATTTTTATACCAGTATCACTCTGTTTTGGTGACTATGGGCTTATAGTATAGTTTGAAATCAGGTAGTGTGATGCCTCCAGATTTGTTCTTTTTGCTTAGTCTTGTTTTGGCTATGCAGGCTCTTTTTTGGTTCCATATGAATTTTAGAATTGTTTTTTCTAATTCTGTGAAGAATGATGGTGGTATTTTGATGAGATTGCATTGAATTTGTAGATTGCTTTTGGCAACAGTCATTTTCACAATATTGATTTTACCCATCCATGAGCGTGGGATGTGTTTCCATTTGTTTCTGTTGTCTGTGATTTCTTTCAGCAGTGTTTTGTAGTTTTCCTTGTGGACGTCTTTTGACTCCTTTGTTAGGCATATTCCTAAGTATTTTTTTTTTTTGCAACCATTTTAAAAGGGATTGAGTTCTTGATTTGATTCTCCACTTGGTCGCTGTTGGTGTATAAAAGAGCTACTGATTTGTGTACGTTAATCTTGTATCCGGAAACTTTGCTGAATTGTTTATCAGTTTTAGGAGCTTTCTGGAGGAGTCCTTAGGATTTTCAAGGTAAATGATCATATCATCAGCAAACAGTGCCAGTTTGACTTCCTCTTTACTGATTTGGATGCCCTTTATTTTTTTTCTCTTGTCTTATTGCTCTGGCTAGGACTTCCAGGACGATGTTGAAGAGGAGTGGTAAGAGTAGGTGGGCATCCTTGTCTTGTTCCAGTTCTCAGAGGGAATGCTTTCACCTTTTCCCCATTCAGTATTATGTTGACTGTGGGTTTGTCATAGAAGGCTTTTATTACATTAAGGTGTGTCCCTTGTATGCCAATTTTGCTGAGAATTTTAATTGTAAAGGGATGCTGGATTTTGTCTAATGCTTTTTCTCCATCTATTGAGATCATGTGATTTTGGTTTTTAACTCTGCTTATGTGGTATACCACATTTATTGACTTGCATATGTTAAACCATCCCTGCATCCCTGGCATGAAACCCACTTGATCATGGTGGGTTATCTTTTTGATATGTTGTTGGATTTGGTTAGCTAGTATTTTGTTAAGGATTTTAGGATCTATGTTCATCAGGGATATTGGTCTGTAGTTTTCTTTTTTGGTTGTGTCCTTTCCTGGTTTTGGTATTAGGGTGATGCTGGCTTCATAGAATGAATTAGGGAGGGTTCCTTCTTTCTCCATCTCGTAGAATAGTGTCAAAAGGATTGGGACCAGTTCTTTGAATGTCTGGTAGAATTCTGTTGCAAATCCGTCTGGTTCTGGACTTTTTTTTGTTGGTAATTTTCTAATTACCATTTCAATCTTGCTGCTTGTTATTGGTCTGTTCAGGGTATCTCATTCTTCCTGACTTAAGCTAGGAGGGTTTTTTTTCCAGGAATTTATCCATCTTTTCTAGGTTTCCTAGTTTATCTGTGTAAAGGTGTTCATAGTAGCCTTGAATGATCTTTCTTATTTCAGTGGTTTCAGTTGTAATATCTCCTGTTTTGTTTTATAGTGAGGTTATTTTGATTTTCTCTCTTCTTTTCTTGGTTAATCTTGCTAATGGTCTGTCAATTTTATTTATCTTTTCAAAGAACTAGCTTTTTGTTTTGTTTATCTTTTGTTTTTTTGTTTGTTTGTTTCAATTTCATTTAGTTCTGCTCTGATCTTGGCTATTTCCTTTCTTCTGCTGGGTTTGGGTTTGGTTTGTTCTTGTTTCTCTAGCTCCTTGAGATGTGACCTTAGATTGTCTGTTTGTGCTCTTTCAGACTTTTCGATGTAGCCATTTAGGGCTATGAACTTTCCTCTTAGTGCTGCCTTTGCTGTATCCTAGAGGTTTTGATACGTTGTGTCATTATTGTCATTCAGTTTGAAGAATTTTTAAATTTACAAACTGATTTTGTTTTTGACCCAATGCTCATTCAGGAGCAGGTTATTTAATTTTCATGTATTTGCATGGTTTTGAAGGTTCCTTTTGGAGTTGATTTCCAGTTTTATTCCACTGTGGTCTGAGAGAGTGCTTGATATAATTTCAATTTTCTTAAATTTATTGAGGCTCATTTTATGGCCTATCATATGGTCTATCTTGGAGAAAGTTCCATGTGCTGTTGAATAGAAGTATATTCTGCAGTTGTTGGATGAAATGTTCTGTATATATCTGTTAAGTCCATTTGTTCCAAGGTATAGTTTAAATCGATTGTTTCCTTGTTGACTTTCTGTCTTGATGATCTGTCTAGTGCTGTCAGTGGAGTATTGAAGTCCCCCACTATTATTGTGTTGCTGTCTGTCTCATTTCTTAGGTCTGTTAGTAATTGTTTCGTAAATTGGTGAGCTCCAGTGTTAGGTGCATATATGTTTAGGATTTTGATATTTTCCTGTTGGACAAGGCCTTTTACCATTATATAATGTTCCTCTTTGTCTGTTTTAACCATTGTTGCTTTAAAGTTTGTTTTGTCTGATATAAGAATAGCTACCCCTACTTGCTTTTGGTGTCCATTTGCATTAAATGCCTTTTTCCACCCCTTTACTTTAAGTTTATGTGAGTCCTTATGTGTTAGATGAGTCTCCTGAAGGCAGCAGATAGTTGGTTGATGAGTTCTGCATCCATTCTGCAGTTCTTTATCTTTTAAGTGGAGCATTTAGACCATTTCCATTCAATGTTAGTATTGAAATGTGAGGTACCCTTGCGTTCCTCATGCTCTTTGTTGCCTGTGTACTTTAGTTTTGTTTTTTTGTTTTTGCTTTTTAACTTGTATGTCTGCATCCTGTGTGATTTTTACTTTATACTTTAAAGAGGTTGTTCTGTTTTAATACGTCTCCAGGGTTTGTTTCAAGATTTAGAGCTCCTTTTAGCAGTTCTTGTAGTGGTGGCTTGGTAATGGCAAATTGTCTCTACATTTGTTTATCTGAAAACAATTGTATCTTTCCTTCATATATGATGCTTAGTTTTGCTGGATACAAAATTCTTGGCTGAAGATTGTTTTGTTTGAGGAGGTTGAAGATAGGGCCCCAGTCCCTTCTAGCTTGTAGGGTTTCTCCTGAGATGTCTACTGTTAATCTGATAGGTTTTCCTTTATAGGTTATCTGGTGCTTCTGTCTCACAGCTCTTAAAATTCTTTCCTTTGTCTTAACTTTGTATAACCTAATGACAGTGTGCCTAGGTGAAGATCTTTTTGCAGTGAATTTCCCAGGTGTTCTTTGTGCTTCTTGTATTTGGATATCTAGGTCTCTAGCAAGGCTGGAGAAGTTTTCCTCAATTATTCCTCCAAATATGTTTTCCAAGCTTTTAGCATTCTCTCCTTCCTCAGGTACACCGATTATTAGGTTTGGTCATTTAACATAATCCCAGACTTCTTAGAGCCTTTGTTCATTTTTTCTTATTCTTTTTTCTTTGTCTTTCTTGGATTGGGTTAATTTGAAGATCTTGTCTTTGAGCTCTGAATTTCTTTCTTCTACTTGTTCAGTTCTATTGCTGAGACTTTCCCCAGCATTTCACATTTCTAAAAGTATGTCTAGAGTTTCCTGAATTTTTTATTGTTTTCTCTTTATGTATTTCCTTTAATATTTCTCCCTCCACTTCTTGTATCATTTTTTGGATTTCCTTGCATTGAGACTTTATCTTTCTCTGGTCCCTCCCTGATTAGCTTAATAACTAACCTCCTGAATTCTCTTTCAGGTAAATCAGGGATTTCTTCTTGGTTTGGATCCATTGCTGGTGAACTAGTATGATTTTTTGTTGGGGGCTGTTGAAGAGCCTTGTTTTGTCATATTACCAGGGTTGGTTTTCTGGTTCCTTCTCATTTGGGTAGGCTGTTTCAGAGGGAAGGTCTAGGGCTGAAGGCTGTTGTTCAGATTCTTTTGTCTCATGGAGTGTTCCCTTGATGTAGTACTCCCCCTTTTCCTATGGATGTGGCTTCCTGTGAGCCAAACTGCAGTGATTGTTGTCTGTCTTCTGGGTCTAGCCACCCAGCAAATCTACCCGGCTCTGGGCTGGTACTGGGAGTTGTCTGCACAGAGTCCTGTGATGTTAACCGTCTATGGGGCTCTCAGCCACGGATACCAGCGCCTGTTCCGGTGGAGATGGCTGAGGGTGTGTTGGACTCTGTGAGGGTGCTTAGCTTTGGTAGTTTAATGCTCTGTTTTTGTGTTAGTTGGCCTCCTGCCAGGAGGTGGCACTTTCCAGAAAGCATCAGCTATAGTATGGAGAGGGACCAGCAGTGGGTAGGGCCCTAGAACTCCCAAGATTATATGCCCTTTGTCTTCTGCTACCAGGGTGGATAGGGAAGGACCATCATGTGGGGGCAGGTCTACGCCTGCTCTGACTCTCCTTGGGTGGGTCTTGTTGTGGGTGTTGTGGGGGATGGGGGTTAGATTCCCAGGTCACTGGAGTTGTGTACCTAGGAGGATTATGGCTGCCTCTGGTGAGTCATGCAGGTTGTCAGGGAAATGGGGGAAAGCCAGCAGTCATGGGCCTCACCCAGCTCCCTCACAAACCGAAGGGCAGTCTTACTCCCACCGTGTCCTCCCCAACAGCCCCAGTCTGTTTCCGGGAGGAGGGCTTGAAAACTTGCCCAAGGTTATCTGCTTCCCAGCTCTGAAAGAAAAGGGGCTTTAGTTCTTCCCCTACCTGTGAAGTCTGGATTCGTGCCCTCCCCCGAGTTCTGGCCAGGAGGCTTCTGGTCCTGTTCAGATTGTTAAATCAAATTGTTACAGAATTTGGCTAGAGAATGCCTTCTTTCTGTGGAGTTTTGCCCCCAGCTCCTGTGGCCACCCTCCCAGTGGATCCCTGTGGTGCCAGGCAGGAATGGGCTGCTTGGGGACCCAGCGAGCTCCCAGGGCCTTTCTGCTGCTTCTTCTACCCCTGTATTTCGCTCAGCTCTCTAACTTGACTCAGCTCCAGGTAAAGTCAGAAACTTCTCCTGCAAACAGACCTTCACCTTCTCTAGTGGGGGTGTGTGTTTGGGAGAGGAGAGCCTCCCTCCTCTCCACAGTTGGGGCACTCACGGTATTTGGGGGTCTCCTGGGTCCTGCTGGAGCAGTCCAGTTCCTTCAGAGGGTCTGTGGTTCCTCTCAGGATTACTGGTTTGTTCTTGCAGTCAATCTGGAGCTAAAACTCACAATGCAAGCCTCCCCTTGCTGCTCTTTCAGGAGTTGCAATCTAGTCCTCCCTCCTGTCTGCAGTGATCCCGGGAGCAGCATCAGTGGTTAGGTTTAAATCTGTTACTTTTCTATTAGTCCCAGCTCTTCTTTGTTTCCTTCTTTGGCACTGAATTTGTGTGTGTGTGTGTGTGTGTCAGAGAGAGAGATACTATTAAGATCTACCCATACGCCGGGTGCAGTGGCTCACACCTGTAATCCCAGCACTTTGGGAGGCCAGGGCAGGTGGATCACGAGGTGAAGAGATAGAGACCATCCTGGCCAACATGGTGAAACTGCATCTCTACTAAAAAAAAAAATCAAAAGTTACTTGGGTGTGGTGGCAGATGCCTGTAGTCCCAGCTACTTGGGAGGCTGAGGCAGGAGAATCGCTTGAACCTGGAGGTGGAGGTTGCAGTGAGCTGAGATTGTACCACTGTACTCCAGCCTGGCGACAGAGCAAGACTGTGTCTCAAAAAAAAAAAAAAGATTTTCTACCCACAGAACACTCTTGGCATCAAATGTGTGGGTTTTTCCCACACTCACAACCAGCTCTGCAACTCTGTGGACACCAACTGGTTATCCTACAATTCTGTTCAATTCAGACACTATCTACCTGGAGCTAGTGTCATTCCTTACAGGTTAAGGGCTCAGTCCCACAAGGTTGCCCCCATTAATGATGCTAATCACAAATAATGGTACTTCTGGTCAGCTTGGCTACAAATTGGGTATTCCCACAACACCTTCCTCAGGTTCAGCACTTTGCTATGCCTGACAGAATTCAGGGAAACACTTTACTTGTATTTAACAATTTATTATAAAAGATGTAACTGAGAAACAGCCAGATGGATGAGATGACTAGGGCAAGGTATGGGGCGGGGTTGGAAGTCAGGAGAGGTAGGGCATGGAGTTTTCATGGTCCCTGGGTACACCACCCTGGAATCTATCCGAACTCCATCGTTTAGAGATTTTGTGGAGGTTCCATTGCATAGGCATGATTGATAATTGATTAAATCATTGGTTGTTAGTGACTGAGCTCAGTCTCCAGTCCCTCTTCCCTCCCTGGAGGTTGGTGGGGAGAGGCAGCTGAAAGTTCCATCCCCCATCCTGAAGCTGTCTAGGGACTCCAGCCACTAGTCATCTTATTAACATGCAAAAAGATGCTCTTACTACTACAGATATTTTTAAGGTATCACAAGGTTTTATATCAGCAACAGAGGACTAAGACCAAATATTTCAACAAAAGATGCCCCTGTCACTGAGAAAGTTACAAGGCTCTTAGAAGCTCTGTGTCAAGAATTAGGGACAGGGACTATAATACATATATATGCATAGATACCATTTTATCTTTTTTGTTGTCTTATTAGCTATAATTCTTAACGTCTTTTTAGTGATTGCTTTGGGGTTTATAGTATATATCTTTTATTATAGTTTACCCTCAAGTAATTTACTACTTCGCATACAATGTAAGAACCTTACAAGAGTATTTTCCATTTCTCCCCTCCTTTGTGCTTTTTGTTGTATACTTCATATGTGTTAGAGATTCTAGAATACATTTTTATTATATTTGCTTTAAACAATTATTTTTAAAGATGTTTAAATAAGAAAAATAAGGGGTTTTGTTTTTTTGTTTGTTTTTAGAGACAGTATCTCCCTCTGTCACCCATGCTGGAGTGCAGTGGCACGATCATGGCTCACTGCAGCCTCAAACTCCCATGCTCAAGCAATCCTCCTGCCTCAGCCTCCCAAGTTTCGAAGACTACAGGAGTGTGCCACCATGCCTGGCAAATTTTTTTAAAGATGGGAGTCTCACTATGTTGCCCAGGCTGGTCTTGATCCTCCCGCCTAGACCTCCCCAAGTGTTGGGATTACAGGCATGAGCCACCATGCCTGGCCATAAAAAGAAGTTTTTAAATATTTACCTACGTAGTTACTGTTTCGGTTGCTCTTTATTTCTTTGGGTACATCCAGATTTTCATTTTATGTTATCTTTGCTATTGCATGAAAGACTAATATTTCTGATAGCTTACATTTGCTGCTGGTGAATTATTTCAGCTTTTATATGCCTAAAGTCTTTATTTCACATTTTGTTTTGAGTGGGTGTAGGGTTATAGATTGTCAGGGTTTTATTTTTAGGCATTCAAATAAAAAATATTGCTACACTGTCTTCTGGCTTTTCATTGTTTCTGATAAGTCTGCTGTTCTTCTTATCAAAAGTTTCATGTGTCTGTTTTTGCTCTCTTTTTTCCTTATAGTATCTTATTTTTGTGTGTGTGGTTATTTTTTACTGAGAGCTGCTTATTTCCTTTGAAAATTGTGAAAATTTTTGGAGATGTATGGTAATGGTTTCTCCCTTGAGAAAGCATTTATTGGCTTCTGCCTAGGGCATTATCACTTTGGAACTTCTTTAAATTCTCAGCCTGAGATGTTTTGTTTTGACCACCCAGATGATTTGGACTCTGTGTACATTCAAAGGCCAGTTTGAAAATGTTCAGGCATAGACAAAAGTTTTATATTTACATTTTCTGAAAACTTAAGAAAATTTTCTTTTACTCCTTTCTCACCAAAGAAAAGTCTTGGGAAAGTATTGTATGGATTACTGTTTCCTGCTCCTCACAGAAACAACACATACACCCAAAACTTGCCCTTTCTCTCTTTATTGTTTCATTTCTTGGACATTTGTAATTCGTTACTGGTGACCTAAGACCTCAGTGCTAGCCTGCCATACTTTTCCTCGGGTTCTAATTTACATGTGCCTTCTGGTTCCTTCTGGGGAAATCTGTGTAGAGTGGAGGAGCTTTGGGTCGGTCAGGGTGGCACTTGGCTACCTTATTCTATGCAAAAGAATGAATTCCAGACTAAAGTATGTTCATCTGTTGATTCACACTGTTTTTACTTTGTTTTGTTTTTTTACTTTTAAGGAAGTGGGAAAACTCTTGCCTTTGCCATCCCAATGATTCATGCGGTGTTGCAGTGGCAGAAGAGGAATGCTGCCCCTCCTCCAAGTAACACCGAAGCACCACCTGGAGAGACCAGAACTGAGGCCGGAGCTGAGACTAGATCACCAGGCAAGGCTGAAGCTGAGTCTGATGCATTGCCTGACGATACTGTAATTGAGAGTGAAGCACTGCCCAGTGATATTGCAGCCGAGGCCAGAGCCAAGACTGGAGGCACTGTCTCAGACCAGGCGTTGCTCTTTGGTGACGATGATGCTGGTGAAGGGCCTTCTTCCCTGATCAGGGAGAAACCTGTTCCCAAACAGAATGAGAATGAGGAGGAAAATCTTGATAAAGAGCAGACTGGAAATCTAAAACAGGAGTTGGATGACAAAAGCGCCACCTGTAAGGCATATCCAAAGCGTCCTCTGCTTGGACTGGTTCTGACTCCCACTCGAGAGCTGGCCGTCCAGGTCAAACAGCACATTGATGCTGTGGCCAGGTTTACAGGTGAGGTTTAGTTCCATTTAATAAATATTTTCTAGGTAAATCCCAAATGCTCGTTGGTAAAGATGAATGAGCTGTGGCTCCTGCCCTCTAGGGTAAGCCACTCTCATCTATAAGCCAGACAATTAAGCCCTACAGAAAATTGATATAGTGACATTTTTTCAGTTCCCTCAAGGATAATACATGGTTGGTGCCATTGTGGATGCATAGGAAATTTATTGGATACAGTAGATGCTCAGGGCAGGGATTAGCAAACTGTCTGGTTTTATAAATAAAGTTTTGCCGGAACACACCCACACCCATTTGGTTTTATATTGTCTGTGGTTGGTTTTGTACTACAAAGGTGAAGTTGAGTAGAGTTAATAGTTGTGACAGAGACCATCTGGCCTATGAGGTCAGTAATGTTCACTAGTGACCCTTTCAGAAAAAGTTGGCTGATCCCTGCTCTAAGCTATTAGGATTTAATTCTCTCAGGGAATTCACTCTGGGAAGGGCTTCACTCTGGGAATCTTAATTTTATAATGAAAGCAGCAATTAATTACCAAGTTGTTACTATTGCTAAGCCCTTTACCCACATGATACTATGAGAATTTCTGCACCAGAGACGAAAACAACAGGGCATTAGTGGACCTTTCAGAATAATTCTAACTGAGGGAATGGAAGGGCTTCCTAGGAGAGGTGTAGCACAGCTGCAGGTCATATTCCTCCCAGCATTATGGTGCCCCAGTGCTCCGTTTTCCCAGAGCTTTGGAGGTAAGCATACCTGGGTTCAAATTCAGCCCCTTTGGTGTGGTTGGAGGGGAGGGAGTAGAAAAGAAATGAGGCTGAAGAAGTAGAGCTCAGATCACAGAAGACTTGGTAAGCCCTCTAGGAGTGGCGTCAACAGTCTGGCCAGGCCTGCTCTTTTAGCAATGCTCTAGGGCATTACACTGTGCTGATGTCTGTCTCTGCTAATCTGGGGTGCCTGTGTCAGCCATGTAAGAAAATGATCACCCAGATTGAATAAGTGTCCCTTATGTTTTCTGTCCCATAGGAATTAAAACTGCTATTTTGGTTGGTGGAATGTCCACGCAGAAACAGCAGAGGATGCTGAACCGTCGTCCTGAGATTGTGGTTGCTACTCCAGGCCGGCTGTGGGAATTAATTAAAGAAAAGCATTATCATTTGAGGAACCTTCGGCAGCTCAGGTAATAGATGGCACTTCTCTTTTCCCCCTCACTGCCTTTTCTGAAATGAGCCTTAGGTGACATGGTGTGGGCAATGCCTTCTTCTCATCGCAGAATGCTATGGTGTGGTATCATCCAGACCCTGGCCTTTAGAAAGCCAAGAGTGCATGAGGGAGATTAGTTGAGGGCCTGATGGTGGTGGTGGTAGTGGGGTGTGTACGTGTGTGTGTGTGTGTGTTTAGGATGAGTGTAGGGTGTGCTATAGATGATTCCTCTTAACCCGCTGCTGACCAATGATATGGGTCTCTCTGGATCTGCAGGTGCCTGGTAGTGGATGAGGCTGACCGGATGGTTGAGAAAGGCCATTTTGCTGAGCTCTCACAGCTGCTAGAGATGCTCAATGACTCCCAATACAACCCAAAGAGACAAACGCTTGTTTTTTCTGCCACACTCACCCTGGTGCATCAGGCTCCTGCTCGAATCCTTCATAAGAAGCACACCAAGAAAATGGATAAAACAGCCAAACTTGACCTCCTTATGCAGAAAATTGGCATGAGGGGCAAGCCCAAGGTCATTGACCTCACAAGGAATGAGGCCACGGTGGAGACGCTAACAGAGACCAAGATCCATTGTGAGACTGATGAGAAAGACTTCTACTTGTACTACTTCCTGATGCAGTATCCAGGCCGCAGCTTAGTGTTTGCCAACAGTATCTCCTGCATCAAACGCCTCTCTGGGCTCCTCAAAGTCCTTGATATCATGCCCTTGACCCTGCATGCCTGTATGCACCAGAAGCAGAGGCTCAGAAACCTGGAGCAGTTTGCCCGTCTGGAAGAGTAAGTTAGGACTGTCCCCAGAGGCTTAACCTCTAGTTAGTTACTGGGGTAAAAGGGGTCAGGATGGTGGGGAAATGGTAGAAAAGCCACCTTCTGTCATAGGGGCCTTGTCTCAGTAGTAGGTAGCCTTTTTTTTTTTTTGCACAGCATTTGGCAAGGTTACTGTCATTTAGTGAATTTGGTTGCAGTTAAATGCCATACAGAAACTTCAATACTAATGAATATAGGTGACAATACATAATATTGAATGTATAGACAATAGATTAGGTCCTGTGCTGGCACTTTAGATTCAGAATCACATTCAGTTACTCTCCTAACATCCTTAAGAGGAAGCAGAATAGATTCATGGTTAAGAGCACAGATCCTGGAACCAGAATGCCTGAAATCAAATCCTAGTTCTGTCACTCCTTAGGTGGTCAAGTTATTTAATTTCTCTGTACTTTAATTTTCTCATTATTTGGATAATAATAGAACCCATTCTAGGGTTGTTATGAAGATTGATTGTAAATTCATGCGTGTAAAGTGTTTAGAACAGTCTCTAGCACATAGTATGTATATATTGCTAAATGTTAGCTTTAATAATTTCTAGTCCCTTTACTACTTATTACCATTATCACTATTCTCATTTATAGATGGAAAAATGAGGTCTAGAAAAGCTGATCAGTGTGCCCAAGGTTTCTCTGCCTGGAAGTGGTAGAGCTGGGCCTCAGACAAGCCTGTCGGACCTCAGAGCCCATGCTATTTCTTATTCCTGATGTCTTTGTCCATCTGCCTTTGGACCAGACTGATGCTCAGGGAATGGGGTGCAGATTGTCAAGATGAGGGCCTGGAAAGTTGAGGCAGACTACAAAGTGTCTTTTGCCAGTGTTTTGTCAGGTCATGGGGTAATTAGTTTCTAGAACAAGTGTTTGATTTACTGGTTTTTAAAAATTGGTAAGTAGTATCAGTGGTTTACTGAGATTAGCTTAGAACAAGGCTTGGCAAACTATAGGCCTCGTGCCAAATCTTGCTTGCTGCCCTTTTTTTTTCTAAGATGGGGTCTTGCTATGTTGCCCAGGTTAGACTTGAACTCACGGGCTCAAGCAATCCCACCTTAGCCTCCTAAGTAGCTAGGACTACCAGTGCATGCCATCACACCTGGCTGCTGCCTGTTTTTTTAGTAGACGTTTTACTGGAACACAGCAAGACCCATTTATGTATTGTCAATATCCTCTTTTGCGGCAGAGTTGAATAGTTGCCATAGAGACTGTGTGGTTCACAAAGCTGGAAATGCTCTCTGGCTCTTTACAGAAAAAGTTTGCTGACCTTGATCCAGAGCAGTAGTTTAATGTTTTACAAACTAGGATTTGCATTGCATTTCCCGGCCTCAGCTCAGACATGCAGGGAGTGAGGACCCTGAAGGGCCAGAGTCTTATGTTTTGAAGCACCTCAAGTACTTTTGACTTTCCATGAACCACACATTGAGAAACATCATCCAACACATTTATCAAGTGCTTACCATGAACCAGATGTTGTTCTCTGTGGTGGTAATAACAGCAGTGAGTAATGCAAAGTCCTTGCTCTCATGAAGCTTACATTCTAGTAGAGGGAGATAATAAATTGCAAAGTAAGCCCACAGTCTGCCAAGTGATCCTAAGAAGTAAGTCGAGCAGGGGTTGGAGAAAAGAGATTGGGTATGTGTGGTCAGTCTCTGATGAAGTGAGAATTGAGCAGAGAGCTGAAGAAAGTAATGAAGTGAGTCATATGGACATCTGAGGCAAGACCCTTTAAGGCCTTAAGGAGTAGCAAGTGCAAAGGCTTGGAGGTGAGAGCATGCTTGGTTTGTTTGGGGAAGAGCAAGGAAGTCTGTGTGCCACTGGGAGGAAGTAAATGAGAGGGTGCTAGGAGAGGAGTCACTGACCCAGAATATGTATGGCCTCATTTAACTCACTGAAGGGAGTCTTTATCATTGCAGAGTATGGCATGTTGGTTGGGGTCAATGAGTCCCAAATTTGGATCCAGACTCCACAGCTGAATAGCCATGTAGATAGCTTGGGAAGTTAATCTCTCCGAGCCTCAGTTTTTCTGTAAAAGGGTATACAAGTGATATCTTACAGAGTATTGGTAAGGACTGTAATGTTTAGGATGCTCAGCAGTTGGTAAGAATTTGATTAAAGATAGCTGTTAGTTATTATTAATAAGCTTTCTCTCTCTACCCCAGCTGTGTTCTCTTGGCAACAGATGTGGCAGCTCGGGGTCTGGATATTCCTAAAGTCCAGCATGTCATCCATTACCAGGTAGGGGCATCTGAAAATTTATAGGCATCTGCCTGCACTGAATGGGGAATTTTTAAGGCAAAGGTTGGGGGAGGGAGGAGGAATTGTTGGTTCCAAGGCTCTTGCATCAGAGAATACCACTGGCATCGAGTGCCCACTACTCCCACTTTTGCAACACTGCTGAGATTTGGTCTCCAGAAAACCTTGCTTTGTCTCATGTCAAGTAGCCCTTCTCTCCAAGCTACTTGATATTGTCAGGTTAGAGTCTTAGTTTTTTCTGTGAAATGGGCATAAGTTAAGCATGTAATTGGTTACCCTGATGTAGAGAAGTATTAATAGAAGAGTGTGGTAGTTTAGATCTCTCTGGGCTCAAATCCCAGCTGTGTAACCTTGAACAAGTCATGTAATCTCTCTGTATCTCAGTTTTCTCATGTATTAAATGGCAGTGAGTACCTGCTTCTTAGGGTTCTTACTGAGGTAAAATAAGTTACTAAGTATAAAGAGCTTAAGAAGCCACCTGGCACATTGCAAGCACTTACTCATGTTAACTGCCATTGATAGTAGCAGTAATATTAGTGTGTGCATCTAGTGAATATCAGCATAAAATTTTGGTTAGGAGTATGGGCACCGGAGCCAGACTGCCAGGCTTTGAATCCCCAGTCTGCTGCTTCATAGTTGGTTAGCTTTAGGCAAGTTATTTAGTACCTCTGGTTTCAGTGTCATTGTTTGTAAACTGGAAGTAACAACTAGCTACCCCATAGGGTTATCCTGAGAATTAAATTGAGCTGATGCTGATGAAGCCGGTAGCACAGTGTAAGTACTCAATAAATGGTAGCTGGTATGGCATTATCATTTTTCCTCTTTAATTCCTCTTTGTGCTTTTAAAAATCTTTTAGGCTGCTGTTTCAGAGAAACAACAAACTCACAGTGCTTTTTCCCATTCTCTCACTTCACAACAACAATCAACATAGAAGACTTCTGTAACCAAATGTGTGGGCGTTTTTCACCACATATCAAGCAGCAGCCACCAGCTGGGTGTCCTCTAATTTAGTTTCATTTTCTGATGCTGTCTTCCTGGAGATAGCCTCAGATCCCACAAGATGTCCCTCCTCCCCGCAACCAGTCGATAAGTCAGGGCCTCTGGAACTTCTGACCAACCAGCTTCAAGTTGGGGTTCTCATGACCCCCCGCTTTGGGTTCAATTAATTTGCTACAGCAGCTCTCAGAACTAAAAGAAACACATTTACCAGTTTATTATAGAGGATATTACAAAGAATATAGATGGGGAGATGTATAGGCTGAGGTACAGGGGAAGGAGCATGGAGTTGCCATGCCCCTCCTGGGTACACCACCCTCCAGGAATGTCCACATATTCAGCTTATTCAAAAGTTCTCCAAACTCTGTCCTTTAGGAATATTTATGGAGACTTCATTGGGTAAGATGATTAATTAAGCCATTGGCCTTTAGGAAGTAGTGCTGCAAGTCCCAACCTTCTAATCCTGCCTTGGCCTTTCTGGTGACCAGCCCCCATCCTGAAACTACCTGGGGGGCTATCAGCCATCAGTCAATAGTTTGTCATTAGTATACAAAAAGACATTACTTTTGAGATTCCTTTGCCAGGAAACAGGATGAAGAGCAAATACATATTTCACTGTATCACAGGTGCTAATTTTGGTTTAGCAAATCTCTATAGTCTTCCCTTTTTTGGGGAAGGAGCTGGGTCAACCTTTGTGGAGTCAAGATGAATCAAATACAGTCCCAGCCCCTAAGAAGTATTGGATCCAGCAGAGGAGGTGAGATGACCACAGCCATAATTTAAGGCAGAAGGTATTAGAAAATTACAAAATACAATGGAAGAGAGAGGTAACTTCTAGTTTGGGAGGTTGGAAAGTACTTTCTAAAAACATGCCTGGCATTTAAGGGTGAAGAGGATTTGGACATATAGAGGCATTAAAGGAAGGAGCAAAGAAATGGGCAGTGTTCAGGGGCACTTGGCTCACAGTGAGAAGAGGGTATGTGTTGGGAAAGGAATAGTTGCTGAGGCTGGAGGGGTAAGTTGAGGGCAAGTCACTAAAGGCGCTGAGTGTCAGGTTGAAGAGTTGGGCCTTTATCCTGTAAGTAAAGAAAGGCAAATCTCATTTCTAGAACTCTTATGAACAGTTCATAGTGGCTACTTAAAGTACTGTATTGAAAAGGATACCTAGATGTTATCTGGGCCCAGTGGAGAAGACTGTTGTGCTTGATTAATGGTGTGTGCCAGGGGCTCAGTGGGTGTGTTAGCAACCATGCCACATTATCTATGGATAAAATATATATAGGAGTAGAGACCGTATAACCCAGGGATTAACATGGTCTGTGGAGCTGGGCTGCTTAAATCCTGGATAAGAAGTGACTGCTGTGGTCTGGCTGCATGGTCCTGAGGACCTGAACCAGGGTCAGGGGCATGGGAGGGAAGAGCCTACACAGTGAATGGGCTAAACCTGGGAACATTTTGAATGTGGGACTAAGAGAGGAGGGCTAGATTGCTCTACAATGCTGCAGAAGTTTCTACCTGCCTGGCTGGGAGGTAGGAGGGTCTGGTTTGGGGATGTGGCCCTGAGGAGAGGACCAGTGTTTGGCAGTGGCCATGTATTGATCTCCCAGTTCTTCCTGTGGCAGGTCCCACGTACCTCGGAGATTTATGTCCACCGAAGTGGTCGAACTGCTCGAGCTACCAATGAAGGCCTCAGTCTGATGCTCATTGGGCCTGAGGATGTGATCAACTTTAAGAAGATTTACAAAACGCTCAAGAAAGATGAGGATATCCCACTGTTCCCCGTGCAGACAAAATACATGGATGTGGTCAAGGTAGAAAGCAGTTAAAACCCCAGTGCTAATGAAGGGATTGTGCTGCTCCCTTGCAGAGCACCTTGCTGTGGGACTCTGGCAGCATAACCCTTGAAAACTAAGGAATGGTTCTGCCAACAGCTGAACAAGGAGACTTGTAGAAAGGATTGAGAGCAACATACCTGGGAAAAGGGAGAAAAGGGGAGTGACTGAAGGTGGGAGGCATTTTCTCCCTGAACCATTTCTTCCTTCTCTGGCCCTGAAGTCCCCCCTCCTCACCAGACAGTGCAGTGGTCATGGCTGTCTGGATATCCTGTCAGAGGGTTGTAGACAGTGTGGTTAGTGTTTCCTGCTGAGGCAGATGCTACAGGTTTGGCACATCCCTGGAGCAGGTGCCAGTAAATTCTGTCTTTTGGGTTTTAACTCAGCAGGCATTCCCCAGGTAGGTGCCGCTTACCATGGGACACTGTATTAGTGACCAAAGTGGGGTGGGTTCTCCTTCCCAGAGGTTTGCCAGCTGTGAATAAAGTTCAGGTACAGTGGAGCAGTATGGAATTACTGGGCATATGGTTACATTGGGAGGAGAAGAGGTTCTATCCCAGCTTCCTGCTGGCAAAGATGTGGAAGGGTACAGAGGAGGTGGAATTCCAGGAATTGAGGGAGCAAAACCATGGCACAGTTCAAGGAATGTTGGCTTCTCTGGCTCAAAAGGAATATTAGCTGTGTGGGGAAATAGGGTGGAGATAAGGATGGAAAAGTGGAAATCATAGAGAATTCCCATTAGTAAGGAGGATTAGGAGCCACCCAGGCTTCCCTTGGTTTCTTTCCCCACATCACAAGATCCTTCTCATTTTGCCACTGCACTGTAACCCCAAAACCCTCTAGAGGGAGAGTTGAAATGTTTTATCTTAGCTCAGCTGTGGAAGCAAGCTGTGGCATCTGCGTAAAGACTTCACTTTGGTTACCTATAGGTTGGCAGTCAAACCAGTAAGGGTTTTCAAAGGATGTGGCTGTTCAGGTTGATTGTTGGGAAAGCTGGCAGTTGTGTTTAGATGTGTACACACAGACGGGTAATGGTTGCCCACTGGACTTTTATCAGGAAGCAATAAATGCATTTCAACAGGAACTGAACTGCATCTCACCACTGATCTCAAGAGCTTTTTATTTATTTATTTTTAATTTTTAATTTTTAATTTTTTTTTGAGACGGAGCTTTGCTCATGTTGCCCAGACTGGAGTGCAGTGGCACAATCTTGGCTCACCACAACCTTCGCCTCCCGGGTTCAAGTGATTCTCCTGCCTCAGCCTCCCAAGTAGCTGGGATTACAGGCATGCGCCACCATGCCCAGCTAATTTTGTATTTTTAGTAGAGACGGGGTTTCTCCATGTTGGTCAGGCTGGTCTTGAACTCCTGACCTCAGGTGATCCGCCCGCCTTGGCCTCCCAGAGTGCTAGGATTACAGGTGTGAGCCACCATGCCCGGCTCAAGAGCTTTTTAAAAACACTACTTGCTGGGCACGGTGGCTCACGCCTGTAATCCCAACACTTTAGGAGGCTGAAGTGGAAAGATTGCTTGAGCACAGGAGTTCAAGACCAGCCTAGACAACACAGTTGAGACCCTGTCTTTACGAAAAAAAAAAAAAAAAAAAAAAAAAAAAAGAAATTACCTAGGCATGGTGGTGCCTCCCAGCTGCTTGGGAGGCTGAGGTGGGAGGATTGCTTGATCCAAGGAGGTTGAGGCTGCAGTGAGCCATGATCATGCCACTGCTCTCCAGCCTGGGCAGCAGAGTGATACCTGCCTTAAACACACAAACACAACTCAAGTGAGACTTTGCTTCCCAGAGGCCTGAACTCTATTTCAGATGAATATTTTCTGTTACTTCCCCCCAGGAGCGAATCCGTTTAGCTCGACAGATTGAGAAATCTGAGTATCGGAACTTCCAGGCTTGCCTGCACAACTCTTGGATTGAGCAGGCAGCAGCTGCCCTGGAGATTGAGCTGGAAGAAGACATGTATAAGGGTAAGCCCTTGGGCGGGATGGGAATTGAGGAAGTTGAAATCTCTCTTTAACTTTTGCTTTGTTGGAACCATCTCTACTACTGTGGGTCTTGTCAAAATCAGCAAGGCGTCCTTCCCCCTCTTTGCTAACAGGCCCTGGTCCCAGGTGAGCCTACTGCCCTCGGTCAGTCTTTGTTTCCTCTGTCTCTGTCTTGTGCCCTCAGCTGCCTCCTCTTACATGGACAGGCAGTGGAGTACAGTGAGGAAGGGAGCAGGCTCTCTGGCCAGGCTGCCTGTGTTAGAATGCCGGCTCATTGCCTTAACTATGTGACTGAGTCAAGTTATTTAACCTCTGTTGTGTTCTCAGCTTTCTCCTCCATAAAATGGAAGTAGTCAACTACCTACTTCATGGGATTGTTGTGAAGACTGATTGAGTTAAAAAATGTTAAGTGCTTATAGCATTGCCTGGCAAATAGAAAGTATTACATTTTAAGTTATTTGTCATTATGGTTCCTACTACACCTGCCTTCCAAGCTGACAAAGCACTTCCATGCCATTATCTCATTTGATCTTCTCCACTTTCATGACATGAACACAGCAGGAAGTACTCTTCTTTTACATATGGAAACTAGATACCACAGCAGAGGCAGTTTGTGCAGGGAAACAGCTCTGTCACAAGGCATTTCCAGAGCTGCTACTCTATATGTGACCACAGGCTGAGGCTTCAGGGATGAATCTGCCCGGTCCCTGCTTGAGAAAACTCCTGGTCTAAAAAGTGGTAGAACCAAATCTAGAACTCCATGCTCCTTCCACACCACCAAGTATGCAGCTCAGCAGAGATGTTGACACCTCGGTGCCCAAGTCAGCAAATTCAGAGGCAGACTTAACTGCTGTCTGCTCAGCATGGAAGCCAGGAGCCAAACCAGTGGGCTTGATGACAGTGAGCTATTTCTGGTGGCTCAGGGTTGGGGCTTGGGCCGAAGATGTGGAGGCCCTGGCTTCCCTTCCTGAGGACAGACTGAGGTGGAACCTTTTGGCTCTGCCAGCTTCTCCATGTGCAGTCACAGCACTGGTGGCAAGGCATAGGAGAGCTGGGCTACAAAGAAGCATTCAGTGTCTCCTGGGGCGGCAGGGAGGTGGGGGTTGTAATTGTGAACTCACCAAACCCCAGGTGGGCAGTAAGTGGGTGGGTCATAGGAAGAAAAGTGATCTTCAGTCAGGAGACTTGGGTTCTGGGCTCTGTCTGATGACTGGCTCTGTGATGTGAGCCAGGTGACTTCTCTAACCCTGAGTTGCCTCATCTGTAAAGATAATTCCAGTCTTGGAGGATTTTTATGGAGTAAAAAAGGACAGAGCGGTCCTGTGTATCCCCTGCAAATGGTTAGACGTTATCCATTTACAGCCCCTGCCAAGCCACCACTAGCTTCTTCAGAGAACTTTTGAACCCTGCCTCCCTAAAGTAGTTCTAAAACATTTTTCACTGTGTTACCCATCAAGGGAAACAAAATGTTTCTACAAACCATAGTAAATAGGATCGTTTTTGTATTGTGTTTCAAGGAGGAAAAGCTGACCAGCAAGAAGAACGTCGGAGACAAAAGCAGATGAAGGTTCTGAAGAAGGAGCTGCGCCACCTGCTGTCCCAGCCACTGTTTACGGAGAGCCAGAAAACCAAGTATCCCACTCAGTCTGGCAAGCCGCCCCTGCTTGTGTCTGCCCCAAGTAAGAGCGAGTCTGCTTTGAGCTGTCTCTCCAAGCAGAAGAAGAAGAAGACAAAGAAGCCGAAGGAGCCACAGCCGGAACAGCCACAGCCAAGTACAAGTGCAAATTAACTGGTCAAGTGTGTCAGTGACTGCACATTGGTTTCTGTTCTCTGGCTATTTGCAAAACCTCTCCCACCCTTGTGTTTCACTCCACCACCAACCCCAGGTAAAAAAGTCTCCCTCTCTTCCACTCACACCCATAGCGGGAGAGACCTCATGCAGATTTGCATTGTTTTGGAGTAAGAATTCAATGCAGCAGCTTAATTTTTCTGTATTGCAGTGTTTATAGGCTTCTTGTGTGTTAAACTTGATTTCATAAATTAAAAACAATGGTCAGAGCCATTGTGTCATCCTGATTTTTTTTTTTTTTTTTTAGATAGAAGATGGGGGTGGTGGTGTAGTTTGTTTCATTATTAACTTAGTGATTCTCCTGGGCCAGCACAGTGCTAAGCCCTTGAAAGGACAGGAATAGTGTCAGGCCTCTGGCTGCAGGCCAAGATTGGACAGTGTGAATGGAGCAAGAGGCTGGAATGTTCAAGAGGTGCATGTTCCTGCTTTACCCAGAGCAGCACCCTAATAGCTCCTTAGCTCTCTCCACTCTCCTGGGTATTGTCTGAGCCACCGTGGGAGGTGGGCAGGGATGAGGTTGCTGTCTTCAGGCTTCCCTCACATCACAGAGCCAACAGTAACAGTCGCTAGGTCTGGCGTGTGAAGCCCTCAGGATCTAGCCCCAGCCTTGTCTCCACTCCCTCCTGTTTGACAGAGCAGGCTCCTGCCCACGGTTCCATGCACCCCTTCTCTTGTCCTGAGCCTTTGTGCAGAATAGGCTTTTCCCTCGGTCTGGATTGCCTTTTGGCCTTCTCCATCCTGGAGCACTGCCATGGGTCCTCTAGTCCTGAGCCTCTAAGGGGAAGCAGTGCTTCTCCTGGGGCTCCCTTAGTGTCCCGTGCTTACCCTCTTCATAGCACTTGCCATGCTGTGTTCCCTTAGCTGAGCTCCTTGGGAGAAGAGGAACTCAAGGCTTGGTCAGCCTGGTATAAATATGTGCTCAGGGAACTAGGGACTTCCTGATGCTGCCCCAGCTTTGTCTGGATCAGTGTAGGTGAGTATCCACAACTCCCACAACCATGGGAGAAGCATAGATGATTTCTGCACAGCTGTCTGGCTTCCAAACAGGTATTCGTCGGGGCACAATACAATACAGCTGTTTAGTTCAAGGGGTGCTAGGGAATTGAAGAGGATACACAAAGGGACCAAGATACCCCAAGATCTAAGTAGCTAGCCTCTCTCAGCCTCATGGTTGGCACTTTTATCTAATTAGCATTTAGTCTTGAAGGTCCTGAGAAATAATTTTCTTTTTTTTTTGAGACAGGGTCTTGCTCCATTGCCCAGGTTGGAGTGCAATGGCACAATCACAGCTCACTGCAACCTCACACTCCTGGGCCCAGGCAGTCCTCCCGCCTCAGCCTCCCAAGTAGCTGGGACTACAGGCACACACCACCACACCTGGCTGAATTTTTTTTTTTTAGTAGAGATGGGGTCTCACTATGTTGGCGTAGGCTGGTCTCAAAACTCCTGCCCTCAAGTGATCCTCTTGCCTCAGCCTCCCAAAGTACTGAGATTACAGGTGTGAGCCACTGTGCCCATCTATAAGTCTTTATTAGTGTTTTTTGTACTTGAGCATATAGACACCCAGTGATTGAGACTTGCCCAGGGCCACACAGCAGCCAAGTAGCAGAGGTGGGATTAGTATCTTCCTTCTGGGCCCAGGACAAGTTCAGAAAACTACTTCAGTCTCAGAAGTGTTGCCAAGGAATGGCCTCCCATCCCCCAGTGTCACCAGTGACCGGAATAGGAGGGGAAATTGCCCGTCTGTGAGGTCAGCTCCTGACTGACAGCTATCAGAGAATGGCAGGGAGACTCTCCATTTTCCAAATGATGCAGTGGTGGTCAGTGGGGTTAGTAAGCGGGCTTAATATCCCCTAATGGCACCTGAGCCGTGGGAGTGAAGCCACTTGCCATAAGCCAAACATAGATCCCCTGATGACTGTCCGTGTCCTGCCCTAGCCATCTAACAGCAAATTCTTTTCCTTGGTGGAGGAGCTAATACGTAGACAGGCTTTAAAAGGCAGGAGCAGCCTTCCAAGCAGTGCTACTCTCGCCTGGTAAGGTGAAGTTGGTGGGCAGAGCTTCCGGAGTGTCCTGGATCTGCCATTAAACAAGGAATATCCCTCCCCAGCTAATCTACTTAATACATAAGCACCACGGAAAAGCAGAGTTCTTGGCTGCATGCCAGGTACCCAGTATTAAGAAGCCAGGACAAAAGTAGTTATGGAAACCATTTTAATGCTAGGAGAATGTTTTTACTTACTGCCTAGGGAAGCTGTAGGGCTTGGCCCACATCCAGCAGGGCCTGGGGCCCCTGGAAGCCACTCACTGAGTTACAGCCCCCTCCCCACTCCTGTATCTGCTCAGGGTGGTGATGTGTTTGCTCCTAGACTCTCTCTCATGGTTCCCCTGACACTCCTGCTTGGGAAGCCACCGAGTCACTGCCAAGGTGACATGCTTCCCCATCTGCAGTGCCCTATGCTTCCTGTCAGGAAGGACAGGTTGGGGAATATCCCTTTGCAGAGCCCATACGATGAGTGTGTCAGGTATAATAGCTATTTTCACACAAGGAATCTCATTCTGTTTTAACCAATAATCCAGTGACACATAGGTATTGTTGCCATTTCACAAACTTGGGAATTGGGGCTCAGGGAGGTGAAGTGACTTGGCCAAGATCATACAGCTAGTAAGTGAATGCTGAAGTTAGAACCCTGGCATTCTGGCTCCAGAGCTCTCATTTGTGCTTAAAATAGGAACCCAGTCAAAAGCAGGGACTGTGCTCTTTCTGTTGCTAATTGTTCCCATTGATTTAAAAGTTTCCTTTGGAGAGAAAGTATCATAATAAACATGCAGTTGTAAAAACAAGCTCTCAAAGCAACTCTCCTTCCAGCTTTTGGTCTGGAGAGAGATGGCTCTGTGGGGTGAGGGTAGAGAATTATCCAGGAAGTGGGACTGGCCAGGGTGACTGGCTGCTGTGGACAAGCAAGGTAACATCCACAGATGACTAGAAATTTTAACAAGGTGCCAAAGCCTGCCACACCTTTTCATCCACTATGTTTTCCCTTCGAGACAAAGATCTGAGAGAGAACGTGGGGGAAACAAGGGCAATGGTTCGGATTTGGCCAGTGGTTTTTTGCAAAAAGGGGAAAAGCAGAGGGTAAGACCATGAAAGTAACTTGGCCTTCCTCTGCCAGAGCTTGAGTGTCCTGATTCTGAAGTGATAGAATAGATTCTTTTCTGGGAAGAGGGCCCCTGTGAGTTTCCGGGGGGCTCTGTGACCTGGAAGCACAGCACAGGCAAGTCTCCTAGAGGGAATTTCTCCAGCCAGTCTGCCAAACAGCTCTGCTTCTGAGGCTACCACACAAGCCACAAATACAGAGACATAGCAGCCCAGTGAGGCTTCTGCTGTGCTTGAGAGCCTAGCTGGAAGGCCCAGAGCCCACCTTACAGCCCCTTAGAACAGCCAAGGCGTCATCCAGGCTGTGTGTGTGTCCGTTCACACCTTTCAGTTGGGAAACAGGGATCCCCTGGAGACTTGTCTGGCAAAGATGATGATATTCACAAATCATGTCATGTGTTCCCCCCACGCTTCCAGTGTACTTCTCATAGACCATGGTGGGACACTGAACAAATTCAGAGGTGACAGTCAAATTTACATTCCTGTGAAAAAGTGACATAATGACTTAGCCAGAGCCTTTGGATCCAAACTCCAGCTGAGGGCAGTATGGAAACCAGGGTCCCTGCTTGGAACTAAAATCCCCTGATATCTGAGAGTGCTATTGGCTTTTCACGAAGGCAGAAGAGTGACACAAATCTGACATTTGTGTCAAGAGGACTCTGAGGAGTCTGCTACCCAGTCCTTGTGCAGTCAGGTTGTCAGCAGACTCATGCAGCAGCACCAATAGATTCCAGTAAATCCCTGCAGAATGAAACCTGTGAGAAGGTGGCCTTCAATTAAGGAAGGACCCCAAAGGGCAATTCCACACCCTGCATTTTCCATTTCCTCTTATAGAGGAAGAGAGGTTGCTAGCAGCACCTCTGCCCAGCCAGGGTGTGGGTCCCCACTGGTGCCATCTTGCCGGCCAGCCCACAGATGGAATCTTGAAGGTCCTGAGGCAGCAAGGTGAGGGGCTTATTTAAGGGGTATGGCCAGGTGGCTGAAGGAGGAAGCTGCTGGCCGGAATTCCCAGGCGGTTTCCACAGTGGAAATCTCCCCACTGCCAACTTCCCATGGCTTGTCTGTTCTTTCCCACCTACCCTCTGACCAGTCCATAAAGAGAGCAGAAGCGGGAAAGGGAGGAAGAAGCCAGGGGCAGCCTGCAAAGCGTCTGCTCTGCTCAGCTGGGTCCATGGCTGTGCGTGCCAACACTTCTATCCTTGAAGTATCCAGACTCCACTTCTAGGATTTGCTGGGGATGATGGGACAGCTGCGGCTTCCTGGTCCCAGACAGAAATACACAGATTCTGGTCCAGACCCTAGTCTTGTAAGCCTCTGTCCAGGTGGGGCTGAAAGCAGAACCCTGAAGGGCTCGTCCACCAAGAGTCAGGCAGTTCTAGCCCTGAGAGAGGTAGAGGGGCCCCAACAATTTGAGCTCCTACTAAAGGCTAAAGGCCCCTTTCTGGACTTTGGCAAAAAAAGGAAGTCTTTTTTTTTTTCTCCTTAAGTTAGGGGTAGGAAAATACATCCATCATGAATGTTTGAAACCACACCGTAGCCCTCACATTCAAGTTGACCTCAATAGGCCATCTGTCAGAGCCCAGTCCAACAAGTGACTGGACTGGACTCTTTTGTAGGCCTGGTAAGTCACTTGGGTTAAGACAGCTAACCTTGAGCTTTTCCTCCCCCGCAGAGAGGCACTGCCCCTGGTAAAGAGACACCAGAGGCCCCATTTTTCTACAATGGAATGTCAGCATAGGCAGGGACCTCCTCCAGTTGAAGAAACAAGTCCAGAGAGGGCAGGTGACCCACCCAGGGCCTCACTGCGAACTGGGGTGCGGAGTCGGGGGCCCAGTTAGAAAGCATTTGTCCCTCCATTAAAATAAATACTAAAAATCCTACCAAGTTACCATAGTCCATAGTGGATAGGCCTCGTTCCCAGGGGCTTTGCCCAAAAGGCTGCACATTTTCTTGCTACAGTCTAAATTGCTTAAAAAATTGAAGAGCCGGAATGTTCCATTCAGAATGCAGTCCCATTAGGTGACAGGTTCCACTGCATGGCCTAAAATTAATCAATGTTTATCGGCTGCATAAAGGATGTTGTAGTGGGATGTTTTATAGAGCAGGTAAACGGAAGGGGTGGCGGCCTCAGGGAACACGTGGTGGTTCAGGGCGGTATCCATCTCGTCCACGTACTCCACTTGCAGGGCAATGCTCAGGGCCTGCGACAACGCCGTGATCTGGATGTGGTCACACTCCGTGGCCATGGGCTCTACTTCCTGCAGGGGCCAAAATGAAAACAAGCCAGCTTAGGAGGGAGGCCTGGCAGAGGACAAGTGAGTTCAGCTCTGGCTCTCAGGGTCATGGTCACAGCCTCTGTGCTGGGACGTCATCTTCACAACATCCCATGAGTTGGGTATGGACGTTCTCATGCCACACGGGAAACAGCCTCATTGAGAGGCAGCATAGCTAGAAATCGCTACAATTGCAAGAATCGAACCTGAATCTTTTCCATTCTAGACCTTGTAGTTACACCTGACAGCAGGCTACTAATTTAGAGGGATCTGGAAACGGGGGGCAGACATTTTTCAGGTTGGGCATCAAAGAATCTTAGAGATAAAAGGCACCCTGTCATCCAGGGGTGCCTTTCAAGCTTAAGTGTTTACAGAGGCTAGGCTGGTGAGTGAGGGTGCGAGTCCGGGTGCTGCAGAGACGATGGAAGAAGCAGAGGCGGTGGCAAGCAGGCGTATGTCCTACATAGAGAGGGCAGCTGCTGCTTAGTGCCTGCTGAGACTGCCCTGCAAGAGCAAGGACCTGGGGGCTGTACTTCTTACTTTCCAGCAGAAATCCAAATATTCATATGAAAAGTGCCTAATTTTTAAATATCGGCAACTCTTTCTGGTAAATACCATGCATCATAAACACGTCAAGCAAATGTGACTCTTGGACTATGACTGTGGTTTTGTAAACAGGCCAGTCCAAATCCCTTATTTTTCAGATGGGAAATCTCCAGAGAGGGGAAGTGACTTGCCTCAGGCCACACAGCTCAGGCAGCTCAGGTGGGACCTGTCTGCAGCTTGCTGACCTAGCTCTGTTTGAATTGCAAGGGCAGTCGTGACACCCGAGTCCCTTGGCTACGGATGGGTGCTGAAGTCTGCAGGACAGGGCCACAGGAGCAGAGCCCAGGGCTGGGGCTGAGACCCCAAGCACCTACGTGAGTGCAGAAGTCTTTGATGTCCATCTCCTCATCAATGAAGTGCCGGAAGAAGTCTGCTCGGTTCCTGATGAAGGCCGACGTGAGCAGGCGCAGGAACTGCACGATGTGGTCCGAGGCACTCTGGTCGTTGAACACCTTCAGCAGGCTGGACACTGAGCCATCCTTCTCTACCAGTTCCACCACACTGTAAAACTGCGCCCGCCCGGCCCTCAGCTAGGGAGGCCAAGCAAGCCCCAGCCCTCCCTCTGCATTCTCCCTCCGCTCCCTCCCTTCGCGTGAAGCCCTCACGTGCATTTTCATTTGTAGATTCTCAGGTTGAGTTAGAAAATCAGTCTGAGATTCTGCCTAAGCTAAGTAACCCAGGGTTAGCAAGACTTTGCAGTTTGTACACTAGTCCAGAGGCATGTTTGGGAGCGGCAGTTGGGTCTCCCCACCATGACTACCTGGGTTTGGATTCTCACGTGCACACTCAGAGTGGCAAGCGTCTGAGAGTCCTCGATCCCGCCCCTTCACTAATTGGATAGGGAGGCATGAGGTGGAGATGGAATAGGGTGAGGGAATAGGGTGAGGGCTCCCTGTGCCCACACACCCCCACAAGCAGGAAGGAACCCTCTGTCCTTCCCCAGCCAGGAGGAGCAGAGCTGTGGGCTGTGTAGGGGCTCCAGCCAGTGCCCACTCCTGTCTGCTCTGCCAGTGTGGAAGGAGGGACCAGGTGAACTCACAGCATTGAAGAAGTTTCTGAACTTGTGCTCCTCAAAGCCAGCAGCCAGAAGGTCATTTGGGGTCTGCAGTACGCGTTCTTTGAACCTACAGAGGGGGAAGACTGAGTGTTTACAGGGAAACACAGCGAGAGTGCTGTGATTGGCAACTGTGCGTCCCCCTCTCAACCCACTGCGCCCACCAACCTCATCTCTAGTCCAGCCGCAGAACCTCCCGCCCCTGCCCCCAACACACAGCCACATGCACCGTGCACATCTCCACCCTGGCCCTGCCGGGCCCTGGTGGCTGAGCTGCATTGTGTGTGTGTGCATGGTGGAAAGACGATACGACAAGGGCGTGTGTGATTTTGCATCTTTTCCAACTCCCTACTCAGTGACCTCATGAGGGCAGCTTGACTCAGTCATGATAATATTGAATACTGACACCACAGCAATCGGCTGACAACACACATCAGGCCTCCCGCACGCCCACAGCCGGCTGTTAAGCATCTGCCAGCACCAAGTTACCCTTGGGGACCCACTCCACAGGCCCTTGCTCTGCGCATGCTGGGTTGTTACTCTCTGCACCTACTGCAGGCCCCCTCATGGCGCAGCCCCTTTCTGGGACCTGTCCTGGTGCCCTCAGGGGGTATGGCAAGAAACCCAGGCCTGGGCCTGGCCCTGGCTCCAGGACACTCCCAAGTTTAGTGGCAGCAACGAGGTATGGAGGAAGGGCTGCCTCCCACAAGGACCAGGTGAGCGGCCCTGGGTGACCAGCTGGCAGGCGCAGAACACTAAGGCCACACCTAGTTCTCCAGCCCCTCACTTTGCCTGGGAACGGAGATGAGGCTCTGACAGCACCCAGGAGGCAGAAGGTTCACAAGGGAATACAGAGGCCTGGGCCACCTCAGAAGGTGCTGTGCTCCAGAAAAGCCTGGTGCCTTGTAGGAGGACAGGGGGCAGTGAGGAGGGAGAAGGTGGTGGGTGTGGACGGGAAGCTGGTCTCCTAACTCAGAAGGAGGAGTATTTGCCTAGATGCCGCTTGCCCCTGCCTGGTCCTGGCATATCTAACAGTCCTGCCTGGGCCAGGACTAGTTTGTCCTGATTGCAGGGTGAGGTGCCTGGATTGGAGGGATGGAGCCTGTGCTGGCTTCTAGCCGCAGTCCCCTCCAGCCCTGTCAAGTCCCCCTGTGGCTTTTGGCCATAAGCTCCACTTTGGCGCAAGTGTGGATGGTGATGACGCCTTGACTGCAGGGGTGCTGAGGGCGAACGGAGAGCTGCCTGGGAGGACGAGGCCTCCACTGCAGTGGTACCTGCTGCCTAGGTTTCCCCTCCTGGCCAGGGCAAGGATCTGATGGTCAGTGCTGGCTAACGCCTCTCACTCAGGAGCCACCCTCATCAGCACCCCCTGTTCAGTCTTCAGCTGCGGCTAGGTGGCCCATGGCCAGAGTACTAGAAGCAGCTCCAGGAAGCAGCTGCAGTCCTCCAGGGCTGCTCCAAGGGCCGGCACCCTCTTCTAGCCACTCTGTCCCTGCATGGCCATGAAGTGCACTGCTCTGCTCCCAGCTCTCCTGCCCCCCCTCCCACCCCCAAACCTCTGCCTCATTCCACATTCATTCCTCGCCAGTGACTTGTGGGCCCCTCTGTGCCAGGCACTGGGGCACGGAGATAAGCAGCATGCAGTCGTAGGCTCTGTCAGAAGGGGGCAAGCCCCCAGGCCAGGACATGCACCCCCGAGAGGCAAGCCAGGGATAGGGAGAAGGATAGCACTGGGGCTTGGAGGGGGTGCAAGTTCAGACCGCTGGGGCTGCACACAAGCCTGTGTGGGACCTCTGGCAAGTCATTTGACCTCTATGAGGCTCTGTTTGCTCATCAGATGTGGTAGTAACAGTGGCTGCCCTCAGAGGCGGCGCGTGTTCTCCAAGCCTCTGGCACACACAAGTACTTCGCATACTTCTAGAGCAAGTATGCAAGATACAGGGCTGGAACAAGCATACTGCTGCAACACGCTTGCTCCAGCCCTGCAGCAGCACTGAGCAGAGAACAAGTGTCTGCCTGGGTGGCTCTGGGCTCACTGCACACAGGGAGACAGTGGCTTGTGGAGGATGCATGACGCTGACGCTAAGAGCTAGCACGGAACACCCCAGGTCAGTGTTCCAAGTGCTCACGAGTCAATCACTTAATGTCCGTGACAGGGCTATGGCCACTGTTCAACTGGGGAAAGGAGCTACAGAGGAGTGAGTGAAGCAGCCTGCCTGGGGCCCAAGGAACCCACAGCCGGGTCAGAAGCAGGGCTACCTAGGCCCAGGCAGCGTCAGGCGGCATGTCATGCCTGCAAGCTCTGGTGTGTGTAGGATAAGTGAGTCCCTGTGCCTAGAACTCAGGGTGGGTAGGCAACGGGGCAGGAGAGGCAGGGGCCTGGTGTGGAGGGCGTTGGTGTCAGGGGTTTCCACTGCTCCTAGAGGTCAGGGGCATATTTCAAGCTTGGGAGTGACATGGTCTCGGTTTTTGTGTTAAGAAGATGCAGGCTGAGGAGGGAGGACCGCCTGAGCCCAAGAGTTCGAGGCCAGCCTAGGCAACATAGGAAGACCCATCTCTTAAGAAAAAATAAAGAGAGAAGGAAAATATTTTAAAAAAAGAAAGAAAAAATGCTGGTGGTCTCATGCAGCCTTTTGGTTTGACTTATCACCTGTGTGCCCCGGCCTGCCTGCTGAACGCCAGCCTTATACCTCCACTGCCCACCAGACACCCCTACTCTATGGCTCCCGGACATTTCAGACAGCATCGCAAAACACAGCTCCTGATATTCCTCAGCCCTCCTTTGCAGCAAACGGCTTCTCCATCCTGCTAACTCTCAGGCCAAACCTCTGGGAGCCATTCTTGACTCTGCCATGTCCAACATGTGAGTCGGGCACGAATCCTTTCGCCACCTTCACAGGTGTCTAGACCTGCCCACTTCTTGCCATGCCCACTGCATCCACCTGCTCATGCCACAGCCATCTCCCCTCTGGATCTCTCCCCGACCACATCTCCCTGGCTGTGTCTCCGCCCCCGTCTGTCCTGCACACAGCAGCCAGCAGGGCAGGTCCCCCGTGCTGCGCAATCCCTCGGTGGCTCCCGTGTCCTTCAGGCTGAAAGCCAAGGTCCTTAGAAAGGCCCAAGGCCCTATGTGCCCTGCCGCCCTTACCTCTCCAACCCTGCTTGAAACTGCCAACCCCAGACCTTGCACTCCTCGGCCTCCTTCCTGCCTGATTTTTCCCACAATACTTATCACCATCCGACACCTCAAACGTGATACTCATGTACTGTGCATCTTCTACCATTAGGACGCAAGCCCCACAAGGCAGGGATTTTGTCTCTCTTGTTCACTGCAGTATCCCCACAGCCTAGAGAAGGGTCTGAGCATGGCACCCGTGTGTGCTGACTGGAGTGGGGAGACAGGACGGAGTGAAGGTAAACAGAGCACGTGGGCTGGTGCAGAGAGAAATGCAGGCGCTGGGCTTAGCCAGCATCACCCACTGAGTCCTCACAATAGCCCCCTGAAGTGTGTTATAATGTCCACCTTCCACAGGCATGAAAACAGGATCAGAGAGATCAGGTCACTTGCCCAAGGTCGCACAGCAAGTAAGCAAGAGAGTGAGGTCTGGCCTCAGAGCCCAGGGCTGCTGCATGGCACAACTCCAGGGGACATGGGTCGTGGGGAAATGAAGTTGGGGTCATAATCCCTGCACTGTGCTGTGTTGGTCCCCACAGGGCTGTGAGAAAGTTGGGGAGGGGAATGGCTTGAGATAGCTGACTCTCCATCAAAAGGGGCTCTGCCAGTCTGTCACTGGCAAAACAATCTGAATGGTTCAGCCAAGGAACAGATGGCTCAACTTCTACCCTCTTTGAGATCATCTATATTTTGAACAGGAGACGATGGCCTTAACCTAGTAGTTCTCAACCAGATAGGGTCGACTTTTTTCCACCGAAAGAGGTTTTTGGCAGTGTCTGCAGGCAGTTTTGATTGTCATGACTTGGGGAGGGGGTTACTACTACTATGTCACGGGTAGGGGGCCAGGGATGCTGTTAATAGGCCTACAATGCATAGGACAGCCCCCACCGTGAGCATGATCTGGCCCAAAACGTCAGTCATGCCGCCGTTGAGAAACCTGCCTCAGCCAAAGAAGTGCTCTGGGACCCACTGCCCCCCGTACTGTTTCCAGAGAGCATGTCGGTGCGGGTCTCAGATGAGGAGGGCCCATGGCCCTCACCAAAGCCTCTAAGGGCTCTGAGACCCCCAAAGGTTAAGAGCCAGGTGGGTCTCTTAGCTCCTTGCTCCTCAAAGCGTGGTTTGAGGCCCAGCAGCATCAGCATCTCCTGGGAGCCAGTGACAAAAGCAGTCCCTGCTCTGCCCTGCTCCCACTGGACAGGAATTCGGGTCCAAGCCAGGTCTCAGGGGTTTGTTTGTCTTTGCTTTTTTTTTTCTTGCTATGGACTAGAGAACCAGGCGCCTTGTACAAACTTCAGATATGAGAAGCCCTGAACTAGCCGAGATGACAGGGGCAGCTCTGGACACAGACCTTCTCCAGCATGAACCTCAGGGACAGGCCCAGCCAGCTGAATGCCTGGGTCACACACACTCCACACCAAGGTCAACAGGAATTATGCAGAACACCGGGGCAAAGCTTCTTTTTGTTTGTCTTTTCTTTTCTTTTCAGAGTGGGTCACGAAGTACCTGCTCCCTGCGACTCACCTGGGCTGACCCAGGCCTGTGGTGGAAGCAGAGGCTGGAAAGCATCTGGGAGGTCACAGATTCCATCCTCCACCCCTTGGCTGCCCCCAACTTCACCACAGCAGGCAGCTGGGCACCCCCAACATCAAACGCCTCTGCCAGGCAGCTCTTCAGCTCATTCTCTGGGTTAACCAGCCTGAGTGTAACGAAAACCTCCGAGAGACTTGAGGCTGACCTAGCACAGAGAACACAGCCCTGACAGGCCAAGGGGCCCCGGCACTCACTTGAAGATCTCCCTGCTCTTCCCCAGCAGGGACTCCAGGTAGGAATAGCCCAAGGCCCTGTAGAAGCAGTTCCCATCCCCTTTGGTCTTGCGGATGGCGGTGAACCTTTTGCTGAGTTCCTGAGGGGGACAGAAAGAAATGTGGGCATTTGCACCAACAACGGCTCTGTGTGGTTTGGGCACTGGGACTGGCCAGGTGCCCCCCATCTCTCCCAGGAAATGTCTGCTCCCTCCCTTCAGGCTGCTATCCCCTCAGCCTCCCACCCTCGTTCATTCCCCTGATATAAAAATACACTGCATTGTCCTGTGTGTCCGTCCCTGCCCCCAGGCAGCCTACGGTCCGGGAGGGAAGATGGATAATTAGACAGTGGCATTGTGAGGGGACAGGAGTGCCTGGCTGGGTGCCACGGGGCACTGGCATTGCACTGGATTTTGGAAGTTGGGGAAGCCTTCCTGGGGGAGCAGCACTGAGAATCGGGAGCTGGCAGAAGTAGGGGGTAGGGGGTTGCATGTGTGAGCAGGGGCGGGAGGGGTGGGCTCCAGCTCCACTCCTAGCAGTAAGTAGGTGTCCCTCTGAACTGGCCTGGAATCCCCTTTCCTGCCTCATGGGACTATAAGCAGCATTTTGACAGCAGAGGATGGTTTTCAAGGGGTCTTGGAGTTCCTGTTCCCCCCATAGCCATGAGAAGGCTCAGAGCCGACTTGGGCCCACCTGAGGCCAGCTGGCAGTGGGGAGGCAGGCACTCTCTGGAGCCCCTGGCTCATCTCCCAGGAGGGCTCTGGGGGACACAAAAGTCAGTGGGCTGCAGAGCCCAGCTCCTTCCCTGGAAGTGCCCCGCAGCGGCGTTCGGATCACATGATGCCCACACCACTACCCCTGGCTGCTGATGGACATCTGACCCAAGCTGGACCTATCAGAGTCTCTGAGGATAAGTAATGAGGCCCAGCAACGGTGCTGCGTGTCTGAGAGGAACTTGAAGGGAAGGGCCTGTGGGGCCAGTGCCAGAGCAAGCCTGTCCTGCAGCGAGAGGAAGACCTGCAGAGTGCAGAGAGCGGCCAGGGCCTCCTACCAGAGGGACAGAGTGGGCACCCAGCTCCTCCTGCCATCCACGGGTGAGTGCTCCATGAGCGATCCCTGCAGCCTTCCCACAAATCCCTTTAGCCTCACTGGCGTAAACTTTCCCTCCAAGAGGTCTCCCAGCACAGCAGTTATGAATGTGGCTTGAGACTCAGCTGCCTGGGTTTAAATCCTAGCTTGGCCACTCATGAACTAAATGGCCACCACTTAATTTGTGTGCCTCAGTTTCCTCAGCTGTAAAATGGGGGTAATAAAAGTACTTACCTCACAGAGTTGTAATGAAGTATTGGTGAGTAAATAAAACATTAGGATAGTGCTAAACTTTTCAACAAAAAAAAATCCTTTTTTTTTTTTTGGAATGAAAGGATTTATCGCTAAGGCAAATGTCCAACATCAAAATATCCTAGGAATCCTTTCATTTGCCCAGGAACCTGGCCCAAACTATCGGCCTTCAAAGAGGCATCACCATTACACTCCCAACTCCAGCCTGTTTAGTTTCGGATGCTCTTCTCCCTGCCCTCTGCCTCACCTCGATTTTCCTCCGGTAAATCCTGTTTTCAGGATGGTCCCGAAGAATGGATAGAATGTCACATTTTTCTGATATTAGGTTGAAAGATGTTTCACTCTGAAAGATAGGGAAGGAAGAAATGCTGTGACAATTTCAAAAGCAACGGACGGGACTCCCCGAGCTGGTGGCCTCTGAACTGCCGGTTACAGACAACAATGAATGAGACCTTCCCACCTTCTCATGCTGGGAGTATGTTACCAGCATCCTAGACGCCCGTTGGGATCACCGCATTTCCAGAACAGGGATAGTCAGGGTCGGGGCCATCGTGAAGAGATAGCCCTGGTTATAAGGAAACTCATCTTTTTACTGGAAGCCTGATTCATTTCACAGAATGTGTACCTCAAACTTAACGAACCTTCATGCTGGAGGATAAGGCCCTTTGTCTCCTTCCATCCCTCTTCTCTCATTCATGCATTCATTCATTCGTTCATTCATTCTTTTACTCATCCAACAATTCCTGAACATCCACATGCCCAGCACTGTGTCACATGCTGGAAATACAGAAGGAAGGACGTCTAGCACTCCCTCACCCACAAGGCTCACAGTCTACAGGGAAAAACAATCAAGATAGGGGGTGATAAGGTCACCAGAAGAGGCCGCAGTGTGTGGCACTGGTACATGGAGATGCCAGAGAAGGTGTCAGAGATCTGAGCTCGGGGAGCACAGGGCAGGAGGGCATCTTCATGCACCACCTACCGGCGAAAGTTTACACTACAGCCCAGCTCTGGGTCTAGGTCAATTCCAACCCAGAAAGACAAGCCTCCTACAGGCAGGATCTCTCCAGGCCAGAGAAGAAATTGGCGGACAGAGAGGAGGCAACTGCAAAAGGAAGCTTCAGGGTGAAGGAAACTGCAGGAGACACGTTCTAGCAGCCAACTCCCCGTGGGCCTGGTCTCCGCCTTGTGCTATCTTGTCAGCAGGGCTCAAACAAGCAGGAGATGCAACTCTAGCCTCCAACCCACCCAGAGCCGCTTTGATTGCAGCATGAACATACTGTGAGAGACATGGTGTTAAAGCCACTTATAGTTTACAGCTTAAAATAAATGAGGCTGGCTCCTGCACACAACCCAGGGAGACCATTTTTATGCAATAGAGCACTGTGGATGGTCACTGTTAATTGGGATTTTTGTAAATAGTAATCTAGTTTTCCATTCATTTATCACCATCATTGTTGACACCCAGTTGTAACTGGCCTTTTTCATGTCACACCGGCCACAGTGGCCTTCCCTGGTAGCCTCTCAGCCTCATCACTGACTAGATAATGATCTCAACCCAATACCATCCTGCTCAGAGAGGAGCCCTCTGATGCTACAAACCCCTTTCTCCACCTGAAGAAATACATCCGGATTTTTGATGATTAGCTTTTTCCAAAGCTCAGCCCACAGAAGCAGAAAGCTGGGCCATGAGATTAGATAATGAGGCCTAAATGACTTTTGTTGCTTCTGTCTCCACATGGGACAGATGGCAAACTTCCATCTGGCCCTGATCCTGTGTCCAGTATCAGGTCAGGAGAGAAGCTGGGACTGGGCAGGGGTGTTTTTGGGGGGCCTGGAATGACAGCTTGTCATACTGTCTGCCATCTTCCATTCACCCAGGGCCTGGCACGGAGAAGGGGGTGAGATATTTTTCAAACAAATGAATAAAAGCTACCTCCTCCATGAAGCCTCCCTGATCTCCCCACCTCATCTGAGTCAGGCTTGTGCTCTCCCTTGAACTTACACTTTATTCTGTTTCGCCCTTTCTGGTGGCACCAAACATGATCTCCCCCCGACATGGGGGATTCAGGGCAACTTCCCAGAAGATAGCTTAAGAATAGAGGATGAATTCATTGTCCTAAAGAACTGGATGGGCCAGGCACGGTGGCTCATGCTTGTAATACCAGCACTTTGGGAGGCCAAGGCAGGTGGATCACGAGGTTGGGAGTTCAAGACCAGCCTGTCCAAGATGGCGAAACCTCGTCTCTACTAAAAATACAAAAAAATTAGCTGGGCATGGTGGCACATGCCCGTAATCCCAGCTACTCAGGAGGCTGAGGTAGAGAATTTCTTAAACCGGGGAGGCAGAGGTTGTAGTGAGCCAAGATTGCACCACTGCACTCCAGCCTGGGTGACAGAGCGAGACTCTGTCTCAAAAAAAAAAAAAAAAAAAAAGAAAAGAAAAAAAAAAGAACTGGATGAAGAATGTTTCCAAAAGAGGAAAGAAGAAACAGGGCATGCAAACACTTGGGGGGTGGGAAGAAGGGATTCTGGATTTTGCTTCCAGAAGCTTCCACTCTGTACCGACCCTTCTTTGCGAAATTAATCCAGCCCCAGGCTCCTTCCTTCCTTCTGCCCTGACATCATAGCGTGGGCTGGCAAAGCAACAGGAAAGCCATCAGGAGGAATCAGACAACACTTGGGGGCAGGTGCCAAGGGCTTCTGTCTCATCAGCTGTGACCCATTTCCTCCTCACTAATGGAATCCCACAACATGATGAAAAATGACTGGGTAGGTCACAACAATCCTACCTCTTTCCCATTTTCCTAGCCTCCCTTGCAGCTATGGGCAGCCAGGTAGCTGGGGTTGGCCAGCTGGACCCATGAAAAGTCTGCTGGGGACTTCTGGGGAAGCTTTTGGTTTTGGATAAAAGGAACAGAGATGGAACGTTCTACTCCTTCCCACCGTCAATGCAGATGCAATGTCCACAGCAGCCATCCTGCGAGCGTGAGGCTGAAAGTCAACACATGGAAGATGATCTGGCAATCTGCTACCCTAGGCCCAAGAGGTCTGAAGTGATAACAGGTGCCATTATTGTGCAAATACTATGTGCTAGGCTCAGGGAGAGAGGCTGACACGTCCCCATTATCTCACTTAATCCTCAAGACCACCTCCTGAGATGGGTATTATACCCATTCTACTGACAAGGTCAGGTGCCCTGTGCTAAGAAGTAATTTTAGGCAGATCTATCTGACTCTGAAGCCCATGGAAATTCTACCATGCCAAACTGCTAGGCAGGCAGAGCACAGAGGTCTTGAGGGACCAAGGCTGCTAAACACAAAGGAACATTCCACACAGGGCAGCCTAGGGCCTTCTTATCAACAGGCCAGGTCCCCACCTCCTGCCCCTGAGGCCTCACCCAGGAAAGTTCTCCATCCAGCTCCTGATCCTGGGGGCTCAGTGTCCACAACAGCATTTTCTAGCCCAAGACGTGCTCATCACAGGTGGAACAGGACACGATTTACAGGCAATATCCAGACACGGTGGTAAAATACATCAGTGATATCTGGAAGGAAAGTGATTTGCCGTTCCACTTCCTTCAAGCCTTCTGATCGCATCAAGGAGAAAGACAGTCTCTAGCATACCTTGAACTCCTTTCTACTTTGCTAGTCTCTCTTCTCAAGAGTGGGCAGGCCTCTGACTTACAGCTTAAAATCATTCCATTTTCATTTGTGTTTTTTCTTTTAACTTAAACCAAGCCAGATTTATTGACTTCAAAGGCAAATTTATAAAAAGTTAACATGTTTTGGTCTATTCTAAATCATGAAAGATTGACATTACTAGCATAATAACAATTGCTAGTTGTACAATTAATTTGGCCCTCATACTGCGTGCTAATACAGCAAATATTCATAGGATTCTATACATTTCAGAATGAAAGCTCTCCCTCTGCTGCCTTGTGTGGATGGTAAGAGGACAAACAGGTAATACTGAAAAACAAGCGCACCTGCTCTGCCCAATTCGTTCCCACTCACGCACCCTCTGACTTCATTCCAAAGTCCCGTTATTTATCTAACAATTTGTTTATACTGTATAAAAGCCTTGTTGTTTATACAGACAGCTGACTTAAAATGATGGCTTGGGTCTTTTTAAATCATAGATCAAAAAGTAGAACAACTATAGTTAACACTGCTTGTGCTTGGACTGCCCGAAACCAAAACCAAAATGGCAGAAGGAGGACACAAAATCAGCTACATTTCCTCTGCAGGGTGTCTGAGGAGGTAATCAATGGAGGAGTGGAATGGATTTAAGGAATTAATCTTCAACATGCAGAAATAAGTACTTCAATGCAGAAAACTGCCATCAACAGTTAAAATGAGGAATATTTAAAGGTGGATTAGGAACGGGGGTGGCACCTATGCCAGGAAAGTCAAGTTAGGTTTCCACTTGCTCTATTAACATAAAATTTGCATTTTTGACAAATCTACTTAAGCTCTTTAAAAGAGCCAAGTTAAGGAAAAATATTACATAGGGCCGGGCTCGGTGGCTCACCTCTGTAATCCTAGCACTTTGGGAGGCTGAGGCGGGCGGATCACGAGGTCAGGAGTTCAAGACCATCCTGGCCAACATGGCAAAACTCCGTCTCCACTAAAAATACAAAAATGAGCCGGGTGTGGTGGTGGGCACCTGTAGTCCCAGCTACTTGGGAGGCCAAGGCAGGAGACTCACTTGAACCCAGGCAGCAGAGGTTGCAGTGAGCCGTGACCGCACCACTGCACTCCAGCCTGGGCAACAGACTTCATTTCCAAAAAGAAGAAAATACTACATAGCAGTTCGGAGCCCTCCCATCTGCTAAGAGCTGAGCTCACCACACCTTCAGGACACACTGTGGGCATCAGCCTCAGGAAGGAATTTTTTCAGGTTTTGTTCTCCTTTGTCCCTGATCCCTATTTCCATTCCTCCATGCCCCCATGCCCCTATGGGTAGTCTCTATGGCATGTCTTTCTAGATATATTTGTTTTTTATTATAATTATGGTAAAACATACATAACCTGAAATTTATTATTTTAACCACTTTTAAGTACACAGTTCAGTGGCCTTAAGTACATTCACACAACAGTGCAACCCTCGCCCCCACCCATCCCAAAGCTTTTAATCATCCCAAACTGAAACTCCCATACCCATTTTTTTTCTTCCGTGTACTTATGATGAATCTCTACTCATTAAACACTAACTCCCCATCCCCTTGCCCCCAGTCTCTGGCGACCACCTTTCTACTTTTCTGTCTCTAATGAATTTGACTACTCTAGGTACCTCTTATAAATGAAATGCATTTGTCTTTTTAAAAAATACAGACTTGTAAGTATGCATGCATTTTAAGTTTGCATAATACTATTCTATAGATATTCTGGATATTTTTTTCCCTTTACTCCACACTATTTAAGAGCTACCCCTGCTTACAAATGTCTCGCAGGTGGGCTACCTCCATCTGCAGGTGATGGAACCTTGGGCTAGCTCCAGCGCACCAGTGGTCCCAGATGTAATTATTGGGGGACCTGGGGACAAGGGGATTCTCGCTTTGGCCCTTCAAGTCCCCACCTGGCACCTCCAGAATGACCCAAGTCCGCCGAAGTTGGTCCCCTGCCACTCCCCACTAGCAGGGCTCTGGCCACACCCCTGGCAAGACCAGAGACTCAAGCTCCCGGAAGAACCCCAGGCACACCCTCAATTTACTAGCCCATAAATCAGGCATGATGCTTGACCTGGCTGACTCTCATTCGTGATTGCTTTTAAAACCATGGCTGAAAATTTCTAGGATGTTATGGAGAAAGGACAGGCCACATCTGACAATGTCCTGTCAGACCTAATTAGGCCACCTAAAAGGACTTTAGCCCTTTAATTGCTGGTTTGCAAATAGATGCTAATTAATTAAGTCAGATAGCACTGTGGCTTGGAAACAGATTTAGCAGCTTGCGTGGAGGAATATATTTCAAAGTGAGAAAAGGATGTTCTTCAATCACTGCTTTTCCCCAGTAACCCTGGGAACTAGCAGAAAGCGCAAGGACGTGGGCTTTGTGTTCAGACTGGCTTTGAGTCTTTGGTGGGAGCCAGCACTACAGCTGTCTGCTGGTCCTTCCTCCTACATCCCTGGAACGCCAGCTGAGATTAAAGAGCCAGGGTATAAAACTCCCACCATGACGCTGGAGAGGTTGCCCCTGATACCCCATCCCTAATCCATGTACCGAGCCCCACCTCCAAATTTAGGGAAAGTACGAGTCCCCACTGTCTTCTGGTTTTCCCTCCCAAGCCTCTGTATGTACCTGAAACCTGCCCACATTACCTAAGGACTCCTCAAGCAGCCCGCAGCCATGGGCCCAGCACTATGGACTGCTCCAGGGGCTGGAAGGAAATATCCCTTCAGATGTGTACTCAGGGGTATGATATGTGACATATGTATGCATGCAGTGCTCAACATTGTTTTCTTTTTCTTTTTTTTTTTTTTCTGAGATGGGATCTCACTGTGTTGCCCAGGCTGGTCTCAAACTCCTGGGCTCAAGCAATCCTCCCACCTTGGCCTCCCAAAATGCTGGGATTACAGGTATGAGTGCCTGGCCTCAGAGTTTTTGTATTGATGAGGTGAGCGATGATAATCGTTTGGAAGCCATGGATTTGGGGGCAGCCGAGTGCCCTGAGTTTCCTGTGGCTGCTGTAACAAAGGAGCACAAACTTAGTGTCTCAAAACAACACAAATGTGCGATCTGACAGTGCTGGAGGCCACAAGTCCGAAAGGAGTGTTGCTGGCCTAAAGCAAGATGGCGACAGAGTGGTGTTCCTTCTGTGGGCTCTAGAGGAGAATCTATTTTCTTGTCTTCCGTTTCTAGAGGCTCCCGGGTTTCCCGGCTTACACACCGGCCCCCACCCTCCCCATCACTCTGCCTTGCTCTCATAAGGACACTTGTGATTACGTCATCGCGCCTACCTGGATAACTCAGTATCCTTAACGGAATCCCACCTGCCAAGTCCCTCTCGCCACGGTAACATAGTCACAGGTTGTGGGGATTAGGACGTGGACATCATTGGGGCCATTGTTCAGCCTGCTACATGTCCCTTCTCTGCTGCTCCACTAAGAAAAGTGACAAGACCCTGCACTGAGGCTTCCCCCCCGGGTCAGTTATTAGCTGGCTTTGCAGAGACCCTGACCTGGGCCCGGGCCTTCCCTCTTATCTTATGCCTAGACTCATACAGCATCCTCCCAACAGGCCCTCAGATCTTCCTCTCCGGGCCTGACCTCTCCCTAGAGCTCTGACTCCACAGCCACTCCTGCTCAGAAGTCTGAGAACATTACTGAATTAGCGTGTCCCTGACTGCTCTCCTGCCCACCTCGCCCCCCACCCCCGACAGGCTTCTCCAGCTCCCCATCCAAGCAGAGCTGATGCCAAGACCCAGAAGTGCTTCTCCACTCCTCTCTCCCCGACCTCCCCATTGGTCCAAGCTGCCATCATCTCCCCCCAGGGAGGCTGCACCAACATCTGCCCAAGGACCTCCTGGTTTCCACTCCTGCCCCCATCCCAGCCCATTCTCCACAAGCAGCCAATACAAGCTGCTTAACCAGCAAGGGCACGCCCTTCCCCCATGCCCTCCAGTGGACTCCCTCACTTAGGCCAAGACTCAATCTTTTGACAACGACCTCCCATGTCTGACCCCATGTGGCCCTCTCTGTGTTCCTTCACAAGACACACTCTCACCCCAGGGCCTTTGCACGGCTGCTCCTTTGACCTGGATTCTTCCTCTGCCTTTCCCAAGATGCAGGTGGCATCACCTCCTCAGAGAGGCCTTCCCATGCCCCACCCCATCCCTCTCACCTTTATTTCTTCATGGCATGATCTCATAGGCTCGCCTGTTTACCCGCATGCTGCCCGGCTCCCTCCACTGGAATGCCAATTCCATGGGGGCAGGGACTTTGTCTGCCTGTCAGTGCTGGCTCCTCAGTGCCTGGCACACAGCCATGCTCCAGAAATGTATACGGAGTGTTATGGGTTGAACTGTGTCCCCCCACCAAAATTCATATGTTGAATACCTAATCCTTGGTACCTTAGAATGGGATCTTATTTGGAAATAGGGTCATTGCAGATGTAATTAGCTGAGATGAGGTCATACTGGAGTAGGGTGGGCCTCTAATTCAATACGACTGGTGTCCTTATAAAAAGAGGAAATTAGGACACAGACCGGCATACAGGAAGAACACCACGTGAAGATCAAAGTTCTGCAACCACAAGCCAAGGAGCTACCAGAAGCTTGGAGGGAGGCCTGGAACAGAACCTTCCCTAGCGCCTTCAGAGGGAGCATGGCCCTGCTGACACCTTGATCTGGAGCTTCCAGCCTCCAGCACTGTAAGAATCCATTTCTGTTGCTCTACACCAGTTTGTGGTACTTTGTTATGGCAGCCTGGGAAGCTCACACACTGCATGAATGAATAGACAGATGCATGCATGGGACTAGCCAGGCTCTGACTCCAGCCTGGCTACCTCCAACCCTGTGTCCACTTCATCGTCAGAGAGGTCGTCCAAGTCAACCATCTCTTACTTGTCAAAATTATGTTATGGTTTCCCCCTCATTGGTGGAATAAAACCCAAACCCCACAGCACAGCAAGTGAGGCCCTGCACAGAACATCCTGACCCCACCAAATTTTCTAGACTCAATTTCCCTGCCTCCCTCAATCTCCTTGCATCTTCAGAGGCTGTTCACCTTTGCCAAAATCCCCTATTCTTGACCATGCTTCAAGGCCTGATAGCCCACTGTCCCCCCGCACCCGCCAAA
The DNA here is from genome assembly GCF_000001405.40 of Homo sapiens. NCBI lineage: Eukaryota > Metazoa > Chordata > Mammalia > Primates > Hominidae > Homo > Homo sapiens. Next base: position 1,143,484 of record NT_187601.1, on the reverse strand, counting down.
AGGAATGTGCCCTTCCCAAATCCTTCTTGAACACTCATATACATCCTTCAACTCAGCTCAAAAGACCTCCTCTGCAGAACCTTCCAACACCCCCACTCCCTCAGAGCATATTGACCTCTCACTGTGTTCCCAATGTCCTTAGGCCTCTTAGGCATGACCTGTAGCTCAGACACTGCTTGTGTCCAGCTGTCTTGGCCAGCAGGCAGTGAGCTCCTACAGCGGGCAGGCACCTTGTCTTTCTCATCAGTGTCACAGTGCCCAGCACAGGCCTGACAAAGGTGCCCACTGGGGGCCTGTTTGACAAATAACAGAACAAAGCACAATAGGACCCTGCGGTTTTCCTGCTTATGTCTGACTCATTCATTCGTCAAACATGAAATGCACCTTGAGTGCACGAGAACCCTAGCTATTTGCAGTCCCTGCCAGAGGTCTGGTCCTTGTCTCACCCCTACCTTCCCAAGTGTCTTTGTGTCTTCCACGGGGCGCCCTTCCTCAAGCTTAGCCCAGTGATGTAGAAACAGGAAAGTAAAGAAGATGCTGTATTTTCCAAGGATATTCCTTCTGTCACCACCATCCACACAATGCAAGTTCAACATAAAAACCCACCATGCAGCACAGGGCCCAGTATGGTCCCCGCATGCAGTAGGTGCTCAATAAATGCCATGTGCAGGGAAGGGAAAAGACCCTGCATGGCCTCCACCCCTGTGATTACCAGACAGACGTCATATTTTAGTGGGTTAACCACTTCATCCTTCGCCAAGGCACCCAAGCCCCCGGTGAGGGGTGAGGGCTTTGGACCCCATCTGCCATCTAACTTCCAGTCTCCTGAGTCAGGGCAGATAGGGAGCAGAGTGAGCGGCCTCACTGCATGGCACAAAGAGCAGCTACCGCCTCTGCTGTGCTCTCAGCTGCCGAGTGGTGGCCAGAGGGCATGCCAGCCTCCAGCTCCCGGGTGGCTAAGCCCATCATTACCCCAGCTCCACCACTCCCTGGTGGGTGATGCAGAAACACCTGGGCTGCCTTCCAGGAGCAGCTCAACCAGGTAAACCCTTGGGCACCAAGTGGAAGCAGGAAGCTGGTGCTTCCAGATGCTCCAGAGGCCCCCAGCTATGCCCCAGGCAGCAGGCTGGCTTGGCAAGGACAGTCCCAGCTCGAGTGCCCTGGCTGCCTATGCCACACCCAGATCGTGCCAGGCCATGACCAGGCTTTGACCCATGCCCCAGCCCGGCAGCATGCTGCCGTGGTGACCCATTTTCCTGCCCAGTCATAGGAGAGAGGAGGCTAAGCTTGAAGAACCAGGCATCTGTGCACACCCATTTCCAGGACTCTGTTGTCACAGGAAAAGCTCCAGCTAATCATATCACATGGTTCCCATGACACAGATGTGCAAAACGGTGCTGAGGGGGAGAGCGGACCAACCAAAGCCTCTTCGCTTTCCAACAGGTGGAAGTGAGACTTGAACCTGGGGCTGTGTGGCCCCGACTCAAGCCACCCAGCCCTCACTCCACAGGCTCCCCCTGCTCAGGGTTGAAGGGTCTTAGGCAGCCATGCCACCCAGTCCCCTGCAGGATGCCTGACCCCACGGCAACCTGGAAGGTGAGCCGATGTAACACAAAGAGCACTGAACTGAGAGTCCAGAGCCTGGGTTCAAGCCCCAGGTCCACCACAATCAGTACCAGCCCTGCCCTGTCTGGCCTCAGTTTCCCCACCTGCCCAAGCCCAGGGTTAGCCTGGCTCAGAGGGTCTCTGGGCCTCGTTCTGCGCAGACAAGGCTCTCCATCAGGGATTCCTGAGTATTTTCTTTTCCCCGACCCCTAACTCATGCGCCTCACAACTTGAGGCATCCTCTCTAGGTGGGTCCTGACTCCAAAGATGGAGACGGTCTAGTCGCCCACGGAGCAGACGACCTGGTGCCCCGTGCAACCCCTAGATCCTCCCTTGGGGTTGGGGCAGGGGCCAGGAGGTCTTTGACGGCCGAGCCGTCGGGTGGGTGGGGCCGTGGACTGCTGACTGGGGGGCTACTTAACAAAGAGGAGGCGACCCGTAGTGCTGCAGCCTCCCTGTCCCTGCTTCCGTCGAGGGCGCCCACCCAGCGCCGTCGAGGCGGCGCCCCGGGCCACCTGGGGCGGACACGCTGGGGGCGGGGGCTCGGGGCCGAGCTGGACCTCCTCAGCTGCACATCCACGGGGTACAGGGGGGCGCGACTTGGCCCTCAGTATCCGTCCGGACTCCGTATTTCAGGGGGTCGGAAAGCGGCGGGGGCGAGCTGGGGGCTGAGCCTCGCGTCCGACCCCCGTCCCGCGGGTGCACCCGCTCCGGCAGCGACCCCGCCCACCGCGCCCCCTGCCCGCTCCCCCTTCGCGATCCCCCACGATCACTGACCATAGTGACCAGAGCCGCCAGGCCAGGTCCCGCCCCAGCGAGGAGCGATCCGGTGCGGGAATGCCGCGGGAGGCGCGGGCGGGCTCCGCCGCTGGTTCGGTGGCGGGGACCTCGAGGGCGTGGGGGCGGCGGAGAATACACCCGACCGCTCCGCAAACCAAAGGTTAGACCTCCACTGTGTCCCAGCAAGACACACGCCCTGCGATTGACGTCTCAGGCGGGCAATCAGAAGCCGGGACGCGGGACGTCATAGAAAGTGGGTGGGACTTCACGTGCCTTCAGCCTATGCGTTAGGGTCCATTTGATAGGATGCCTCCCCCTTTTAAAGACACAGGAAAGCTTTTAACTAGCAGAGGAGTTAGCTCAACCCAGAAAGACAGGTCCTCGTTTGTAAAGGCTGAAGGGCTTTTGCGCAAACCTAAAATTGGAGTCTTCTGAAGGATTAGCTGGCCGTCATTAATTCATAAACAAGGTCACATAAGTATAGTTTGCACAAGATCAGAGGATAGGCGCTTAGGGAACACGTGTCCAATAACATTAAGTATGGCTTCTATATAATATTTTATCCTCTTCCAACTCATGAATCAGTAGGTTGCCACGCACCCAGTTAATGTTTGTTGAATGAATGAATGTCCAGGATCGTTGACTCTGTGGCTCTGGAATTGTAGGGATATCCGTGAACCAGGTCTAGATGACTCATCTTGCCTACAAGCTCATTATTAATGGACATCAAAATAGGAATATTTATCATTCAAAGATTCATTCACCAGCCCTTGAGTCCTGGAGGAGCTGCTTGGGTGTGGGAGGGAGAGTTTGTAGGGGAGGGGGGCTCAGTGCATTGCATGCATCCACTTCAAAAAATTAATATTTCCAGGAGCGTGTATTGAGCAATTCCCCTTCCTGCTGCTGCCCCCCGCCCCCGCCCCCCGCGCCCCACTCTTACTACGTAAGTCCCAGGTACTGGGCTAGGCTCTGGGCATACAGACATCTGAGTCTTCCAAGCATGTATCATGTCCTGGGCAGGGAGTGTGAGGTCAATGGAGGCTCAAGGAGCAGTAACAATAGCAGGTAATTTTTTACAGTTATTTACACAGTTATGCAGAACACCTACTATGTATCAGGCGCTATCCTGAACTCTCCACATATACAGAATTATCTTACTTAATTTCCTCACAACTGGTTTAAGGGGGTAGGTCCTGTTATTATTATCCCTGTTTCACAGATGAGGAAACATGTACAGAGAGTTTACGTTCCTTGCCTTAGTCACATAGCACTGAAGTGGGATTCAGTCCCAGGCAGTGTGACTCCAGAGCTGGTTTCGAATTCACTCTGCATGTGACTACAGGGGCTGTGTTACCTGCCTCCGCCCCTGACCCCCATTTGTTTTCGGGGGGTTTCTCGCTCTTTTTTTTTTTTTAACCGCCAAGGAAGCCAGAGAGGTGACAGGAGCAGCCCAGTGCTGCTGAGCTAAGAAGTGGCCTGGCTGGGCTGGATCCCTGGACTCCTGACTCCCCAACCAGTGCTCATTCCAAGGCGTGTTAGCTTCCCTCTGTGGAGGAATGACTGAGCCAGGTTCCATGGTGTCTGAGTGAGGGGTATGGGTGAAGAGTCTTTTCAGCCAAGGCTTTGATGAGCCCTCAAGTTTGGCTGCACTAAGCCCCGAGTCCTGGGCTCACTCTCTGCCCTTCTTCAGGCCCCAGCAGTTCCAAACCAAGCCAGCATGGGAGTGTGGAAGGAGCACTGGGCTGGAGTCCATGAGGAATTCTGGGCCCTTGGGCTCTGCCACTCACTGCTGTGTGACCCCAGGCAATGCCCAGGCCCTCTCTGGTCTTCTGGTTCCTCACTCAGTGAGAGGGTTGGACAATCTGGGTGGTTAAAAATGTTTTGTTTTGTTTTGTTTTAATATTTGTAGTAATGAAGGCTTTAAACACACACACACACACACAATCTTACAAGAATCTCAGTGCATGCGTAACAGAATATTTCCTCAAATTTAGCTCAATTCGCAGGGAAAATGTAATTTCCTTAGTCTAACTAATCAAGATTCCTCGTAAGCTCTCTAAAGCCTGGTTAGAAGGAAAAAAGTTGCAGAAGGGTTCAGTGGGTTTTCAAGCTGGGTCTGCATCGAAAATGCAGACAGCGTCGTTAGGGGCCGCCCATGGCAGGGGATCCGTGTGTTCTGTCTGGAATGAATTTGCTCCAACCTTCCTGCACCCCTTCTCCCTGTTGTCCAGGTGTCTGGGTGGAGGGATCGGGGAATGGCAGCTGGGGCTTCACAAGTCCAGAGAAGCAGGAGGCTTTGGGTGTCCTGTCTTCCAGCAAAGGACCTGTGTACCTGGGTACTAGATGCCCAAGATTTGAGGGCTGGGTTCTGCTGCCCATGCCACTCACGGTCTGGCCCTTCTCAGCCTGGTCAGACCCAGAGAGCTCTCCGGGGTTGACGTCATCCCACTCTTTGCAATGGAGCCCCAGCCCACCTTTCTCACCTTCTCTCCCTGACTTCCCCACTTGTCCGATAATACATGAGCTTATAGGGATGGCTTTGAGGGCCTGGAAACTTCCTTGTGCTTTCACACCTCTCTGTACCTTTGCTCCTTCTGGAATGCCCACTTGTCAGATACCACCTGTCTTTCAAATCCTGGGTCATTGTCCATGAGGCCTTCCCGGATTGCCCAGATGGTCATGAATCCCTTTGAATTTCCCCACCATGTCTGTCCTCCTTTGGTGCTGATCCCTTGCTATTGGGATTTGGAGGGAGCAGGAGGCCATGGTAATTATGAGTGTGGGCAGCGGAGTCAAGTATGTTCATGTCACCCTTCCCATGGCATTACTCCTTGAGCAAGTCATACCTCTCTGGGCCTCGGTTTCCTCACCTGTAAAGTGGGAGTGTTCATTCCTATCTCAAAGATTACATGAGATGATCGTGAAAAGCACTAACATTGTACTTGGCATTCAGTAAGTGCCTAACAAATGTGGGCTTTGCTTGGTGGCTAGTCGGGGCCTGAGTCTCCTTCCTCCTGGTGTGACTAACCCTAAAGGGGACAAGGTCACCACGAGGCCTGAGACTCACGGCTTCTGTTAGCTGGTATAGATTTGCATGTTACAGGGAGGAGCCCCACCAAGGATGGTGTCTGGGTGCCTGAGAAGGGGGTTTTCTGCCGTTTCCCTAGATCAATGGAATGAAGCTATGATGGAAGCATTTCAGGCAGCCACACCCATGCTGGCAAGAGCGGCCATTTTCCTGATGCTGGTTACACTGTGCTATTTTATTCACTTGACAACGCCTTCCCCACCCCACCAGCTGCGGGAAGGGTGCTTGGTAGGAAGACCAGGCCCCCAGGAAGTAAAGCACTTCACCTCCATGCAGAGTGCAGGCTCAGACTTTGAGTTTCCTCTGCTGGGTGTCAGCACTCTCCTCCTGCAACCTTGAGCTGGAAAACTTGTTGAGATACAAATTCAGGTGTTGTTTCACTGCTGGGAAAGATCAAAAAGAAGAGCTAGAATTAGCCCTCCCCTCACTCCTCCCTTGCCCCAGTCCCAGGGAGCAGAGCTGGGGGCTGGCCCTGGAGCCAATGGCTGTCCTGGCTCCCACCCCCAAGGGCAAAGGTGAGAAAGAGGCTTTTGTTTTTGAGAAAAGAGGATCTTTCTAGGAAGAACAGTGGGATTGGGGGGATTAGGGAATGGGGAGGTGGATCTGGCTGAGTAGGGAGAAGTTTCTGGAATCCAGGAAGGGTAGAAGCAGGTGTCCTAGGACAGAAGAGACTCGTAGTGCAGTACAGTGACTCCTCACTCACAAGTCACATGTTGGATCCTGAGAGGACAAGCCTGTATTGCGTAAGGGAACTCGGGCCCCTAGCCTGGCGGAGACTCCTTTGTCCTTCCCTTAGGAGCATGTTTTGGGTGAGGGGTGTAGCAACAAGGCAAAACGCATTCATTCAACATTCCGCAAAGAGTTACTGGACATCAACTATGTGCCAGGCACCCACTGCACATCATTGCATGAAACTGACGAAAGTCGCTGCTGTCACTCAGCTTACATTCTCCTGGGGAAATAACCTCCAATTGTTCTGCACTAAGTTGCCCCGGACTATGCCACCCCAATGGGGTTGGGGGTGAAGATGGGGAGGGAGTTCCCCCAAATAACTGAGAGTTAATTTTCCACCAGCCCAGGGATACAGGATATATAGTGAGTTCGTTTTTGAGAGGAGAAACAAAAGAACTGTGGGATTTCTTGAACCCCCAGAGAGGGCACCAGAGGAGGCATGAATGGCTTTTCAAGTGTAAGGCAAGAAAATCGGGAGGAGAAGTCATTTTGTAAGGCTGGGTTAGGACCATGGCATAACGCCCTCTTCAGTTTACACACAGCCCCAGGAGGGTAATAGATGGGCCCGTTTTCCAGCCACTCACCCCTTTGTGGGTTCCGCAGGGCCTGGGTTTTGAAAGCTAGCGTTTTTCAGCTCACATGGCAAATGCTTGTAACCCGTTCAGCCTCCTGGGCTGGGCAGGAAACCATCTCTAGTTTCTATGGGAGAAGGTGCATTTGCTGTGGTTTTCAGAAAGGCCAAGACCAGCAGCAGGAGGTCCCCAGGCTTGGAGAAAGCTGCCTGTTTCTGCCCTGTCCTTGCTCCCTGTGGTGGGCACAGAGAGCCCAGCTCCCAAAGGCAGCTGGAGCACATTCTAGCGACGAGACCTTGGGAAGATTATGTGACCTCTGTGATCGGTAGCCTCTAAATGGTTCCCAGTGACTACCCGCCCCCTCTATCTCCTGTGTTCAAGCCCTTGGGTAATCTTTTCCTTTGCGTGTGGGCTGGACCTGGTGGCTTGCTTGTAACCAATACAGCACAGCAAAGTGATGGGCTGTCATTTCTGAGATTAGGATTCCCAAAGCCTGTGGCTTCCAGCTTGCTGGCTCACCCTCACTCCCTCAATTGCTATGTTAGGAACTGCTCTATGGAAAGATCCACAGGGCCAGGAGCTGAGGGAGATCCCCCCACCAACAGCTGGCAAAGAACTGAGGCCTTCAGTCAAACAGCCAGGGAGGAACCTCATCTGCCAATGGCTGTGTGAGTGAAATTGGGAGCTGATTCTCCCTGGTCGATCCTTCAGGTGAGACTGCAGCCCTGGCTAACAGTTTGATCAAAGCCTCTGGAAAGACCCAGAGCCAAAGGACCCTTCTCAGCCATGACCAGATCCCTGGCCCATAGGAATAAGATAATAAATGGTCATTGTTTTGCTAAGCTTTGGAATAATTTGTTAGGCAGCAGTAGATGACTCACACCGCCTCTCTTGTTCCCAGCCTCAGTCAGTTCCTCTATGGCACGGGTTAATGATACATCTCTAGATGATTGTGTGGATGAACACAGCCTTGGGGATGGGGACACCTCCCCAAGCTCCCACTGGAGGCAGAGTAGGTATTCTACAGCACATTCCTCCCCACTGCTCTAGTTGCACAAATCAATGTCTAATTGCAAATTATGGCAAGTGCTGGGGAAGAAGAGAATAGGGAACTGTAGAGCAGATGAGCAAGGGCCTGGCCTGTCTAGCGGGGAGGGGAGGCGTCTCAGAGGAGGTGAGTTTTGAGCTGAGGTCTAAGGATGAGTTGGAAGAGGCTTCATTTGTCCTCTTCCCTGTCCCCACCCTGATAGTCTCTTCCTTTGCACTTTGCTATTTCCCATCCTAGCATTTCTCACAGTTCGTGATTATTCCCGTGTAACTCTCCACCTGTTAGATAATAAGCTCCAAGAGGGCAAGAACTAGGTCACCACAGTACACTGAGTACCTAGCACAGTGCCAGGCACGTAGCAGGCACTCAGGAAAAATGCCCTGAATAAATGAGTGGGAGTAGGCAAGGGCTAAAGGGACAACAATACAGTTAGCTAGGACAGCATCAGTGAACCTCCTGAAAAGGAGCCTGGTGAATTCTAGCAACTGGGAGGGGCCAGTCTGGCTGGAGCACAGGAATAAAGGGGAAAAGCGAGTGCTTCATATCAGGCTGGAGAGGTGGCCAAGGCCATGCAGGCTTTGTAGGCGTTGGAAAATGGGTTGACATGTGGGCAATAGGGAGCCATGGAAGGGGCAAGAGGGAGGGTGGGCATGACTGAATTTGTTTATTTGAGGAATTGCTGGGGCTGCTGTGAGGAGAATGGGTTTGAGAGGGCAAGAGTGGAAGCAGAAAACCAGGAAGGAGGCCGCTGTAGTGGTCCAGGCCAGAGATGGGCGTGGTCAAGTCCAGGTGGGGCACAGAGATGGGGAAAAGTGGAAAAAGGTCCAAGAGCAGGAGGGGACATGGACAGGGCTTGGTGGTGGGCTGGATGTGGAGCTGCAGGAGAGTGGGGGCCCACCTGGCTGGCTGGATGGGGCAACCCGACACCAGCGCAGCTCAGCTTCCATTAGACGGAGCAGAGCGCAGTGCCTGAGGGAATTCCCCAAATAACATCTCCCAGAACATAAAAAATGGAAAAGTTCGAGGCTTTGTGATTTCGAGAAATGCTCCAGGCCCCTGGAGAGCAAAGCTCAGAAAAACTTGGGCTTGGAGTGGTTGGTAAAAACTTCTTGAAACAGGAGCCTGTGTTTACAGATAGTGGAGGCTTGTGTGGGGTGAGGGCAGCTACTCCCTAGAGGTCCCGGGTCTCCGAGCTCTGCCAGGTGGGACTTGAGGTGCAGCTTCCTGGATAACTTATTTTACTGTGAGATTGTTACAAGGACAAAACATAATTTTTGTACCAGAGCAACGCATTATGAAATAGAATGCAAATTCACTTATATAAAATTTTCTGATGAAACTGCAAAGAAATCCTGTGCTTCCCCTCTGGCCTCCGCGCCAGTGCCCTGCAGGTCCGAGTTCACTCTCCTTTGCCGTTAGGGATGTTGGGGGAAAGTCTGAGAAGCTTTGATCAGGAAAAGCATCCCAGCCTTAAGGTCAGCCAGACTTGGGTTCTGCTGCCTGTTTGCTGTGTGACCTTGAGCTAATTACTGTCTCCCTCTGAGCCCAGGCATCAGTGTTGGTTGCCCTTGAAAGCACCTGCCTTTCCCAGGCTGACCACTTGTTCCTGTCAAACTGGCTTTTCGACTCTCGCAATTCTCACCTTTATGGTATTTGCTGGAAGAAAATTAAAGTTTGTTCATCTTCTAGATAGCAGCATCTTGCCTAACATAATTTCTTATGGGTGCTCATAGGAAATAGAAAAATTGAAATCAATCATGCAGAAACAAATAATGATGGAGGACCCCTCACACCATATCCAGTGCAGGATGTGACAGAAACATTTAAATTGTTAGAGGTCTTATATCAACTTTTTGAAATTTTTTTTAAAATTTTTTTGTATTTTTGAGACGGAGTCTCGCTCTGTCGCCCAGGCTGGAGTGCAGTGGCGCGAGCTCAGCTCACTGCAAGCTCTGCCTCCCGGGTTCACGCCATTCTCCTGCCTCGGCCTCCCCAGTAGCTGGGACTACAGGCGCCCGCCACCACACCCGGCTAATTTTTTGTACTTTTTTTTTAGTAGAGACGGGGTTTCACTGTGTTAGCCAGGATGGTCTCGATCTCCTGACCTCGTGACCCACCTGCCTCAGCCTCCCAAAGTGCTGGGATTACAGGCGTGAGCCACCGCGCCCAGCCTTGAAATCCTTTCAGTGATGTGCTACACTGCTCTATGTGAAAGAAAAGAAAGTTAGAGAGCTCTCGACCTCACCCCCTCATCAGCCAATTTTGTAGCTATCATGAGATCTTATTTTTAGTCAAATCTTCCCAAATCCATTCTCTAGAATTGGTGATAATCTATCCAGCCACCGTGAATAATCTAGGAACAGACAGTAATTTAAATGCACGCACACACACACAAACACACCGCCCTAGGGTGCCCATCCTGTTTTTCTAGCCCTTCCCATCCCAATTCCATGTTAAAGGTCAGTAGGGCCAGGGAGTCTGAGGGACTTGAAAGGGCCCCATGGGCCTGTTTGGCTGCACTCAGCCCAGGATAAGTCCTGCTGGCTCCCGGGAGACAGATGCCATCCTCGCCTTGGCTCATGAGTCTTCTCCCTCCAGATTCCTTGGCAGCAGCCTAGGGTGACAGGTGACAGAATTCCTGTGATTTATGATGCTGTGGAGGCTGGGCGAGGGAACTCTTCCCCCAGTAATTCCCCTAGAAAACTCATGGGCACTTGGCCGGCTGCGCAGGGCTCCTCCAATGGGTGCTAGAGAGGCAGCTCATCCCGCGAGGTGGTGTGGTGCCCTGTGCACAGGACACAGTCGATCCCGAAGACCAAGTTGTAGCTGATATTCTTCTGCCCCCCCTTAAATATCCCTCACTTTTGACTTCTACACCTTTCTTAAAATGTTCACTTAGAGATTTACTCCTATTCTTGAGAATTTCATTCATTCATCACGTGTTCTGAGGACATGAGGATGTACAACACAGATTTACCGAGGGCTTGTTCTGGACTGGGCTTCACACTGGGCTCTGGGTATGTGGTTAAGACAAAGCTTTTCCTCTTGAGAACTTCTCCTTCCAGTGGGGAAGAGAAGAGTGGAAACAACTAAGTGATGACTGTAACAAGGCAGGTGCTCTCAGGAGCCTGTGGGAGAGGCTGGAAGCCCAGGGAGAGCTCTGCTGTCTCTGCCTAGGGCCGGGACAACTCGCAAGGCTTCATGGAGGAGGTGAGACAGGAAGTGGCCAGGGAAGAGAGGGATGGGAAAAATGGCCATCAGGGCAGAAGGAAACTCCCCAAAAGCACGCTCAGGACTGGGGCTTATCCCGCCCTGTGTCCTGCAGCTTGAGTGTGTGTCCACACCAGTGCAAGCTGGGGGTCGAAGGTTGGCTGGCCAGGGTCTTCATGTCTCTTGGGTCACAGCCCCTGCAGCAGAAGCCTTGGATGATGCCAGCTGTCCACAAGAGTCACTTTCTCACTGGAAGGCAATGCTAGACTCAGACCCACCTCAGAGCAAATCAGACCAGCGCTTGCAACCCTTACTGCGCACACGGATCGCCTGGGGACCTCACTTGAATGCAGATTCGGCCTTTCTCACAAGCTCTCAGGGGATGCCCACGATGTGGTCCTCAGACCACACCTGGGCAGGGATACACAATAACACACTCATCCCTTGATTCTGTCTGTGGGCTGTCTTCCATTTGCGCTTGAGCCATCCAATCTGCCTCTAGATCACGATTCACTATCATGCTCCCTTCAGCCTATAGTGGCTGAGAGCTCTAACTCTGAAAGGAGGCAGACATGATGGCTATGTGACCTTGGGAAAGCTTTTAAACTGTCTGAGCCTCATCTGTACAATGGGATAAACACTCCTGCAGGGAAAGCTGCCTAAGCTGTAATGAGCTTAGCATCCAGCAAGCATCCCACACGTGAGCTCTTGTTCTTACAGTTCCTTTACTACTGAACTGTCCTGTGACAGTGACAGTGGTTCAATTTGGAGCCCAATGCACTTGAATTCATGTCCAGGCTCAACCACTGACTGTCTGTGTAGCCTCAGACAAGGCACATTTTCACACTGAGCTGCAGTTTCCTCCTATAAAAGGGGATTAGGAAAAACTTTCTGGCTCACAGGTTGCGGGGACAACTCAGGGATGCACGGTAGCCAGTAAGCAGCATTCTGGTACCCCGTGAGGAACCTAACTCCCTTGTTCATGCACACACGCACCTGTTCCTTCAACACCGAGCACCACCTGCTTTGTGCCAGCCCCCCGGTAGGCACAGGGAGTTGGAGATAAAGGACACAGGGCTCCTGCCCTCAGCATGTGCACTGTTCATGGTGCTGGAGAGCAGGTGGGGATGAGGCTCCCTCTCTTGGATCTGTGAATGCAGCATCCCATGCATGACTGAGTCCTACAGAAAGTCCAGCAGCCGCCAGTGAGGGCTGAGCAAGTTTTGGCAGCAAAGGGCACGGCAACAGTGCCAGCACCTTCTGGAGACTCCAGTCAAGGGAAATGGAGGAACCCCCAGGTTTGGAGATGTTTGAGACATTCCCATGGAGTGGCTTTGGCCAGACTGGCACTTACAGCCTGGGAGCACAGGCCTCCCAAGTGGCCTGGCTGCTCCTGAGCCAAGAGCAGGGCTGGGCCGGGCATCTGGCCCCCAGTGAAGGGGGTGGGAGTGGAGCTGGAATGCCCAGCACCTTTTCAGCTGAGGCCATGGCAGGGAAGCCTCTCCAAGATATTTCCTGCAATCCCTGTCTGGCCAGCCTCCTTACCTGGAGAATAGGACTCAGGTTGGGACGCCAAGATTTAAAGTTAGAGACCAAAGGGGACCCCTTCAGAGAGCAGTAGGCAGTGGTGGCGGTGTCAGGGCAGGTGCTCATACAAGAACTAGAGTTAATGAACTTTGAGAAAACCCAATATGTGGAGCGCCAAGTACCTTTCTCCAGAGACTTGAAGACAGTTATGTGGGTGAAGGATTTGACAATTCCTCTTGTTCTTGGGGACACCAAGGGTGAGGATTGGTGAGGTGCCAAGAAGAGTTGGTTTCTAATTTTTTAATACAGTCTTTCTGGTTATAAAAAAACGTGTTAATCACAGAAACTTTGGAAAATACACAAAAGTATAAAGAAGAAAATAAAAAAATCCTACAATCTGGAGATAACCACTGTTAACACGGCAGAGCTCTTCTCCACTTTTATGCATCCCAGCATTCCTGAGACACAGGATCCATGCCCTTGGATGGCCTGGTTTCCCACAAGGGGTGATGCTTAGGTTGGAGAAAACACAGAATTTGAACAAGTGTGCAGGTGTCTCAGGCAGCTATTGCTATCATGCTGTGTAACAAGCTACCTCAAACTTGCCCTGGCTTGCAGGTAGAAGAAGCATTTGTCTCTCACTCATGAGTCTGTGGGTTGGCTGAGGATTGACTGATTTAGGTGCATCCCAGCTGCAGGTTGGGTCCATCTCTGCACCACATGACTCTCATCCTCCTGGAAAGAGGGGGGCTCCCTGAGGCAGGTTCTCTTCATGGGTGAGCTCACGGGTGGTAAGTGCACTACACAATTATGTTTTAAGCCTCCGTGTCATAATCCACTGATATTTTATGGGCCAAAGCACACAGCCAACCCAAGTCAAGAGATGGGGATGACTGTTCTGTCCACCAGGAGGCCTGGCAAGAGTGTGGATGTACACTACTGGGGCTGATCACTTTGTCTACTACACTAGGTGGGTCTAATATATGCTGCTCTCCCCAAGGGTCTTGATCCTCCTGCTTAGAACATTGTTTTAGTAGATTTCCTTCTACTCTTATATATGTACAATTTTTACTAAATTGAGTTTCTATTCTACCTTTTTAAAACTCCTTCTTGGTTTCTGTTTTCACTTAGCTTTATACCTTGTACATTTTTCTAACATTAAATATTTTTGAAAATATGCTAATGGCTGCAGAATCTTAACATGTTTTGGCATAATTCATTAATCTCTTCTTCTAGGATTCTTAGGGTGTTCCAGTTGGGGCTACTATAACAATGTGATGAACATCTTTGTGCAGAAACTTTGTTGGCATCTGTCATGGGCATTTCTTGCTTCTGTTTGCCCAGTACCAAGTCCAACCTCCCTCTGAATTCAGTGAGTCAGTGCCCTGATTTCCCTTTGGGGGAACCGCCCCTCACCTAGTTTGAGTCCATGTAGTTCATGTGGCATCCATCACTGGCTCCCGGGGAATGGCCTCTAGCCACGAAAGGTATTCCATCTCACTAAATCTCAAAAATTGGGCCCAGGCCTGGCCATCCAGAGGATGGAATCCCCCTCATTACAGAGATTAGTTCAGGAATGACACAGTGCCTAGTCCCGGCTAATTAACGGTTGTCTAAAAAGAGGTGCATGACCCAAGGTGATCTAATCAGAGTGAATCCTGAGACTGGCCAAGGAGTAGCTAGGAAGAGGCATTCTCTCTTCTCTGACTTCTGCTTCAGAGGGTGCTGGCAATCCTGAGGTTGCTGGAAGCGTCTTGTTTACACTGAGCCTGAGAATAAAGCCAAGACCTGGGCGATCAATCTCAGAATCAAAGAGACTGGATTCTGCTGACATTGTACTCCTGATTAACTGTGCCTCCAGCAAGAATCCCTGCTCTTTTCAGTTTCAGAGGCCAATGCGTTTCATTTGTCTCCTAAACTGAGTTGTGCTTTCTATCACTTTCAACCAAATAATAGCTCGGTGCTATTGACAGAAGTTCCTGAGCTGGAATTTCAGTTGTCCCTCAGTGTCTGTGGGGGATTGGTTTCAGGACTCCCCCAACACATATCAAAATCCTCAGATACTCAAGTCCCTGATATAAAATGGTGTAGAATTTTATGCACATCCCCTCATATACTTTAAATCATCTCTAGATTACTTTTAATACCTAATACTATGATGCTGTATAGTTGTTGTACTGTATTTTTAAAATTTTGTGTTATTTTTAATTGTTGTAATTTTAATTTTTAATGTTTTTCTTTTTTTCCTGAATTTTTCTTTTTTTTTTTTTTTTTTGAGACAAAGTCTTGCTCTGTTGTCCAGGCTGGAGTGCAGTGGCGCCATCTTGGCTCATCGCAACCTCCGCCTCCTGGGTTCAAACAATTCTCCTGCCTCAGCCTCCCGAGTAGCTAAGATAACAGGTGCGCACCGCCATGCCCAGCTAATTTTTGTACTTTTAGTAGAGACGGGGCTTTGCCATGTTGGACTGGCTGGTCTCGAACTCCTGACCTCAGGTGATTCACCCTCCTAGGCCTCCCAAAGTGCTGGGATTACAGGCGTGAGCCATCACGCCCGGCTTTTTTTTTTTCTTTGAGATGGAGTTTCACTCTTGTTGCCCACTATCTCGGCTCACTGCAACCTCTTCCTCCCTCATGAGCGATTCTCCTGCCTCAGCCTCCCAAGTAGCTGGGATTACAGGCGCACGCCACCATGCTTAGATAAAGTTTTGTATATTTTTAGTAGAGATGGGATTTTTTTCTGAATATTTTTGATCTGCGGTTGGTTGAATCCAAAGGTGTGGAATCCGTGTATACAGAGGGCTGACCATACTGAGCTGAAGGACATAAACATTTTTTAAGCCTCTCAAGACCTCTTAGCAAATTGCTTTCCAGGGAGTTTATACAAACAATTCTACAGTGAGCCCATCTTAAAAGCATTTGTCTGTTGCTTTATTTTGATAGGCAATAATTGTATGGTTGAAATATTTTTATGTTTATAGGCCATTTTATTTCGTGGTTTGCTGAATATGAGCAACTGGTGTCAATTTTTTTTTTCTTTCTTTACTTCATAAGTATCAAAAACATTGATATAAATATCAAAAACATTGATCCTTTCCCAGATTCCTCACCATTTCCCCCCAGCTTATTGTCTTTTGATATTTTGATGCACTCTGAAGTAGATGTATTTGTAACTTTTTTTTTTTTTTTTTGAGACAGAGTCTCACTCTGTCACCCAGGCTGGAGTGCAGTGGTGCAATCTCAGCTCACTGCAACCTCCACCTCCTGGGTTCAAGTGATTCTCCTGCCTCAGCCTTCTGAGTAGCTGGGATTACAGGCGCCTGCCACCATGCCTGACTAAGTTTTTGTATTTTTAGTAGAGACAGGGTTTCGCCATGTTGGCCAGGCTGGTCTCGATCTCCTGAACTCAGGTGATCCACCTGTCTCGGCCTCCCAAAGTGCTGGGATTACAGGTGTGAGCCACTGCACCAGGCGTATTTGTAACTTTTATATTGTCAGATTGTTTTTGGGTGTTACTCCTGTCGTTTCCATGCTTTCAAAGTCCTTCCCTATTGAAGACCAGGTGAATATGGACCAAGTTTTCTTCTTTTTGACATTCAGGACTGGGCACGGTGGCTCACACCTATAATAGTAGCACTTTGGGAGGCCGAGGCGGGCAGATCACTTGAGGTCAGGAGTTCAAGACCAGCCTGACCAACATGGTGAAACCCTGTCTCTACTAAAAACACAACAATTAGCCAGGCATGGTAGCAGGTGCTTATAATCCCAGCTACTCAGGAGGCTGAGGCAAGAGACTTGCTGGAACCCAGGAAGAGGAGGTTGCAGTGAGCTGAGATTACGCCACTGCACTACAGCCTGGGCTACAGAGTGAGGCTCTGTCGAAAGAAAGAAAAAGAGAGAAAGAAAGAGAGGAAGGGAAGGGAAAGGGAGGGGAGGGGAGAGGAAGGGGAGAGGAAGGGGAGGGGAGGGGAGAGGAAGGGGAAGGGAGGGGAAGGGGACGGGAGAGGAAGGTAAAGGAAGGGGAGGGGAGGGGAGAGGAAGGTAAGAGAAGGGGAGGGGAGGGGAGAGGAGGAAAGGGGAGGGGAGGGGAGAGGAGGAAAGGGGAGGGGAGTAAAGGGGAGGGGAGGGGAGGGGAGGAAAGGGGAGGAGGGGAAGGGAAGGGAAGGGAGGGAAGAGGAAGAGGAAAAGGAAGGAAAAGAAAGAGACATTCAGATGCCCAGTGTTTCTCTGACTATGATTTCAGAGCTGTCTGTGTTGGAATCACCCGGGGAGAATGCTAAAAATCCAGATTTCTGGGGCCTCGCCCTAGAAACAGAGTCTCTAAGAGGAAGCCACAGTTCTCTCCATTTTTAGCAAGTCTCACATGTGGTTTCAGTGAACACTAAAGTTTGAAAACCACTGCTCAAAAGAATGATAGGGCACAATTTGAAAAAGAACACAATCCAATTCCCCCCTCCCAAGAGCCAACTTCCCCAGCACCAGCCATTTGGCAATAATCCAATTCTTCCAGGATAGTCTGTGGGAAGAATTTTCTCATGCTTGAAGTTGCTTAAAGCTGGGATTCACTGGCAGGTAATGAGCTCTTGGTCTCAAAATGTCCAAGCCCGGGACTGTTGGTGTCTTGGGATCCCACGGTCCAGTTGGAAGGTCAAATGAAATGACATTTCGTAAGGTACCTGAACTAGTGCTTTTTATTTTTTCTCCAAATGCCCTTGAAGGTTTTTCTCCAGCTAATATAGAACCTATGAGAAAAGTGCTTTGAAGGTGCAGGGTCATGGGGGAGCGAGCTTTCTGTAAGACAAAAAGCCAAGAAAGGAGAAACAGCATTCTGGTACTTACCAGCAGCCTGAGGTAGCCGCGCTGTTAAGCGCAATGCCGTGTCCAATTCACGGCCCCAGCCCTGCCCAGGGGAGGCTGGGAGCTCCCAAGGTACCCAGATGCTGGCTGCAAATGTCGACTGGTGGCCAGGCCATTGCCACGCCAAGCAACTGTTCCAATCCCGCTCCTCCCCAAGGAGTGTGACAAAATGTCTGAGCTAGATCAAGCACGACAGGTGCACAGCAGGCAGGTGATAGGGGACAGAATGACATAGAGCCCTCGAAGGCACAGTCAACAAGCCACAGAACTTCACCCTGGGCGTAGAAGGTGGTGCTCTCTCCAGCACCTCCCGGGAGGTCAGACAGGATTAGGGCAGCCCTCCTGGAATGCCCGGTCCAGCCCCATCGTGCAGAGGGAATTCCGAAGTCCAGGCAGGGGTAGTTGGTGGTTACAGTGGAGCAGTGCCTGGCTTCAGCATGTAGGATTTGCCATTACTCTAAAGCAGTGGTTTTCAAAATGTAACCCCAGGACCAGCAGCATCTGCCACATCTGGGGACTTGTTAGAAATGCAGATTCTAGGGCCTGGAAGCTCTGGAGGTGGGTCCACACTCTGCATTGATACAGGGCCTCCTGATGCGTGTTCAAACCTGAGAGCCACCAGCTTAATCCTCTGCACTGGGGAAGATTAATGGGATACTTTAGCTTGCTTTGGAAAGAGTGGGAAAGACAGAGAACAGAGAGGCATGAGTGTGTGAGGCTCCCCTTGCACCGCCCTTGATGGAGTCTAAACCTCAGCCTGGTGTTTGGGGCCCCACGTGGTCCCCCAGCCACCTTCTCAGACTGCTCAGGGGGTTCCGCATGCTCCAGCCAAAATGCAAGTCCCTACTCCGGCGTTTCTGTCCCTTTTCTTTAGTGCAGCCTCTTCCTTCTGAGATCCCACTCAAACCCTACCTGAGGTGCCCTCTTTCCTGTGAAGGTCTATGAGACAAGAAACTCGGAACAGCGGCTCCCTCCTGGCTCTCCTTTTAAAAACTACACTACTCACTGGGCACAGTGGCTCATGCCTGTAATCCCAGCACTTTGGGAGGCCAAGGCGGGCGGATCACCTGAGGTCAGGAGTTCAAGACCAGCCTGGCCAACATGGTGAAACCCCATCTCTATTAAAAATATAAAAATTAGCCAGGCATGGTGGCACGCGCCTGTAGTCCCAGTTACTTGGGAGGCTGAGGCAGGAGAATCGCTTAAACCCGGGAGGTGGAGGTTGCAGTGAGCAGAGATTGTGCCACTACACTCTAGCCTGGGTCACAGAGCAAGGCTCAGTCTCAAAAACAACGACAACAAACAAACAAACAAACACCCCAAAATATAACTCTACTACTCTTAAAACCTGGCCACAATCAGCCTTCCTTCTTCCGTGTATCTTTCCTATTTAACTCCCTGGCCAAGCCTGACTTATCCCCCACCCTCTCCCAGCAGCACCTGGAGTCAAGCGGGCTTTCGAGGTTCTTGGCTGACAGTCAGCATCTTTTCTTTTCTAAAACTCCCCTTTGAAAGTTCATGTGCTGACTCACCACTGTTCACAGCTCAGCAGCTGCTCTTAACTTTCTGCCTTTACCTAGATAAATTAACAGCAGCTGACCTCTAGAGCTGAATTATTTTTGGGGCTGTGGTGGTTGCTAGAATGATTTTACCCCAGTGGCACAACGAAAGCAAGCAAGTGCCTTCTGTGCAGACCTGGCTTTTCCAAACTTGACCTAGAATGTCAGACTGGAGTGGGAGGCTTAAATATCCTCTCACCACCACCCCTGTTTTTTTTAAAGACAGGGTCTCGCTCTGTCACCCACACTGGAGTGCAGTGGCACAATCACGGCTCACTGCAGCCTTGACCTCCCAGGCTCAAGTGATCCTCCCACCTCAGCCTCCTAAGTAGCTGGAATCACAGGTGTGTGCCACCATGTCTGGCTAATTGTTTCATTTTTTATAGAGACAGGCTCTCCCTATGTTGCCCAAGCTGGTCTTGAACTCCTGGGCTCAAGTGATCCTCCTGCCTCTGCCTCCCAAGGTGCTTGGGATTATAGGTGTGAGCCACTGTGTCCGACACTCTCTCCCAATTTTACAGGTAGAAAAACCAGCCCAGAGAGGGACCTTGCCTTGCCAAGGTCTCCCTGAGAGTACCAACCATTTCAGGCAGCTCAGACACCTGCAGGATGGGCAGAAGGTACCAACCTGGTACTCAACTTCTGGAAGAAAGTGATGAGATGCCCCCTACACATTCAGCACCCCCATTAGCTCTGCAGACTGCTGTGGGCAAGGTGAACTCCCATCGATCCCATGGCCCTGGTGGCTCTTTACAGTGTCCTGTGACTGGGACATTCCCAACAGCCAAGCATCCGTCCAAAGCTCCTCAGTCTCAGGAACCCACCATGAAAGTGAGAGATGTAGCCCCGGCTCCCAGGAGGGAGTCTTCAGCCCAGGATCTTCCAGCCTGGCTGCTGCCCCCAACTCGGGAACCTGCCTCTCTCTCCCGGATCCCAGGCAGGCCTTACCTGGATCCCTGCCAATCCCCCAGGATGGGGAGCAGCACCCCCAACCCTAGCTGAGCCCAGGACCCTGACCACCCCCTCAATGCCCCCAGACTCTCTCCCACTGGCTTAGAGATGTTGGTGGTGAGAAAAGGAGGCAGGCAGGTAAGGAGAGGTCGTGATGCCATGGGGCCTGCAAGGCGCAGGCTGGTCAGTACAGGCCGGAGCACTCTGAAGCATGGGGGCTGGGAAAGGGGGTCCTGGGGGTGGAAACCCGCCTCCTTGGACATTTCCTGAAGGGTTTGGGGTGTCTTCTGAGCCACTGGTCCCCGAAGCTGTCCCATGACCAGCACACTTTGGGTTCCGTGAGCAGTGCGATCAGTCTTACAGTCTCCATTTTGTCCAACATGAACTCCTGGGAGGGAAAATAAATCTCTCACCTGACAGTGTTTTGGCCTCTGGACGCTGCTTTCTAGGTACCAAAGCATCATCAAAGGCTGACCTACTTCTCCTTTAACTCTCACAAGCGCCCTGCAAAGGATGTGGTATCAATGCCACTGGGTAAATGAGCAAACAGAGGCTCAGAGAGGTTAGGTGACTTGTCTGATGTGGCACAGCCAGGAGTGACAGAGCTGGATGACTAGGAGTCCAGATCCTGGTGTGACTTCCTGAAAGTGGTTGCCTGCCTCTTCTCACTGCCTCTTCCAAGAAGCCCACCCTGACTGTCCCCAGCCTCCCTCTCTGAAGGGCATTCGTTTCTTAAGGACCAGATGGGCCTCCATCTCCTGTTGCCTAGCAGAATGCTGAGCATATTCAGGTGGCTCAATTCATGTTGGCTGAGTGACTGACAGATGTCAATCCAGAGGCCCAATCTGATTGTTGCTTGGGACCCTGTGACATCACCACATAATTTCTTCCCTTTTCTTGGGAAGAAGATGAAATTAATACACTGTGACTATTTAGACAAACATGTCCTTACTCAGAAATCTCATTTCTTTGCAATATGAATAAGTTCCAAGTTGTATATAACTAGGGATGCCAATTACACAGACTTCAACTGAATGGTGCCCACTGAGTTGTGCCATGCAGCAGCCTCGGTACTGCCTGTGAGGCTCCTGGAGAAGTCCTTCTGAACTGAGCCACAGGCTTGCTCACTGCTGACTGTTGCACTGGACACTAGGGAAGAGACCTGCCCCTCAGGGTTCCTGGGGAGCTAAGTATCCCGTGTTTGGATATCTGCACGGAACCTGCCTCAAATGAGGTAAGCAAGTTCTGACTTAGGATGAAGTCAGTGCTAAAGGTAGAAGACAGGAGAGTATGGAAAGGATGGGTCTTTGATGATGCCTCTGAGCCTAGGATCACACCATGCCTGAAACCCACCCAGGCACCAAACTTCCACTCATGACACAAGATGTGCCCTGGTAGAGGAGCCAAATGACCTCAGAAAAGAACAAAGTTGGAAGACTCACACTTCTCAATTTTAATATTTATTACAAAGCCACAGTAATAAAGACAGTATGGTACTGGCATAAAAACAGGCGTAGCGATGAATGGAATAGAATCAAGAATCCAGAAATAAACTTTTCATATTACGGTCAATTGATTTTTGACAAGGGTCCTGAGAAAACTCAAAGGGGAAAAATAGAACTTTTTAAACAAATGGTATCAGGACAACTGAATATCCTCATGCGAAATAATGAAATTGGACCCCTACCTTACACTATATTAAAAAATCAACTGAAAATGAACCACAGACCTAAACAGTAGAGCAAAAACTATAAACTTCTCACAAGAAACAGGTGTAAATCTTCATGACCCTGGATTAGGTAATGGCTTTTTAGATATGACTCCTAAAGGACAAATACATACACATACCCAAAGTAAAACTGTTGGATTCTCGGCCGGATGCAGTGGCTCACATCTGTAATCTTAGCAATTTGGGAGGCCGAGGCAGGTGGATCACTTGAGGTCAGAGTTGAAGACCAGCCTGGCCAACTTGGTGAAACCCTGTCTCTACCAAAAAATACAAAAATTAGCCAGGTGTGGTGGCGCATGCCTGTAGTCCCAGCTACTGGGGAGGCTGAGTCAGGAGAATCGCTTGAACCCAGGAGGCGGAGGTTGCAGTGAGCCAAGATGGCGCCACTGCACTCCAGCCTGGGTGATAGACTGAGACCCTGTCTCAAACAAACAAGCAAAAATACAAACAAACAAATTGGATTCCATAAAAATTCAAAACTTCTGTGCTTCATCAAGATAGTAAAAAGATAACATGCAAGATAGAAAATATTTGCAATCATATATTTGATAAGGGACCTGTATCCAGAATGCAAAAAGAATTCTTACAACTCAACTAAAAAAAGACAAATAGGCCGGGAACAGTGGCTCATACCTATAATCTCAGCACTTTGGGAGGCCGAGGCGGGTGGATCACTTGAGGTCAGGAGTTCGAGACCAGCCTGGCCAACATGGTGAAACCCCGTCTCTAATAGAAATACAAAACTTAGCCGTGTATGGTGGTGCATGCCTTGTAGTCCCAGCTACTTGGGAGGCTGAGGCAAGACAATTGCTTGAACCCGGGAGGCAGAGGTTGCAGTGAGCCGAGCGAGAAGTGCCATTGCACTCCAGCCTGGGCAAGAGAGTGAGACTCTGTCTCAAAAAAAAAAAAAATACAAATAATCAAATTTTTTAATGGGCAAATAATTTGAATAGACATTTCTCCAAAGGAGAGATACACATGGCCAATAAGCACATGAAAAGATACTCAACATCATTAGTCATCAGAGAAGTGCAAATCAAAACCACAATGAGATGCCACTTCACACCCATTAGGAGGGCTAAATTAGAAAAAGTTGACAATAGCAAATGTTGGCAAGGATGTGGAGAAATTGGAACCCTCGTACATTGATCATGGGGATGGTAAATGGTGCAGCCACTTTGGAAAAGAGTTTGGCAGTTCTTCGAATGTTAAACATAGAGTTAAGAGATGACCCAGCAATTGCACTCCTAGGTACGTACCAAAGAGAAGTGAAAACATATCTCTGCATAAAAATGTGTACACAAATGTTCTTAGCAGTAATATTCATAATACCTAAGGAATGTAACAATCCAGATGTCCGTCAACTGATGAATGGATAAACAAAAGTTCTATCCATATAAATACGCCCATACCATGGACTATTCAGCTATAAAAATAAAGCACTGATTCGTGCTGGGACATGGATGAACCTTGAAAACATTATGCTAAATGAAAGCAGCCAGACGCTAAATGAAAGCAGCCAGACGCTAAATGTATCTTTTTGGGGGTGATGAAATGTTCTGGAATTAGAGAGGGGTAATGGCTGTGCAATTTTGACTATACTGAAAACACGGACATGCATAATTGTAAGGGCTAAATGTTATGGTATGTGAATTATATCTCAATAAAGTTATTATTTTAAAAAGACATGCTGTGTTGTCAATCAAAGCCAATCTGATCACGTTTTCTGTTACTGCAGTAACAGCATCCTGACTGATGGGGGCGGTGAGGAAAGAAGCCCAGTGGACTGACAGTGTGAAGTTTAAGGTGAGGACCCTGTGCAAGAGGCTCCCTCAGTCACTGAAATGCCCGCTGCCAGCGTTCTCATATGTGTAAGTGTGATCATACCTGTTTGTATCTTCGTGCGTGCAAGTTGATGTTTGTGTGCTTATTTGCAGGTGTGTCTGTGTATGTCTCATGTGTGGGTGTGCAGAAAGCACACATGGATGTTGATGGGTGTGTACTGTGTGTGTGCGTGTGCCTGTGTGTGATGTGTCAGTGTGGAGCTACATATGAAGACCAGGTGGGAAGTTCCTCTATGCACCTTCTACACTGACCCTTCACCTAGTGGGTGCTCAAGTTTGTAGACTAATAGAGACCTTAGGACCTTACTGCACCAGGCACCAATGTAGCTATGGAAAGAAGAGCTGATGGGGGGCTAAACACAAATGCAGCCTGGGCTAAGGAGCAGGACTAGCTCAAGTTGGAGTCTTGCCTGGGGCAGTCAGGAGCCCCGCAGCCATCTGTCTATCCTTACCTTAATCAGATCGAGCTTGGAGAAGAGATCCATGCTCTTGGGCACGCCGTGGGCAGAGGGGCAGCACTGCCGGGCCATGTTGGTGATGGTCATTTGCATGTAGCCGAGCAGCTGATCCTGCAGGAAAGAGAAGGAGGAGGTGGTGGCTCAGGCTCTCTCCCAGCATCCCCTGCCCCTGCCCTGGCTCACTCCAGCCAGCGAAGTGTCGTGGACAGAGCTGGGACACTGGGAGTGTCCTTCTCATCATGGTCTATATTCCTCTCCTGCGGGGCTCGGTTGAGTTCCTCCCTACGTCAGAGCCTGAGCAGCCTCCTCTGCAAAGAGGCAGGTTGGACTAACTCCTTTCAGAAGGGCTTCCTGGCTGGAGGCATCGGGGTCCACACCTCGTTAGAAGCAGAGGACTGGGAAGGGGCATGGAGTGGGGCCCTGGACTTCAGACCTCCAGGATCCTGGTCTGCTGCAGCAGCTTAGAGAGAGAGACCTCAAAGGGGCTCTGTAGACTGTGACCCACCCAGCTCCCTCCCTAAGCCCCTTGCCTTGGCTGGAGGTCAGCAGCCAATAGCCCCCAAGCCTCGTCTTCCAAACTCAGATCCCTCGAGGCCCAGTCAGTCTGGACCTGAGCAGGTCTCACACTCACTCCATGACCTCATCCTGTGCAGGGAAGGTGTGCCCAGCGCAGCCCTGTGCCCAAGCCATGGTCCTAACTGTCCTCCCGCAGTCCCGGAGGCCAGAAGAACATAGACTGTTGCCTCCGTTTATGGCGAGGAACCGGGGTCCAGGGGTGACCAGACCACACTCCCAAGGCCAGTAAGGGGCAGTGCAAGAGCTGAATTCTGGAATCCCTGGAATTCATGGCCATGGACTTTGGCCATGACTTGTTCTTTCTGAGCCTCATTTTTCTCATTTGTAAAATGAGTGTGGGTAAAATTCACCAATATTTAAGAACACCTACTCCAGGTCAGACTCTCTGATCAGAGAGACACCAGCCTTACTGAAGACAGTACATAACAACCACTCACTTAAACACCGTTATCTTATTATTAACCACAAACATTATACAAGGACTAAGAGCTCGGCACAACACCAAGCCCTGGGACTGGGCCGGTGGATCCCGGCTCTGGTTCTTGGCAGAGCTCTGTCCTGAAATATCTGTGGCCTCAGTTTTCCCATCTGTGAAGTAACATCGGACCCCTCAAAGAGAGGCCCTTTGAAAGCAAACTGTCACCAAGGAGAAGAAAGTGGTGTGGGTCTGTCTGTGTGTGTGTCTGTCTCTATGTATGTCTCTGCATGTGTCTTTGTGTGTGTATGTGTCTGTGTGTCTGTGCGTGTGTTTGCATGTCTGTGTGTGTGTCTGTGTGTGTCTGTGCATTTGTGTGTATGTGTCTGGCTGGGTCTGTCTATATGTCTGGTTGTGTCTGTGTGTCTATGTGTCTGGCTGTGACTATGTCTGTGGGTGTGTGTGTCTGGCTGTGTGTGTGCCTGTGTGTCTATGTGTCTGGCTCTGTGTGTGTGTGTCTGCGTGCGTATGTGTCTGTGTGTTTTGGGATTGATGATGGAGACATCAGCTTCCCCTTCCCCACCCCTAACCCCACCCCCAGGCTGAAAGACTGGACTCACATTATAGCTGCTGCTGGTGTGTGTGTCAAAGTCAATGTCCTTCTGGTAAGTGATGCTGTGCTTCAGCTGCCACCACTGCTCCTGCTTGCGGTAGCACTTCTTCTGCAGCTGACACAGCCGGATCTTGAGGCTCTGGGGCAGAGGGAATGGGCCATCTTGGTACAACAAACCCTCCAGGGCATATGCCCTGGTCTGAGTCCCCAGGGTGGTCTGTGCAATGACAGGATAGGAGGAAGGAATACTTGTGGGTGGCTGGGGCCATTCAAGGCACCAGAGATGCAGAAAAGGGCGTGTCCAGGCTGATGGAGTTTACCTGAGCCCCAGTTCCTGATAATTTTATAAAGGGGAGTTCCCCTACACAAGTTCTCTTGCCTGCCACCAGGTAAGATGTGCCTTTGCTCCTCCTTCACCTTCCACCATGATTGTCAGGTCACCCGAGCCATGTAGAACTGCGAGTCCATTAAACCTCTTTTTCTTTATAATTTTGTTTTTTTTTTTTTTTTGAGACAGTCTCACTCTTTTTGCCCAGGCTGGAGTGCAGCGGAACAATCTTGGCTTACTGCGACCTCCGCCTCCTGGGTTCAAGTGATTCTCCTGCTTCAACCTCCTAATTAGCTGAGATTATAGGCGCACACCACCATGCCTGGCTAATTTTTGTATTTTTAGTAGAGATGGGGTTTCACCATGTTGGCCAGGCTGGTCTTGAACTCCTGACCTCGAATGATCTGCCCGCTTTGGCCTCCCAAAGTGCTGAGATTACAGGAGTGAGCCACCATACCTGGCCCCCTTTTTCTTTATAAATTACCCAGTCTCAGGTGTTTCTTTATTAGCAGCATGAGAAGGAACTAATACATGCCCCTGGCCAGGCCCTGTGGGATAGGAATTTGAAAGATACAGAACAGGCCAGGTGTGGTGGCACACGCCTGTAATCCCAGCTACTCGGAAGGCAGAGGCAGGAAAATCGCTGGAGCCTGGGAGGCGGAGGCTGCAGTAAGCCGAGATCACTCCACTGTACTCCAGCCTGGGCGACAGAGTGAAACCCTGTCTCCCAAAAAAATGAAAGAAAGAAGGAAAGAAAGAAAGAGAGAGAGGGGGCGAGAGAGAGAGGGAAAGAAAGAAAGAGAGAGAGAAAGACAGACGCAGGACATACCCCCGTGGCCCCGCTTCTCTGAGGCTTACTTTCCTCCCCTCGAAAATGGGAAGAATAGCATGGCTGGACTTGCCTTTCCCTAGTCCCAGCCCTTGGAATAGTAGCACCTACCTAGAGGTGCTGGCGTGATATTTAAGTGAGATAAAGCATGTAAAGTGCTTCACGCAGTGCCCAGCCCATCCATGAATTCCATTCTCCAAAGAAATGGTACAACGTGGTGCAGGCTTGCAGCGCTGCCACTAGGGGGCAGATGCTCTCTCCAAAACTACGCAGCAACCCTTTGCAGTGAACCAACCGGCTGGTCATCCTTCCTCTGGGATCCCGAAGTCCCCGGTCCCAGTGGCAGCATGAATCTTCATGATGCCACGCCTTTGTCAGGGCAGGCTCTTCCACCTGGAGTGCCCATCCCTCCCAGCGGAAGTCCTATTTATTATGCGATAACTACAAAGGAAGGGAAGGGAAATGATGTCTCTGGCACTTACTTTGAGGCAGTTTGTGTTTGGTGCCTCGCAAGGACGCTAGCAACTAGGGTGTGTTGCCCCCACTTGACAGATGCAGAAACTGAGGCTCAGAGAGGCTACAAACTAGTCACACAGCTAGTCAGTGGCTGAGCTGGGAGCCGAGCTCCAGTCCCTCTGCATCCAGGACACATGGCTTTTCTACCACGCAGAACAACGTTAGGCACGAGCTGAGCCTCAGGCAGCAGAGGGGAGAGGAAGGGGATATGGAAGGCGGCTCAGGAGCGACAGCCCCACCGAGGGCCCCCCAGCATTACGCCGCTGCTCCCTCTAGGCCTTCCCCAGGGCTATGCAGGAAAGGGGGCCCCACGCCCCCAGCTCCCTGGGCCACGGGGAATGGAGCAGACTTCAAGCAGCTGTTACCAACATGAGAGCCCTGTGGTCCTCCTCCAGAGACTCCAGGCTCCGGTGGACAGCCTGGATCATCTGGCAGAAGGCCTCGAGGCGCTTCTGCGTGTCCTGGCTGGCTGTGAAGAGCTTCCCGTAGTGCTTCACCGTGGCCTCCACCAGCACCTCCTCCGGCTCCTCCCATCCCGTGCAGCCTACGGAGACAGCGCCATGGCGGGATGGGTGGGTGCCCCTGCAGTGGGCCATGCCAACAGGGTGGCCAGGAATTCCAGCTGGGGCCACAAAATTGAGAGGTGCCAGACAGTCCATGACAGTAGGATGACCCCAGACAGTAGGATGGTCCCGGGCTTGCCATCCACACCCGCCCCCCCGCCCTCCCGCCCCCTCCACTTCAAGGGAATCCTCAACCTTGGAAAGTTCAGCCAGAGACTGAGACAGGGATTCTGGATCAAGACCACCGAGCGAGGCGGGAGACTGCCCTCAAGGAGATGTTGCTGCTTGGAGCAGCCTGAGAGGGGGATAGGAATTGTTCCTGTCCTGAGCGAGCAAGTGCCAAGTCCTGGTGGTTATGCATTTTGGATGGGTTGAACAGGGCAGAATTGCTGAATTAGGAAGGTCCCAAACCACAAGCAGCACTGGGTGCTGGGTCTGCCGCAAGCCCCATGCTTGACCTGCAGCCCTGACTCCTCCTTGGCTCAGTACTCAGTATATATCCCCAGCCTCCCAGCCACATCGCCCAGCAGCCCGGAGCTCACCACCCCTAAACCCACCTCGCAGCCCTATGGCTCCTGCCTACATTTGTGTCCCTCCCTCTGCCTGAGGGTCATTCTCCTTTGCTGCACCCATTTGAGCCCCATGAGAGGTCGCCTCCTCCAGGAAGCCTTCCCTGATCTCCAAGGCAGAGTTTTTGGAGTTTCCATAGCTCCTCTCATTCTAGCACTTAGTACAGTGGCTATGAAGTCAGACGGACCAGAGTCTGAGCCCAGTGCCACCACTTCCTGACTGGGTGACCCTGGGCAAGTTCGTTACCCTCTCTGAGCCTGAGTGACACAGTAGTGCAAAGCTCATAGGAGGGGTAAAAAAGATTTGCTAAAGAGCTTAGCACAGGGTACATATTTAATAAATGGTAATAATTATTATTGATGGTGTTGAAATAATAATGATAACAATAAATATGTGTGACTCCCCTTCCCTTTTCCAATGAGTTTCCAGTACTCATAAAACAACACAGAAAACCTCATCTCAGATGTCCTTATACTCTTAGTTAATAATAGCAACACAAAAACACAAAACCAAAGACAAACAAAATAATAATAATAATGGCCAACGTTTACCAGGTACTAGCTAAATGTGGGGCCCTGTGCTGTGCTTATAAAGGATGACTTCATCTAGTCCACATAATTATTGCTGTTCCCATTGTACAGATAAGAAAATCAAGGCCTTGAGAACTTGCCAGAGGCCACACTGTTAGCGACAGTGGAGCTGGAGTTGGGACCAAGCAGTCAGACTCGGCTGCCTGAGCCCTTCCCCACTACTGTGGGGTTGGCCTTTGTGGATTCCCATTCTGTAGATGAGCAGCTCGTGGCTCCATGAGGCCACACACGGTGTCGCAGTCCTGCAGCCAGTAGGTGGCTGTGGAGAGAAAGGGCTTTCCGAGGAAGCTGTGTACATACCCTCGGGGATTTTCTCAAGGACCTTAATCAGATAGTCTTCAAAAAGCTTGTGCTTCTCGACTTCTCTCTTGAGCTTCTTCTGCCTGTAGAGCCAGATGCAGGAACATGGCCTGGAGGCTCCCAGGTCACGCAGGACCCCCTGTGAATGAACCTGGACCACCCTCTGTGATCTCCTGCTTGGACGTGCACTGGGCCGGCCACGTACCACTTTATCAGTTGGCCATAGACTTAGGAGTCTCTGCACCTTCATTTCACTGCTGAGCAAACTGAGCCACAAGCAGATCAAATAAACGCCCATAGCAGCATCTCCCAGGCAGCAAAGAAGGTATCTGGGGGAGAATGAAGGCTGAGCCTTTCTGGCCAGAGTCTTCAGTGCCTCCCCTGGAGGCTGTGCAGGTGGCTGCCATCTCAGGAGACAGGCCGGCCCCTATTAGCTGGTGACGTGGGGCCAGCTGCTTCACCTCTCTGTGCCCGGGTTGCCCATCTACAGCAGGGATGATGTGAGCTGCTGGCCAGGGTCATGCGTGGGGCTCCCAGTGCCTTGGGGGCACTCCATCAGAGGTGGGGGCCCCACCAGCCCCCAGAGGGGAGGCGGCCACGTGCTATTGCCTGACCATACTTGACTCTTTGGGGAATCCCTAAGCAAGTCACCAACAGGTCACCTGCTCTGGACCCAGCCAAGGTCAGCAGTCAAGGGCAGAGACCAGAGTGGGGCTTGGCCTGGCCAGCTGGCCAAGCTCCCAAGCCACTCTGACTGTCCAACAGGGGCTGTGCTGGGGGTTTCTGAGTGGCCCAGGGCAAGCCCCTCTGCTTCTCTGGGCCCTCCCTCTCTCATCCGTATGATTCTGAAAAGTGCAGGACAACATCATCCTTCCCACAGATACCACGTGGGGCCCTGTGAGCCGTGACAGTGCTAAACCGTATTGGGATCAGGAAGGCCTCTGAATCTGTTGGGTCAGCTCTTTTCTTCATAAAACTTTGCATAGACACATCCTTTTGCATCGAATTCAGGCTTTTGTGGGTAGCCTGAAATGTCTTATCTCCCCAACCTCCCATCCCCATGGGGTGAGGACCCAGGGTCACCACTAAGAGTCAAGGCGGCAACCTCGTAGACTGGCCTTAGAGGGGCCGAGTGGACAGGTGCAGACGGATGGTCACCCACAGTCCTCCTTCCTGATGTAGAGGCTCAGCCTGCAGAGGGCCCGGGACTGGCCCAAGATCTCAGGCCAAAGGGCAATAGCCACACCTCTTCTCTCTCCCGTCACAGCTGTTGCTCAGCCCCACCCCGCCCATTTGCTTCCAAGCCACACTGCCCTCCTCATCCACCCCCTGTCCTGGCCTCCTCGGGGACATGTTTGCTAAGTCCAGCCACTTAGCCCACTGGGGAAGCACTGGGGCTGGGGCTGGGGCAGGGGTGGGACAACACATACTTAGCCTGGAGCTGGTAGAGTTCCTGCCACAGCCCTTGAAGGTCCCCTTCCTTGTCACCAGGATTGCTTGGGTCAGCTCTCTGGCCTGTGTCCATGGCTGCCATCACCTCACCACCGCAAGCTATGCAGGAGGACAGGAGACCCGTGAGTCAGGCAGGATGAAGACAGACCGAAAAGGGACAGTCACAGCCGCAGCTTCCTCTTCAGATCCTTGGAAGCCAGGGTTAGCATCCCCACCTCACAGAAAAGGAGACAGAGGTTCAGAAAGGGGCTGTGAGCAGCTTAAGGTCATCTGGCAGGACTGGATGAGGACCCAGGGCTCATTAAATCCCAAGTCCAAGGTCTTCGGGCTGCATCCCCAGCTCTGGAGAGGTTGAGGGTGCCATTCTGCAGGGGCCTTGTTTCACTTGCGGCCCTATAACTGGTACAGCCCCATCACCCCCAAGTCTTCAGTTCCTGGCCACCAAGATGCCTGGGAACTTTCAACAAGTGCTGGCTTCAAATAAATGATGGAAGAAGTCATAGGGTCAGAGCCAGAGTTGGTTCAGAAAACAGCCTGCTTAAGGAGGAGGCAGCTTCATCATCATCTCTGCCCACCCACCCCCCATCCATGCATTTATTCACTTAACCAACATTACATGCTCTGAGCTCATACAGGTCTTACAGAGCTACAGTGGAGACTGAGAAGAGATGCCTTGAAGAAGCTCATGGTCAAGCTGGGAAAATGGTCTAGTTACAAGTAGCTTCAACACGGTCTTGCAAACTGTTCCTGAGCCACTCACCCAAGGCCAGTATGCAAGCATGACCCTCATTGGTCAGCTGCTGAACCAGCCCAGTGCATTGGGGAGAGAAGGTGAGGGGCTACAAGGTCAGTCTTTCTAGCCCCAAGCATCAAACATAGGTAGACAGGCACTGGAGGAGGAAGGGGCCTAGCTGACTCACCTACAGCTCCAGGAGCACAAAGCCACAGCCAGGCTGTGACATCACAATGCTGGCTTCTGTCCTTATGATGTGTCCATTGCAGGATCCACCTGTGGGTGGAGGGCCAGATTCTCCATGGTCCTAAAACCTCCCACCCCCAACTCCCAGTCCCGTTCCCAAGAAGATGGGGAGAAAGGGCACTGGCAACCCCATGTGAGACTTGGGCTATTTTTGTCCTTTCTGTCAAGGCTGGTCTGCTTTATGTGCTGCCCAGTTCCAATTGACCTGTCCCGGGACTCTCCCTTGACCCCATCCCACCTGATTTTGGTGGCTGCAGCTCAGGCATTTCTCCATCAGCCCCCCCAAGGCTCAGCCCCACCCATGGCTCAGGACCAGGCCTGGTTCCGTGCAGGGGGTGGGAGCAAGCTGAAGGACCCATGTCTGGGAACTGCCCCTGCCTACAGCTTGGCGGTGAACCTCCTGTTGGAGCCACTGGACCTGTGCCACCGGGGAAGGTGGGGTGGGGAGGGCTGGGCCTCTTGCCCACCCTGACACCCCACCCCCACCACACGCACCACCCTGCCGGCTGGCCTGGCCTTCCCCCTCAAAGGCTTCCATTGGCTCAGAGCTGGGCAACCTCAGATGGCTCCTGGGAAGCCACAGCTCAGTGTGGGCTCCACTGGGAGGAACGTTGTGGGTGGGGAAGGTCCCCAGAGAGGGTGAAGGAGGCAGGAGCCAGGGCAGGGCCTGAGCCAGAGTGGGGGCCAGGAATGAGGGAGGGCGGGGGTCTCTGCAGGGGCAGAGCAAGGGCTGGGGGTTCAGGTCTGTGGCTGGAGTTGGGGCACGGCTGGAGCAAGATCTGGATCAAAGGCTCGGGCTGGGGCCAGGGTCGGGGCTGGGCTCAGGGGCAGGGGCAGGGGTTTGGACTCATCCCCCTCACAACCCCTTACCAGCAGGCAGTGAGATCAGCCCCAGCCAGCCCAGGAGTCCCTGACAGGTGCCCAGGGCTGCCTCTCCATGGTCCTAGAGCCCCTCGCTTATGTGCTGAGCACCGACTGAGAATGAAGGTGAAGGGTCCTTGCTCTGGCCTTGGGTTCAGACTCAGGAGGGAGGTGGATGCAGGTGTGGGGGACGTGGATGCAGAGGGAGAGGAGCTCAGGGGCTGGGGTTGCCCAGAGAAGGAGTCAGCCCAGTTCAAGGAGGGGTGGGGGAGTCCCCCAGAGTCAGCAGTGTCCGAGGTGTTTCACGAGGATAAGAATGAAAGGAGAAGGTGGGAAGGGCATTCTGGCAGAAGGAATGGCAGGGACAAAGGTTCGGAGGCACGGAACAGCTTGCACATCCTGCGCAAACCGTAGGCAGCGCCTTCAAAGCAGAAGGGGGCGATCAGGGTGGGAGTGGTTTGGACCGTGGCTGGTGAAGCTGTTGGCAGGAGTCAAAGGGTATCAGCCAGCAGCAGAGACTGTCCGGGCTACTCTGGGCAAGGAGAGATGCATGGGAGGCTGTAGGGAGGTGCAGAATCAGAAGAAAAGCTGAAAATCCAGAGAGGACAGGGGCTCAGGGCAGCCCTGGAGATCCATGCGGCAGGAACTCAGGGAGGCGCCCCCAGAATGAATCCTTCCCAACCCCTTTTCATCATCCTCTCCATTCTCAAGAATCAAGAGAGGGTGCCCAATTGGCTGAGCCTGGGCCATGTGCCCACCCCTTGGCTTGACTGACAGTCATATCCTAAGAGCCCGCATTGGGGCCCGGAAGTTTCCCAGTGCAAACCCTGGCGCTGTTCCCAAGGAATCGGGACAGCTGAGCAACAGAACCCACAGGTGCTCCTCCATGGAGGCTCAGGGACAACAGGCTGAGGAGGCTCAGGGACAACTGGGCTGCATCCCCAGCTCCGGATAGGTCCAGGGTACCATTCTGTAGGGGCCTTGTTTCCCTCGCAGCCCTATAACTGGTACAACCCCATCACCCCCAAGTCTTCAGTTCCTGGCCACCGTGATGCCTGGGAACTTTCAGTAAGTGCTGGCTTCCAACAAGTTCTGGAAGGAGTCACAGGGTGAGAGCCGAAGCTGGTTCAGAAAGCAGCCTGCTTAGGGAGGAGGCAGCTTCATCATCATCTCTGCCCACTCAGAAATGGTCAGAGCATTTCTGAGCATGCTGTCTGGCTCAGAGTGGCGGTGAGGCTGGCAGCGTGGCAGCGGGAGTGACTCATGTCTGTGTGGCTCAGGTCTAAGCACTTCCATGCAGGGGTTCATTCATCTTCATGACACACCGACGTCAAAGCTGTTATTTCACAGAGGGCAAAGCTGAGGCCCAGAGAGGCTAAGTAACTTGCCCAAAATAGTTTTGATATTAATCCAGAAAGTCAAGATCCAGAACCATCTGGGAGGTTGAGTGGTTAGGACCTTGAAAGTGATGGATAGGGGGTCCCACAGCGGGAGGCTGTTCTTGGGGAAGACTCCATTAGCACCTCTGGTTATGGGACCTTCACTGGGGACAGTCAGACCACTGACCCTCCTCTGGCCGGAAGCAGATGCTGGAGAAGGCTCGCCAGACCCTCGTCCCTTCCCACGCTCAAAAATTCCAGGACTTTTCTTCCTAGAAGTTCAAGGCTGTAAACCACTTGACCCCATAGGTGGGGGTGGGCAGGTAGGTTTGGAGTGGGGATGGTGGCACTATTTGTTTTCCAGTGACAATTTCATTTTTGGCCTGAAGTGTCCCATAGGCACTGAGAGAACACACAGACAAGGCTGGGAGAGGCTGCAGCTCCTTGGGAGCCGTTTCTCCCACCCAGGCCCCTAAAGAGTGACTGTCACAAGCACCAGGGATTGAGTCCTATCACGGATTTGCCACTGCCTGACTCTTTACTGGGAGTCTCTCGTTTCATTCTCAGAACGGTCCTCTAGGGTGGTGGTAGCACTGCTCCATTTTGCAGATGAGAAAACTGAGTCTATGAGGCGAAGTAACTTGCCCAAGGGTACACAGTTAATACAAGGTAACAGGGCTGGCTACACAGTTTGTGGGGCTCAGTACAAAATGAAAATGCTGGGCTCCTTGCACAAAAATTATTAAGAACTTCAAGATGCAATAGCAGAAGATAAAGCCAAATGTGGACTCTTGCGAGTACAGATCCTGCATAACTGCATACGACCCACGCTGGGATGTGGACCCAGGTCCAGGGATTCCAGATGTAGTTATTCTCCATCCTGCTCCTTAAAACCCACAGGCCTGCCTCAGACCCCTCTTCACCGCCCTGGCTCTTCCTCTTCTTCCTCCCCCTTCCCCAGCCTCACTCAACCAGCAGACCCCACCCTTCCCTAATTAGGGGAAGACTCAAGCACTTACATGGAGGGTGAAAGGAACTTAAGAAGAAAAGAAATGATCAAGGCAGAGAGACAGGAGCTGCCAAGGTTCCACAGCGGTGAGGGGCGCAGGTCTCTCACCTCCCAGACTAGCCTCTACCCCCTGGGCCTTGGACAAGAGAAATCCAAGGCAAGTCTGTCTGTTACAGGCAGCTGGGAATCTTGGGAGCTGGGAACCTGCTACAAGGACAGAGCTGCAATTAAATGGCAATAGGACCCCTTTTCAAAAACCTTAACAAGGACTCCTGGGGCTGGAATCTGCCCCCAGGCTTGGGTCACCAGGCACAGCAGAAGGAAGGGCCTGATCAGGCCTTCTGCAGAATTCACCCCATCTGCTCTACAGCCCCAAATGCCCCTAAACAGGGCCAAGGCCGGCCCTTCCTCAGCCATTGACGCTCAGGATGCAGAGTGGGGCTGCGGGTTGAGGCAGGGCTACCAGCTGTGTGGCCTCAGGAAAAGTACTGACCTCTCTGAGTTTCAGTTTCCTGAAAGGCAAAGTGTGGGTAATAGCACCCAGGGATTAAACGAGATAGTCCACGTACAACACTTAGCATCTTCTCGTTTTTGTAGAGTTAACCCATGTGTGCATAGGAGAAAGTCTAGAAAGATATGAACGAACATTTTATGTCTTAGGGGCAGGGAAAAGCGGAAACTTTTAAACTGGTACAACTCTTTAAGAGAGTATCTGTTCTGACCCTTTAGGAAAGCAAGCAGCCCAGAGCTGACCCGTCGTAGGTATTCGATGGGCGTTAGTTTTGTTTCCTGCCCACCTCTTCTCTCCCCCTCCAGAGGATCACAATGGGCTGATCCCCTAATGCAAGAGCACAGGAGCTTCAGCAGAGGTTGCTGGGGTTGGCTGGCAAAGGTGGCTCTGGTGGGAAGAGGTGAGAGGGTGCAAGGGAGACAAACTTGGCCTATTGATTCGGCCAGAATTTTACTAAGACCTGGCACGACGTAGCTCCTCCCCCGTTGAGACAGAATCTCAGCAGTCTACCTCTATCCCCTCCTTCCATTTCTAGCACAAGAGGAAAACCCAGGGCATCCTGGGCCCAGGAAGCTGTGCTGGGGCCCCACCTCCTCTGAGGCCCTCAGCCTGGCCCAGCACCCACTTCCCTGTGCCCCTACCCTCATCCTTGCTCTGCACCAGGAAAAGCTCCAGGTCCCAGAGCTGGGGAATCACCCAAGCAGGTCCTAGGACACTGTAAGGCTGTCTCCAGCTCAGTTCTCCCAAGACAGGGCCTTCCCGTGGTGGAGGATGGAGGCTCTGGTCATGGTCCGAGGGGCCACAGTGGAGTTCTGGGCCTTCCGGTGTCTATGACACTGACATCCTGCCACCCCTCACCTCCCTGGAATAGCTCAGAGGAGATGCCCTCCCAAGAGGCAGTGTGGGAAGGGGCTGCTCTGACCAGAGGGAACCAGGGCTGAGGGGCAGCCAGGGCATCATCAACTGTTTTCTTCTGTCCCAGAACCATCACCTTCCTAGGAAGAATCACTGAGGTGTGGGGCACAGAATGAATTTAGGGACCCTGCAGGCCTGGGTTCAAGTCATGCCCCTCCATGCCACCTTGTCACCTCCTGCTATGAATCTCTTGGTGGGGGTTGGCCCGGCAAGGCTGTGAGCTCTGCCTCCAAAGTCTCTGGAATCTCTTCACTTCTCTTCGCTGGCCCATGTTGGTCCCACCTGGAGCAAGCACTGGCCTTCCCTGCTGTTCCTTCTGCTCCTGTCCCCTGCGGGCCACTCTCCACCTGGCAGCCAGAGAGAGCTCGTCTTAAAGCGAAAACCAGATCTCCGCATTTCCCTGCCAAAACCAGTGATGTTCAGGTCAACAGTGAATGGGAGAAAAGCCAAGATGTATGGCATTCATCAGTTTCTGTGGTGTCAATCCGCCCGCCATGGCTGATTTCAAGCTACTCACAATTTAACAACCTGTTTGCAAAATGCCTGAAGACTTAACACTGGCTCTTATGAGCTGGTCTGAGCTGGCTACAGCACACCACCACTTTAAAACATGACAGATGAAGTTCACATTCTGGCTGATGAGGCTCCAGATGCCCTGGCTCCTCCTTGCCTATTCCTCTCACAGTGGCTTTTCTGTTCTCCTTCCTGGCCGCAGGGCCTTTGCACCTGTGGTTCCCTCGGCCTGGAGCACAAGTCTCCAAGCTCTTCATAGCACTCTTTCCCTCTGGTCTTCCAGATCCCAGCTCCTCCTCAGAGTGGCCTTCCCTGACCATCTCAGGTACCGCAACCGCAGCTTACCCTTGATGACCTCACCCCTGTGTGGCTCTATTTTAGCACTCCTTCCTGTGGATTTTCTCCCTCCCCACTGGAATGTGATCTGCATGAGGTCAAGGACTGGGACCGAATTGTCCCTGCTGGAGTCTCCGTGTCTAGAAGAATAGTACTGGACC
This sequence comes from Homo sapiens, assembly GCF_000001405.40. Classification (NCBI taxonomy): domain Eukaryota; kingdom Metazoa; phylum Chordata; class Mammalia; order Primates; family Hominidae; genus Homo; species Homo sapiens. The sequence continues at coordinate 1,106,111 of NT_187601.1, read as the reverse complement.
CACAGCAGGCGCTCGATAGATGTATGCATACAGACAGAGCTTCGGAGATGCACGGCTTTGGGTTTGAGTCACGATTCTCGCACCAACCACCTGTGTAGCCATCATGAATCACTCAATCTCTTTGAGCCTCTGTGTCCTCGTCTGTAAGTGGGGGACAACAACATTGCCTATGTGATGGAGCTGTGAGGGCCTAATGATGACATAGGTAAGGCACTCAGCACAGTGTCTGTCATACTAGGATCTCAGTAAATGAGAATGGCCTCTTCACTTCATATATTCAGTGATGGGCAGCTCATCCCCTCCCACGGTAGCCTCCTCATCCACCTCTGGGTCACTGTGACCACTAGAACATCTGCCCTTTCTTGTATTGAATCCAAATAAGTTTCTTCCGGTGTCCCCTGCCTCAGTCCTAGTTTAACAACTTCCCACACAGAAAGTCTCTTCCTATTAAAACCACTTTCTTAATGTTGGCATGAAGGTTGATAGAGTCGTGCTTCAGCATGAAAAGAACACTAATGGCAGGTCAGGCACCCCTTGGCAGCTCTCATCAGTCATGAGCTGCCTGGCCTTGGGCAAGTCCCTCACCCTCACCTAGCCTCAGTTTCTTCCTCCATGAAATGAGATTAGCAATATTACCTACCTCCTGGGGTTGCTGTGGAGATGAAATTAGCTGGTATACGTAAAGCATTCAGCATCTAGCCCAAAGAAAGTGCTCAAAAGACATCACTATTGTCACTATTATCATGCCTGGTGCAGGACCACTCCCAGATCTAGCATCTGTGGCCTTTTTCTGCCCCAAAGGCCAGGCCTCTCCTGAATGCTCTCCAGCCAAGCTGGAGAAAGGGCCAATTCTGGCTCACCCACCCCAATGTGCACCCCAATCTGTCAGAGCTGCCCCCTCACAGTCCACTAGAGGGTGAATCGGAGCTTCCCAAAATCTCCCATGGGACTACCTGACCTTGGGCAGTCATTCCATCTACTGGGCTTGGAAGGAGATGTCCCCAGCTCCTGGAAAATAGGCTGGCCTGGAGCAGGAACTGAGAGTGGCTCAGTCCACTCCAGGCTGGGGTGGCTTCTGCCAGATCCCTGGGTGGCCTGGACCAGCCCTCTTTCTTATCATTTTTTATGGATTCCTGATGTTCTTAATGGTGGTAGGAGAACACGGCTAACGAGGTCAAGTAGGAGGTGAAGTGAAGAAGGAGGAAGACCAGGAGAGTGGTACTCTGAAAGCCGAGAAGGAAACAGACTCGAGATGGTCTAGGAAAGAAACAGATCTAAGAAGCCCCCAGGATTCCCCTTAGTCCCTGGGGCTGTGAATGTGGTGAGCAGTCACATCTATGATCATGTCACCTTTCATGACAATGGGGATTTTGCAGATGTTGTTTACCAATCAATTGACCTTGAACTAGGAAGATTACCCACGGGTCTAACTGATTACACAAGCCCTTTAAAGCAGAGCATTTTCTCTGTGGCTGGTAGAAGAGGAAGTAAGAGATTGAATGGGTGAGAGGGATTCAATGGGAATAGAGAACAGAGGTTCTCATTGCTGAGATGGCAGGGGTCATAGGGCAAAGACCAGAGAAGCCACTAGGAGCTAAGAACAGGCCCGACCAGCAGTCAGAAAGGAAACAGGGATCTCAGGCCTGCGGCTGCAAGGAACTGAACACTGCCAACCACCTGAGTAAGTTTGAATGTAGATTCTTCCCCAGGGCCTCCAGATAAGAGGCCCGACCTTGACTTCAGCCTAATGGGACCCAAAGAAAAGAACCCAGTGGAGCCCTCCCAGGCTTCTAACCTACAGCACATCGGGGCTGGTTCAGCAAAGACCCTCTAAGACCTACAAGACTCACTAAGAATGAGTCTTGATCTTGGGTTTTGATCTTGGGGGCCCTGGGGACCCAGGTGGGCATGAGGAACAAGGTCAATGTGAGTTTGAAGGCTATTATTTGACCTCTTTCAATTCTAAGTATCCCAAAGCCAGGAGAATCATTGCATCTGGATGAAATCCTGATGGCTTCCTAGGAAGGGTGTGGAGGAGAAAGGCCATCCATGTGCCCCACTGAGCATGCCAGGGCCACTGATGGCTCCTGCATGTATAGGAGCACCACGCTCTGAGCAGCATCTGCTCTAGGGAGAGGCATGGGACTGGACAACTGAGGCAAGTGGTGTGTTCTGACATCCAACCCAGTGCTGGATGTCACTGCATCACAGAGCAGCCCGAAATTTTCATACAGTCTGTGCTTCTTATCCTGGGTCCTGGGCTGCAATGCCTCTGACCTGGGAGCCAGGTGTCTGGGACAGCGTTAAAGGGATGGCTGGCCATTTTGAGGATAGCCAATCTAACTCCCTAGGGTCTGCGGCAGCTGTCAAGCATCTCAGTAACTCTGGCTGGAGGATGAGGCCTGACTTTACATAAGGTGGGTGCTATTTACCCATGTGTTCATTGAGACTCCCCTGCCCTCTCTCACCATCTCTCGCATGGACCCCAAACATTGCAGTTTACACAATCTCTTTGTATCAGGATCTCATGGATCTGCAGGCACACAGCGTCCCGCACTCAGAAGTGCTTGGTTTAAGGCTCTGCTGTTGCTGTCTCCCATCCTCTCTCCCATCCCCTCCTCCCATTCCCTCCTCCAATCCCTGCTCCCATCCCGTCTCCCATCCCCTCGTCCCATCTCCTCCTTCCATCCCCTCCTCCCATCCCCTCCTCCCATGCCCTCTCCCATCCCTTCCTCCCATCCCTTCTCCCATGCTCTCCTCCCATCCCCTTCTCCCATTCCCTCTCCCAACCCCTCCTTCCACCCCTCTCCCAACCCCTCTCCTATCCCCTCTCCCATCCCCTCCTTCCGCCCCTCTCCCAACCCCTCCTCCTATCCCCTCGTCCTATCCCCTCCACCCATCCCCTCCTCCCATCCCCTCTCTCAACCCCTCCTCCGATTCCCTCTCCCATCCTCTCCTATCCCCTCCTCCCACCCCCTCTCCCATCCCCTCCTCCCATCCCCTCTCCCATCTCCTCTCCCACCCCGTCTCCCATCCCCTCCTCCCATCCCCTATCCAATCCCCTCCTCCCATCTTGTCTCCCATCCCCTCCTCCCATCTCCTCCTCCCATCCTCTCCTCCCATCTGCTCCTCCCATCTACTCTTCCCATCCCCTCTCTCATCCCCTCTCTTGTCCTCTCTCCCATGCCCTCCTCTCCCTCCTCCCATCTGCTCCTCCCTTCCCCTCCTTCCATCCTTCCTCCCATTTCCTCCTCCCATCCCCTCCTCCATCCTTTCCTCCCATCCCCTCCTTCCATCCCCTCTCTCATCCCCTCTCTTATCCCCTCTCTCATCCCCTCTCCCATACCCTCCTCCCATTCCCTCCTCTCTGGCCCCACCCCTCCTCCAACTCCTCCTTCTAGACTCCCCTACCACTCACTTTTCCTCCCTGACCTTCACCCCTCCTTCCACCCCCTTCCTCCCATCCCCTCCTTTCATCCCCTCCTCTCCTCTCCGGCCCCACCCCTCTTCTCCTCTCTGGCCTCACCCCTCCTCTCACTCCTCCTTCCAGATGCCCCACCTCCCTACTGTTTCTCCCTGGCCCCTCCCCTCCCCCACTCCCTCCTTCCCACCTCCCTCCCGCGCTGTCCTCCCTGAGGCTGTACCTCCTGTGGGTAGGAAGTCTATATTCCAGGAGCTGACACTGCTTCTGGCACTTAGCAGGGCTCATGGCATTTAATTTGTGCCTTGAGGATAAAAATAATAATAGTTCCACTTTCTGGGCACTCGTCTCCTGCAGCCCCTGTCACGGACTTGCTGGAGTGTTACCTCTTTGAAGCCTCACTCCCGCCCGTTAGGAAGCTGCTGCAGTCCTGACTCCTGCGTCACAGGTGAGGACCTGGGGCTGCCCGCCTCCAGAGAGTGGAGGGAAGAGGAAGGGAGCCAGGCTGCTGGCCCAGTGCCCACACCAACCCCACGCCAGCCACTCCCAGGGCCCAGACGGCCCAAGGGAGAGGGCATTCCAAGCCCAAAAGGGTTCAACAGGCCAGACACAGATGGACAGACGGTGGGGCAGAGGCAGAGCCACGAGGAAGAGGAGGCTGCGCAAGTCGTCTGGGGCTGACCACACAGGCCGCAGAGGCCCTACCAAGAAGATCTGGCAAAATGCAGTCACCTGCTTTGATTCTCTCCAGGCCAGGCTTTCCCAAAAGGCAATGCACGGCAGCCCTTGGGTTGGACAGGCACCTGGGTCAGAAACCAGACCTCTGGGTACTGCAGCGTGGAGATCATCTGAAGGCCTCTGCAGTCCTTTCCTGGGACGTGTGGCACGGCAGACATTTGATCCCACTGGGCCAGGCAGTGCTGTGAAATATAAACCCAGAGGCCCTGAGGGCAGGGCAAAGACAGAGAGGCCAGCTGGAACACCAGGAGGGCCACGGGCAGGCCCTGCACTAGCATCCAGTCAGCACTCGTCCCAAGAGCCCGGGGCTGGCAGTGCCCTGTGGGCTGCAGTGTATCCACCCTCAGGGCACAGCCCTGGCTGTCGATGTGACTGCCCAGGTCACACGCTCTTCAGGGGCCAGGCCAGGAGCTATGACAGTGCAGTTTGGAGGGGATGTGGCTGGCTTCAGTGGCACCAGGAAAAGTGGGAAGTAAGGGAGAAAGGGCAAGGAAAGACAGAAAGAAATCTGGACACTGCATTAACGGACTGAACCTAGAAACATATTTTCAAGTCTCTGTGCTTCCATCTTTTAGCTGTGAAGGGGAGATGGCCACTTTGGACCACGAGAAATATCAATATCAAACGCCCTTTCTTTTCATGCCCTCACCTTCCTCACCCAGTGTCAGCTCATATCAGGGGGCCCTGAGCTTCCTGGAAGGTCACCTTACCAGGTGCGTACAAGACCATGCATGTGCACGAGTGTGTATGAGAGTACCTGTCTGCACAAAGGTTGGCAGCAAACATGTTTGTTAAATGAATTCTTTTTTTTTTTTTTTTTTTTGAGACAGGGTCTCACTTTGTCACCCAGGCTGGGGTGCAGTGGCACAATTTCAGCTCACTGCAACCTCTGCCTCCTGGGTTCAAGTGATCCTCCCACTTCAGCCTCCTGAGTAGCTGGGACTACAGGTGCATGCCACCATGCCTGGCTAATTTTTGTATGCTTTTTGTAGAGATGGAGTTTCACCAGGTTGCTCAGGCTGGTCTCAAACTCCTCCTGCCTCGGCCTCCCAAAGTGCTGGGATTAGGCGTGAGCCACCATGCCCAGAGGCTGAATTTTATCCAACAACCAATTATTTTGAAATGATGTGGAACAGGAGGTTGCATCCCAGGATTCACAAACTCTTCCAAAATAATTATCCCATCTTTTATTTCTGTTTTTGAAAATATTTAGGTATGCTTGATTTAAATTCCAACTGACTTATGATTAGAATTTTTATTCTCAGAGAAAAAAGATTGGTGGATGCAGCAACTTTCAGTTGCTCATCTGGTTTCAGAGGCACTCAGAGTGTGGAAGGGCCTGTATTCCTAAGAGCTCCACAGTCCACTCCCTTCCTCAATTTCTCAGGGCTCTGGAGAGGGGAAAGGTTTGCATAGGGTCAGAACTTTCCAGAAGGGTGAAGAGCAGCACACTGGTGGTTAGGCTCAAGTCCTTTCCAACATGTGAGGTGCCTCACATGCCTGTAGAGTTGTTAGTTTACACATCTCACATGTGCTCATACGTGTACACTGGGGCAACCACACACACACCTGCACACATGTGCTCCAAGAAAGAGATGGAGTGTTGTATTTGTAGAAAACAGGAGACTTCAACAGGTAGGTACTCACTATTTTTAGAAGACTAGTTCGGCTGGGTGCGGTGGCTCATGCCTGTAATCTCAGGACTCTGGGGGAGGCTAAGGCAGGCAGATTACCTGAGGTCAGGTGTTTGAGACCAGCCTGGCCAAGATGGTGAAATCCCGTCTCTACTAAAAATACAAAAATTAGCTGGGTGTGGTGGCAGATGCCTGTAATCCCAGATACTCAGGAGGCTGAGGCAGGAGAATCGCTTGAACCTGGGAGGCAGAGGTTGCATTGAGCCAAGATCGCACCACTGCACTCCAGCTTGGGCAACAGAGCAAGAGTCTGTCTCAAAAAAAGACTAGTTCATTTGTCCACTGTCATACTAACTGGTGGGTTAAATCCACCTCTTCACTTAAAGAATGTAAACTATGCGTGTGTGGTGTGCTGTCAGCTAAGCACCATCTGTGTGTGTGTGTGTGTGTGTGTGTGTGTGTGTGTCTGAATGCACCAGCTACAAGCAGGGCTGAGACCTGCCTAGGGCTCCCCTTTCCTGCTTAAAGGAGGACCCCAACCTGCACATGGTCACTATGGCTGTTCTTTCTGTGCTGCTCAAACCACAGCCACGTGTCCCCCTGCTGGTGGCCTTCAGAGCGGGTTTACGAGCCCCATTCAGTGAATCATCCCATTATATAACAGTCACAAGGCGGTGGAAATCCACTCAGTTCTCCTGGTGGCAGCTATTCCCGAAATCCAAACCTACTCCTTTGTCAGCTTGGCCCATGCCCCGTTCTACTCCCTAAGAGCCACTTTCCACTGCCCCTGCTCTTCAGCCAGGCTTCCTCCCCATGGCACTGTGGACATTTGGGCCCTAATTCCATGGGGCGGGGGGCGGGCAGGCATGGGTCCTGCCTGGTGCATTGTAGGATGTTTGGCAGCACCCCTGGCCTCTGCCCACTAGATGCCAAGAGCATCCTCCCCTTTCCCCCAAGTTGTGGCAACCCAAAATGTCTTCAGGAATTGTCCCCAATGAAGAACCACTGTCTCCAGCCAACCACCATCCCCTCTGTCTCTGTCAGGAAGTTTAAGCTAATAACAACCTCTAACATTTATAAGTCTTTATTCTAAGGGATATATACATATATGAATATGAACATACATATACGGATATATAAATATATGAATACTATATATAAATTATATATGATAACATATCTTATGTATATATTGTATTAATATATACGCAATTGTATATATATGAGTGTATACATATATATACACACACATATATATACACAGAATGCTTGGGGTACTACGTCATATAATTTAATCTTTGCAAACTTCCTGTGAGCTATGGATAATATTATTCTCCTCCTCCCTGCAATGTATATCAGGAAGCCAAGGCAGAGAGTTAAATAGACTTTCTACGGTCACACAGCTAGCAAGTGGTTGAGCTGGCAGATGACTTCAGACTCTAGGCTCTTAGCCACTGGGTTCTGAAGAGGGATCTGGGGCAGTCACATTACCAGCAAGTCTGTGCTGGGAGTGGCCCCCAGCCTGACCTCCTGTGGTTGGGAACAATGAGGCACAATGACACTGACACCCGAGATGCCTGGGCTTGAAGCCCCTGGATCCTTGCTGGGGCTTGTGATCCATTGCAAACCACAACCTCCTCACCCCTAGGCACTTCTGGGAGTCTCCGGGGGGTAGCAGGCATCTTGAATGTGCCCATGAGAAAGTCCAGCCTGCTGTCTGGGCTCATCCTTCTCCAGTGTGGTGAGGTTCCTGCCAATGTGCCCCACAACCTGGGTTTAAGGTCTATGGCATGATGAGATTATCATGGGAGGAAGCTATGGAAAAGCACTCCGTGGGTTTCTGGAAGTCATGGCTCCTACAAAGGCCTGACAAGCCCCTCTTATTCTCCAGATTCGCTTCCCCTTTCCTCAGGAAAAGGATGTTGGAACATGAACTGCAAGGAGCTCCCAGGTCTGACATTCCTGGCTGTTCTGATCTTTCAGTCCTCTGCAGGACCGAGGCTGTGTGGACGGAGGCTGTGTGGATGGAGATCCCACCATCACCGAGTTCGGGCAAGTCCCATGAGGGTCTCAGCTCCTCATCCGTAACATCAGGATGATAAAGCCTCCCTCGCAGGATGGCCGTGCGAGTGCCCAGATCCCAGGAGAGGGCTGGTAAATGGGCGTTGCCTGCCCCATCCCTTTCTACCTGCACGGAAAAGGAGAGATGGCCCAGCCTCAGGTCATCAGGACCCTTGAGCCAACCCTGCATCTCAGCCCTGACTCCCACCCAGAATGCCGGCCTTCCTCACCAAGGGTCTGGCTGACACCTCTGCGATGCTCATCACTAGTCACTTGGGATTCCCTGGTGATATGGTTTGGCTGTGTCCCCACCCAACTCTCATCTTGAATTGTAGTTCCCATAATCCCCACATGTCATGGGAGGGACGGGGTGGAGATAATTCAATCATGGAGCGGTTTCCTCTGTCCTGTTCTCATGATAGTGAGCTAGTTCTCACGAGATCTGATTGTTTTATAAAGGGCTTCTTTCTTCGCTGGGCACTCATTCTCTCTCCTGCCATCATGTGAAGAGGGTCTTTGCTTCCCCTTTACTTTCCATCATGATTGTAAGTTTCCTGAGGTCTCCCCAGCCATGCGGAACTGTGAGTCAATTAAACCTCTTTCCTTTATAAATTACCCAGTCTTGGGTATTCCTTCATAGAAGCATGAGAATAGACTAGTACACCTGGGGAGCAAGGCCTAGGGTGAAAAGTGAAGCTCAGAGCAGTTACCCTCCAGCTGGAGGCACCCCCCACCACTACAGGTGCCAAATGGGTAACAGCTGCCTGTCTGGAGCAGGTGAATCGTTTTGCTCCCTGCGAGCTCAGGCTGTAGAATGGCTGAGCCAGGGACTGTGTCCACGAGGCACCCTCCTTCCCAACTGCCAATCACAGTTAGTGCTGGAGGAGACTGGTCTGACCTCAGCTCTGCCCACATGGCCCGGAGCTGTTGCATCCAGCAGGACATGTAGGGTCCGACCCAGCCACAGCGCATCCCTGGCGAAGGAGGCTGGGCTGCTGCACTCTAGACTGGTGTGGGAGAGGCCTTTCCCCCCAGCCAAAGGGCACCAGAGAGCTCCAGCTCATGGAAAACCTGTTCCCAGCAGCTAACTTGGGCCTGTGGGCCACTCAGGGTTTAATTTTGTCCCTGAGTTCCCAAGGGTGATTCAGACAGGATGAGATTGAGCCCTGGAGGGGCCAAGTGACTTGGCTAGACAATAGAGCCAGTGGCCTCCAGGAAAGTGCAGCTTAAGGCCTGAAGACAGCAGGTGGGGAGGAAGAGGTATGATTAGTGGGTATCTCCTACGGAGTCCTGGGATCTCATTTAATCCCCCTAACAACCGTGGGAGAGAGTCATCACTCCCCCAGTTTCAGAAGAGGAAGCTGAATCCAGAGAGTTGCAGGGCTATAGCTGGGGGCCCACAGCATTCAAGGAATGGACTGGGATCATCTGACTCCAGTGCCTGGACTAGAAACTAGATGGGGCGGTGCTAACTTGGATTGCACATGGGTGGCATCTTCAACAAGGAAGACACCATCTGCACCGGGCTTACCAAGCGCACTCCCAAGCGGGAAGCCCAGGACCAAGTAGGCACTCCCACCAGGGGCAAGGTATTCATGAGAGACAGTCCTGGGCTTCACAGGCCAGGGCTTCTGCTGTGGAGAGGTCCTTACTAAGGGCTGGAATGGGCAGGCACAGTGGCTAAATCAGACAGCTTACCAGTCAAGGGATAGTGGCTAAATCAGGCAGCTTACCAGTCAAGGGATAGTGGCTAAATCAGACAGCTTACCAGTCAAGGGATAGTGGCTAAATCAGGCAGCTTACCAGTCAAGGATGGCTGGAGATTTGTATGAGGGGTTGGGGTTTACAGCAGGGGCTTGCAAGGAAGGCTGAGGTCATAGCTCTGCCCATTCTTTTTGTCCCACTCTTCTCTCTTAGCTACTCTTGCCTGAAGGAAACCCCCAGCCAGCTGCAAACAGCCCAGTGTCCCGCAATGGACTTTGCTCCTCAGAACTGCTAACTTGGGTGACACGCTTATGAGATCCCACTGGTGCCCCCACTACATGCATGTGGGTGTTGGAGAGAACAGGGCCAGGGTTAGGCCTAGTGGGGCCTGGGCACAGCAGGAGACACAGGAGGGGAGGCCTCCATTGCCACCCTGAGCCAACTGCGGGCAGCCCTTCACCGGTCCCTAGGGGACATTGCTGGATAATGGATCCTCACCTTAGTGGGTGTCCCCCTACAGGTAGAGTGCCATAGGCTGGAAGGCTGCCCTGCCCCTTCTCTCCCATCCGAGGCATGTGGCTTCTGCCCTTGCTCTGCTCTCGATAAATGGGGAACACTGTCTTCTCTCCCTGGGACCTGGCTTGGCCCTCTGAGCTGGCAGGTAAGCTGGGAGCTGGTTCCTGATTGCTCCAGAGCAAAGGCCCATTTTGAAGAAGGAAGAGAGGACGTCTCACTCTTTCCCTGGATCCTCTCCTCCCCTTCCATGGATGCTCCTTCCTCCCTCCCAGGACTTGGGGCCTTTGTCTGGCCTCCCCCATGCCCTGCAGTCTGCCCTCTGCCCATCCCCCTTCAGAACACCGCCCAGGGTGAGGATCAGACTCTTGTCTGTCCATCTTCAGCTTGGTTACTTGAAACCAAAATAAACTGACAGCAAGAGGCAGCCAGGGCTGGGAGCCAGGACGCCAGGATCGCAGGGGTGCTTATTTTAGCGGATGATGTTCCATTGCTGGGCTGGAGTCCGCCCAGGACTTGGCGTTGACTCACAGCTCAGCTCCCGGGGGCTCTTGGCTGGCTCTTCCTCCTCCACTCTCCTTCCCTCCTTCTGGAAGAGGTGTCACTGTCACAGAAACATGTGCTGGTCTTGGTTCCCCCTAGACCCGACTAGGTATAGGGCCCTGCAAATGGCCTCTCCAATACATACATGCACCCCTTTATTCCTGGGCATTCAGGCTGACATAAACAGAGAGGGATGTCTGGAAGGGAGAGACCTAAAGTGTGTGTGTGTCTTTGTAGCCACCGGCCAGGCTCGGGTTGGCAGGCAGAACCAAGGCCCTTCCCAATTCTGCCTCAGGGACTGTGGGCTTGAGTGTGGGCACACATGTCCAACAGTTATGGAATGGGCATCTCTTATGTGCCAGGCACTGCTATAGACACCGACACACAGCAGTGAACAGAAGGACAAAGTATTCTAGATGGAAGAAACAGGCAATGCACATATGGGAGATAAATATAGAATAGGTCAGCAGGGAGGATAATGCCAGGTGAGGGGGTAGAGTAAGGGAGGGCAGGTTCTAGTTAGGCTTGGGAGAGTGAAACCCACCTTGGTTCCAGGTGTGAGTCCTGGGGCTTTCCTGTGGTGGCCACATTCTTCTTCCCACTCCCTTGCAGGTTGATCAGTTGCATAGTTTCTGCCTCTGCATTTTTATTCCCCTTCTATTCCCTTTGTTTCCCCACAAAAACCCTCCCTGGAGGGCTGTTCCCAGGGTAGCTGGTGGGCCTTGTGCAAAGTTAGGGACCCCGGAAAGGCTCCAGAGATCACTGAGGCCAGGGCTGCTCAAATGCTCACCGTAATTTGTCATCAGGGGTGTGCAGATTAAAACTGCAACAAGATGCCACGGATGCCCATCAAAATAGATAATATGAAAAAAGATGGAGGCTGGGTGCGGTGGCTCGCGTCTGTAATCCCAGCACTTTGGGAGGCTGAAGCGGGCAGATCACCTGAGGTCAGGAGTTCGATACCAGCCTGGCCAACATGGTGAAACCCCATCTCTACTAAAAATACAAAAAAAATAGCTGGGCGTGGTGGTGGGCACCTGTAATCCTAGCTACTTGGGAGGCCGAGGCAAGAGAATCGCTTGAATCCAGAAGGTGGAGGTTGCAGTGAGTCGAGATCTCACCACTGCGCTTCAGCCTGGGCAACAGAGCAGGACTCCATCTCAAAAAAAAAAAGAAAAAAGATGGAATCTACCAATTGTTGGTAAGGATATAGAGTGACTGGAACTCTTATGCCTGGTTGATGGGAGTGCAAACTGACACAACTTTGGAAAGCCATGTGACAGTTTCACTCAAGTTGAAAGAAGACCTAAACTCTGACCCAGTGATCCCCATCCTAGGTGTATACCCAAGAGAAAGGAGTATGAATATTTACCAAAAGACATGTACTAGAATGTTCATAGCTACACTCTTCATCATCGCCCAAAACTGGGAACCACCCAGATGTCCATCAACAGTAGAATGAATAAATTGTGATATATTCATAGCATGGAATACTACACAGCAATTAAAATAACAATCTACAACTCCATGAAACAATATGGGCAGGTCTCGCAATGTGTTGTTAAATGAAACGAGACGCAATGATTTCATTCACATGAAGTTCAAAGGAACCTGTCCTGCTAGCAGTCAGGAGAGTGGTCACCCCTGGCAGGAGGTGGTGGGTGGTGGGAGCTCTTGAGGTGCTTGTAATATTCAGATGTTGGGTGTGTCCAGTCTGTGAAAATGTACTGGGCTGTACATATGTGAAAGTTGCACTTTTTTGTGGGTATACTGAACTTTAATAAAAAGTTTTTAAAAATCAGTCCTGTTTGGGCCTCGACACAGATTATTTAAATCAGAATCTCTGGGGTGGGGCAGGCATAGGTAAGTGTAATATGATTCTAATGAGCAGCTAGGGCCAGATCCCAGCACAGTTCTCTTTCCTCTGGGTCACACTGCCTGCCCTCCACAGGCTCGAGTCAGATGCTTGAACGCTGTCCCTGCCTTTGTCAGGAGAGTGTCTGTGCTTTAGGACATCAGCGTCTGATCCCATGGGGCATGGTTCCCACTGGCATGGCTTTCAATGTGTGAATTATTCTGCCCCCAAATTGCCAGGTGATCTCAGAGAAGGCACAGAACCTCTTGGGGCCTGAACTAGTAAATGAGGGCTCTGAACACCAGGATAGCCAAGAGTCCCTCCAGTTAGAGGGACCACAATTCCCCTGTAAGACAGAATCTCAGCCAAAAGGAGCTTCTGGTCTGATAAACCCAAGAACTGGGAAATGACTTGGGACTACATTCTTTTGTAAAGAGTGAGGTAAAAAAAAATTTAGTTTGAATCTGTTTTTCTTCTTTTAAATGGAAACAAAGACAAGTGGAAAGTCAGAAAAAAGTTCACGGGTAGCACACGAGAGCTGAGGAGCATGCAGCTGAGACCGCAGTGAATATTTGGTGAGTGTCTGGGTTGATTATTACTACATATCAAACTACCTCAATCCCCAGTGGCACGAAACAATCCTTTTATCATAGCTTGTGGTTTATGGGTCAGGAAGTTGTGGGTGGTTTGTCTCTGCTCCACGTGGCATTAGCTGTGGCAGCTGCAGGTGAAGGATCCACCTCCGAGAGGGTGTCTTCACCCCTCTGCCTGGTGCTAGATGCTCTGGGGGCCCTGGGTGTTGCTTGCTTGGACTTCCTCACAACATGGCAGCTACAAAGCATCTCATGACCTAGCCTTGGAAGTCTCAGGACATCATTTCCACTGCATTCTATTGTTAAGTCCATCACTAGGCCACCCCATATTCAAGGGGAGGGAAGGAATAGACACATCTTGGATGGAGTTTGGGGTGTGTATGTGTGTGTGTGTGTGTGCATGTGTGCATGCCCATGAGGCAGAGGGCAACCTAGGAGGGGCCTGGCCTGGCCACAGCCCACCTTCCAGGTCAGATTGGGAAGGGGCAGGTGGTGGGCAGGAAGTAGAGGAACCTGTGTTTTGCCTCCAGCAAGGAGCCCAGGAAAGCAGCCCGGCCTCGGGGAGCCGTCCCACAGAGACGTCTCTCGGGGAACATCCTACTGGGTAGCAGAGTCTCCAAAAAGTAAAAAGAATCTGACAGCCCCTTCTCTGCCCTTCTCCTACACTCCCTCCATAGCACATGGGTCTGGAAGGGGCTGAACTTGAGCTAACTTTGAGGGCCACCCAGCCACAGTGGCCTGGGAAGACTGACCCAGCTGGGGTGATGAGCAATTTGGCAGGTACCAGGGAAGCTGGGGGACTGCCTGGGGACCACTGGTGTCCTTCCCATCTTTAGCACCAGTCAGACCTCCAGAACCTTGACTCAACCCCGTGGCACCTTGTATACTGAGATGTATTTCCTTGTGGAATATTCGAAGTGCGTGTAAAGGCATCCTGAGGTTTCCTGAGTTTGAATCAGTGAGAAATCATGCTGTGGCCATCATAAATCCACATCCTCCAAGGGGAATGGGCCACTGAAACAAAAATGATTCTCCCCTTAGAGGAACAGACCAAGTCATGTTTCTGGACCCCTAACTCTGAGGCATGAGATGTGAACACACGGGTGGGAGAGTAGGTGCCTGGCCATGTCCTGTCACATCCCGGATGCTCAGTGCATGTGGCTGTGTATGTGTTGTCTTTGACATTTGACCTATTCCAGAAATGGGACGTTCTTCCCTAGACCAGGAGGAAGGGCTCTCTTCTGTTGTATATCTCTGCCCAGGGCTTGCCCGCATGCCTCTGTGTTTGTTTGTTGGCTCATTTGTACCCTGGCCCTTTGTATCCCCAGCCCCACCCCACAGTATCCAGCAGCCAGACACCTGCTATCCCCAAATGCTGCCACAAGCTCAGCACCAAACCTTGATTTCTCCAAAGCCCTTTTACGTCAACTCCTTCATCTCCTCTCTCCCCTTCTTCCCTTCTCTTTCACTCCATCCTCTTCCTTCCTGCTGTCTTGCCTTCCCTCCTTTGTTGCCTTTACTTCTCCTCTTCCCCTTTCTTCCTCCTCCCTTGCTCCTCACTCTTTGTCTCCCAACTATGCGTCTCCTCGTCCTCGTTCCCTGCCTCTGTCTCTGACCCACTGCATCTCTCTCCTGTCTGGCTCTCCCCTGGGTAGTTCCAGAAACATACCCATATATGGCCTCCATGTCAAGGATCACAAATGATGACATCACGTGAGGGCCAAAGCTCCGGGATCCTCTCTGAAGTGAGAGTCTGTATTCGATGCACCCGGAGGAACGGAAGGCAGGATTGCAGCTTCCTCAGTGCAACCTCCAAACAGGAAATCTGAGATGTATAACATCTTATAGTTTGGCTTGTCAACGTTGGTCATGCGGTGGCCCCAAAATAAACTCCCTGCTTCAAAGGACAGCGTTTCAGAACTGCCTGGCAGAGCAGCCAGAAGCTTGGGGCCAGGGCAGAAGGAAAACTCGGGGAGCATGTTCTGAATTAAGACACTTTCAAGAAAATCCTTTGTATTACCCCTGAATTGTACCCTTGTTTCAGAGCCTAACAGGTAATGCATGCTTTCAACTTTCTTATACAGATCTTGCAAAAGATTCTTTGGCTGGTGGGGATTTTCGGCTGCAGTACTTACTGGAAACCGCTTGTAGTCAAACTGTGATGTTGCTTTTCCCTCTCTCTCGTATTTTCTTGAGTTATACAGCACGCTGGTGACTTTCGTTTTGGATGCAATGAACAGAGACTCAGCAATTTGCATGTACTTACCCATTCTTCTGGAGGACTCTGGCTCAGAATATCACTCTGCTGTGCACTTCTAAAAATGGAAATGCAAAAGGACTTATCAATGATGCTATTGTTGGGTCTGTAGGTCTTGGGCGGTATCTGTGTCAGACAAGTGACTTTCAGAAATGCTTTCAGGCCAGGCGCACAGATAGAGGTTTTCATGAGTGGGAGTTAATTTAATGTAGCTGTTGCAGAGTGCCTAGGCATGCACGGTATTGTGGGAGACCATAGCAGCCAAGGTGCCATGTGCTCTGCTTTCAACTGTTTGGGGATTAGGAGAGGAAATGGAGGAATGTTATTTATGTGAGATCCAACAAAGCTGTGGAATGCAGGGATGCAAGAATACCATGCATGTGTGTGCACACGCATATGCATGACACATTTAAGGAGGCCATGGCCTTTGAAAGGATGGGTGGGATGCCTCAGGGTGGAAACAGAGACCTCCAGGTGGAGGAGCAGCTTGGGCAAAGGCAGGGAAGTCAAGGGACCTGGGGTGATGATGGAAAGTGAAATGTGGCTCTGGCAAAGGGTTCTGCATGTGAAAAATGGGGGTGAGGCTAGAAGGGGAGGCCAGAGGGAGAGGCACATCCTTCCAGGCCAAGCAAGAAGTTGGAACACTTTCTGAGAGTTTTTGAGCAGAGGACGGCATGCACATAGCCACATGCATTGAGCATCTGGGATATGAAGGGACACAGCCAGGCACCTACACTCCCACCCGTGTGTTCACATCTCAGGCCCCAGAGGTGGAGGCCCAGAAACATGACTTGGTTTCTGGTGCCTCTAGGTGGAGAATCATTTTCATTTCAGTGGCCCATTCCCCTTGGAGGATGTGAGATTTGGCTTCGGTGGCTCTTCGGGAAGCCAGGGGTATGCACTGGAATGAGGAGGCAAGGAGGCTGGTGACTCCTAGGGAGGGCAGGTAAATGAGGAAGGCCTGAAGCAGGGCAGAAGCTGAGCCCCTGCACAGGACAGGAATGCTCTTCTGAAGATAAGCTTGTTTCGTGAGGCGAGGGCTTGAGGGGGCTCAGAGGGACGCAGGCAGAGCCAGCTGGGGCCAGCACCCCCGCCACAGCCCTGACCTCTGCCTGGGCAGAAGCACCATGAGGCAGACAGTGGCAGATGCTCGAGGCACTTCCAAAACAGTTGGACGGGTCCTGACAGCTGGTGGCAGGCCCATGTGCTGCACAGCGTCCCCAAGAAGCTGGCAGCAGCTCCGCTGGGTGCCATGCTGGTTTGCATCATCTGTTCTTGCACAAACAGGCCGGGTCATGAGTGCCTTGTGGTGGCGGGGGTGGGGGACACTGTCTAACCCACGCACGGTGACCTCACAGTGAACAACAACACAGGCCATACCAGCAAGCCTTTGTTGAGCACTGGCCCAAGCTTGTGTGCAGATTTCTCTCACTGACTTCGGTCAAGGCTACCATGAGTTACAGGTGATCGTTACTCCCATTTTCAGGTCTGGAAACAGGTTATGAGAGCTTAAAAGTCTTGCTTAAGGCTGGACGGCTGCAAGTGTTGGAGTCAGGAATCTGACCTTTTGGTCTGCAAGGTCCACATTCAAAGCCACAGCGTCCTGTGGCCTCTCAAGGTACTGTGGCAGTGGTAAACAGGACCATCGTGCACCCAGGGGAAATGTCTCTGGCACACTCAAGGCATCATAAGGTGCCCGTATATTGTGGACAGGCTAGATCCAAAGAGCCTTCCCAAAGGAGGCACAAAAATATCTCTGGGCCTGCCCAGTGTCCTTCCATTTCTGCGCTGCAGAGGATCAGGCTGCCCACAGGAGCCAGCTGTCACAGGAGTGGCTTGTGTCTGTGGTTCTCTTTCCTTAGCACCATTGTTTGGAATAATTAACGCCCAGGAATATAAATGAAGTTATTAAGAGCTTTGTGGTTGGGAGGAATGTTTTTGGGGAGGTGGTGCTGAAATAAAGGTAAATTGAAATTCCTAAACTATCTGTTTTTTAAAAAGAATGGGACATAGAGGAGTAAAAAAGGAGAGAGGAAAGCAGAGAAAAGAGAAGAGAAAGATTTAAATGGAGGCGGGGTCAGGGGAACTCAGAGGAGAGAGGATAAAAAAGGAAAAAGAACCTCGCCGATTTGGGTGAGATCTAACTTAAAAGATTTCCAGCCAGCCCTGCAGGTGAGGAGGGGCTATGGAGGATTCCCCCTGCCCTGCCTGAGCCTTCCCGCTCTGCTGCCTGGAGTTAAAGCCTCCAGAACCCCCTGTGTCTTCTGCCACTAAGGAACCAAGGTGAGGGTCCGCCGTCTTTGTCTGCCCAAAGGACAGAACAGGGCTAGGCGGGCTGTGCTAGGGCAGGGGTGCTGGGGAGGCTCAGAGGTGGACTGACCAGCCCCGTCCACCCCTGTCACCCCCACCTTTGGTCACTGGCACAGATGGCAGATCCTGGCATTGGTAGTGCCTGGGCAGAATATGGGTCAGGGGCCTGGAATCCTGTGTCCTGAGCTGTGAGTGTCTGAGCCACACAGATGCGGGGAGGGGCCAGCCTCTGGCAGGGCCAGGAGGCAGCAGAAGGGCCCTTCACTCAGGAGGTGGAGACGAAGGTCACCCATGGGCCTGGAGACTCAATAGCTCAGGGGCCCAAAGAAGTAAACTGGAAGCTTGACTTTTGTGGGTGCTTTTCTTAGCTGGTGGTGTGGGCACTGCCGCAGGTAGTGGGCATGTCCTGTGCAGAATGGATGCTCATCATTGCAACAGGGCACTTTCCACATTCAAAAAACCTTCTACAGGGAGGTTTTTCCTGTGTTTTTCCTTCTTCCCTCTCTTCCTCTCACCATCATTCTTGCTCTCTTTTTGGAGTGGCATCCTCAATGTACATCAATAAGTAAATAAATTACCAAGACTTTTCGTTAGGGTCTTAGACTCTTCGGGAGAGATTCACCAAGATTTGGATCAGCAAGAGGCGCTCCATTTCAGATGCAGCCTCAGTCTCCTCCTCTATACAATGGGCACAGAGTGTCTGCTGGCGTGGGAGCAGAGCCAGCTTTGGACAGGTTCAAATCCCTGGTTGTCACCTCCTACAGGGTTATGTAGGGGCAGTCACACCCCTACTCCATACAAAGAGAAGAGCCCTGTCTTGTGGAGTCAGCTGGGGCCTGCAGCCCTGAGCACACCTCTTGAGTCACCTCCAGCAGCCCCAGCCCAGCCTTGGAAGCCCCAAGGCCCTGGCACCCGAAAGCCGGGAGCTTGAAATCAGCATCAAAAGGTCTGAGATGACGCAGCCGGTGGTGGTGGTGGCTGGGGGTAAACTGGAAGCTTGGCCTTTGTGGGTGCTTTCCTTAGCTGATGGTGTGGGTCTGAGCAAAGGCTCAAACTCCTAGCAGCTGTGAGGCCCTAGACACCAGGCCCCAGGGCAGCCAGAGGCTTGAGAGCACTGCCCCCATGGCCAAAGGCCCACCCTGGCTACGACTTGGCCACTCATAGGGGTCAAGGGCAAGGTGGCTGGGATTCCATCCCCCCTTCCTTACCAAGGTCAGAGCATTTCTTAGCCAGAGCAGAGATGAAGCCTCCAGAGGGATGAGGTTTAGGGTCACGGAGCAACTGACTCCTTGCCATGCCCTTAATGTTGTGTCAGAGGGCCTGATGAAGACGGCGCAGGCTGACGTGGTCTCAACCTCTGTACCACATACATTCCAGGCCTTAGTCTCCTCATCCGCGCCATGGGAAGACCACTCTTCTCCCTAGTACTGAAAAAGTAAAATGAGGCAACCTATGAAAGTGGCCTGGATGGAGACAGGACAAGGACCCACAGGCACCAGCTTAATTTTTATTGATTAGGTTCTAAAACAACAGGACCCGGGAAGGGAAGAGAACAATGTCCTACACCTCCGAGCACTCCAGCTGGAAGCGTTTCCTTGGGTTTCCTAGGACCACCCTGGATCCTGGGGGGAAAGGCAGATCAGAAAGATAAGTTTTGGCAGAAGGAGAGAGCATTGCAAGGAAGGAGGTCGAGCGCCCTGGGTGCCAAGGAACAGCCCAGTTCCTGACTCCTCGTGTGTCCCCAGGCTAGCCCAAGCAGCCAGGTTTCAGGATTGCCTTAGCTACGGGTCATGTGATATTTGGGAGACCTTGAAGCTTTTGGAGTAGATTTATAGAAAGTATGTATATGTGTGTATATTATATATATAATATATATTATATTATTAATATAAAAATATATAATTACCTATTATATACTTATATGTTATATGTTATTATGTGTGTATATTATATAATATATATAATACATGTAGCGTGTATGTAGTGTTTTTGAATATGAACACACATACACACACACACATAGTCTTCAGTTTGATTCTGGCCTTCACTCAAATCTTGAAAAACATCCGGTGGTTGCTATTCATTGTGTGGGATGAATACTTGGTGTAAAATCAGATGTAGCCTCTAGTCTCTTCCTTGTCACTTTTTCCCTTAGTGTGCCTCAGTCTCCTCATCTATAGAATAGGAACTATAATACGCTTATAGATTTATTATGTGGTTCAAACTAAAGACAAATATGAGAGAGAAATTCACTGCAAGGGAAGGTGTTATGGTTATGATTCTCCCCATACCTGCTGCAGTGGGACGTAGTGACCTGAGGGTGACACATGGATCTGAACCACAGGCTTTGCATAAGAGCTAAACCTAAAAGGTACAAGTGAACCCTAACCAAAATACTCATGCAGCACTTGCTCTGTGTTCAGCACCATTAAATGAATTACGTGCTCACTAAATGGCTGCTCTTGTCATTTGTTGGCAGTCACCTCGTGCAGAAATTCAAGCCTCCAAAGTCTAGGGCAGCAGATGATGTGAGCAGAGAGGGCAGGGGGACAGGAGGGTTCCTGGAGAGTGGGGAATTTGAAAGGAGTGTGCAGAATCCATCCTGCACCCAAGCTGGCTTCGGGGGAGGGCGTGGAGATCCCCTTCCTCCCCAAGCTCCAGCCCCATGATTGACCCTTGGGACCACCCGGCAGGCTCTGCGCACAGCCCGGGGAGCTGACAGTCACAGCGGCAGTTTTGACCACAGCTGTCACGCGAAGGCTGGGCTTGGGGCTCATTTTCACTTTCACTCTCAATCTTGTTAAATGGAGGAGAGCTTGTGGGAATTCAAATCCCTTGGATGGAGCCTCCTAGAGAACCGCCAGCTGGGCACGAGTTTCAGGTAGCATCCTCCCAGCAGGAACAGGTTTAGGCTGTTTCACCCACTTTCTGGGATCACGGCAGAGAATCGCAGCATCTTGGGACCTGTGGAATAACACGAGCAGATTTTTAGGGGCCACCGGCTGTGTGCCAGGTGCTCCACATTTATACCTGTCACCTAATTTCACCTGACAACACCTCCACAGGCAGGATGCCATTAATATCTTCATTTTATAGATGAGCAAAGTGAGGCACCGAGTAACCTGCTTCACATCACGTGGCCAGGAGGTGGCAGAGCTAGGGTTGAGTATAGGCAGTGGGGCACTCGGGCCGTGCCACCGTCTACCACTGTGCAGTAAACTTCTCCATAACAGCTGTGCTTCCAAGGGCTTGAAGCACTGTCATGATCCTATCGTTCATTCACCCGTCTGTCCAGCATTTATTCAATACCTATTGTGTACCTGACTTTGGGTTAGTTCCTGGGGTTACAACATGAGTGCGACATAGTCCTGCTCCTCAGAAGTTTCTAGACTTTCTAGAGAGACAGGACCATAGCAGGCAGTCCAAGCAGTAGAATGTGAAGGGGGCCCTTGGAGGCAGCAGAGGACTCTCAGCCATCAGGGAGGCTTCCTGGTAGAGGAGATGCTGGAGCTGTTTCTGGAAGGGCACCTTCAGGGCAGGGTAGGCTGACGAGCAGCTCCATCCACAAACACAGCCAAGGATGCTAAGTGGCTTGTGCAGCCTCACATGTCCGACCCAAGTCCCTGGCATGACCCAAGCCTCTGGTGGAGCTTGGTGTGGTGGAGGATGGCTGCCAGCCTCCTTCTTGGCCCCGCCTTCCCAGCTGTGTCTCCTCTAGCCCCCAGTTTTCTGCTAAGACATCTGGAGAGTGACCACCTCCCACCCCAGCCCCTCAAACAACCACATAGACCCACCCCATCCACCGCCAGTTCCCGGGCAGACCCTGGCTGTCTGCAAACCTGGGTTGGTAGAGAGGGGAAGGTACTAGGAGGAAAAGACCACTTTTTAAATGCAATTTTGGTCCTCACTATAACCCTGCCAGGGTCCATGTCTCTTTTCCCATTTCACAGATGTGGAGACTAAGGCCCAACTTAGAAGAGAGCCGGCTGTGAATGAACCAGGTACTGCTCTGAGTGGATTTGCCTGAGTAATTTACGTGGATTAACCTAAGTAACCCTGTCACAGCCACTTTACAGATGTCACCTGGGGAAAGATGGGGCTTCTCAAGAACCAATGTTTGGGGTTCTGCAAAGAGGGCAGGAGAGGCACTCCTGAAGGCCCTGCGGGGCCAGGCCTCCCTTGCTCCACACTGGCCTTGGACTGGCCCCTCCCTCTACCAGGAAGCCTCCCTGATGGCTGGGCAAGGCCTATTAGACTCCTGCTTTCCTTGGGAAAGGGCTATTTTTGATTCCAATCAGCCTCCCAGAGTGTCCCTTGAGGCTGCTGGCCTCCCTCCAAGACTTAGGCCCAGAAGGCCGCCCAACCCCCAGACAGAGGTCTCAGAAATCAAGCTGGGCAGCATCTTCATGACAAGGGGAAACTGAGGTCCAAAGAGGGGCAAGGCATCACCCGAATCAATGCCCTCTCCCAAGAGATAGGTGCTCTGACCTTGTCCATTTTACAGATGGAGAAACTACTATTCCAGAGGCTCTCCCGGCTAACAACCAGCAAAGCTGGGATGTGAACTCAGTCAGGCTGGCTCCACACGCTGCTTCATAACTTCCCCCTCGTGCCAGGGCTGAGCAGCACCACCTGTCCCCCAGGAGACGCCGCCATAGCATCCCTGACAGCTGTCACCAGCCTACGACTGCATCCGTTCAGGGACAGGGAGTTTCCTGTCCTGAAGCGGCCCGTGCATTGCACACTTACTAACAGCCAGACCCACAGCTGAGCCTGTACACACATGAACCCTTTTGACTCTACCACCAACCCCATAATAACACTGGCTAATATCTCCATTTTGTGCATTTTATCCATTTTACCCATAAAGGTGGGTAACTTACCCAAGAACCCTTGAAGGCTGAGGACCTCAGTGGGAAAAGCAAGAGATATGTGGGTCCACAGTGGGGTAGGAAATTTGCCTCTTCAAAGGCAGAGTCCCTCTCTCTCAAGTAAACTCCATAACAGCTGTGCTTCCAAGGGTTTGAGCACTGTTGTGGTCCTATCATTCACCTGTCCATCTAGCATTTATTAAATACCTTTTGTGTACCCAGCCTTGGGTTAGGTCCTGGGGTTACGAGTATGACATAGTCCTGCTCCTCAGAAGTTTCCAGACTTTCTAGGGAGACAGGCCTCTAGCAGGTAGTCCAAGGAGTAGACTTTCTCAAGGTCCTGTCAAGGTTAAACCCTTCTCCTCCCTCTGCGTGTACCCTCCATGCAGCAGGCAAAGAGGCTGGTATGGTGCCCAGGGCACAGATATAGGCCAGGGGGTGCTGGGCAGCTGGGAGGATAGCTGGCTGCAGCTGGATGAGGACAGATCTGCTCCAAACCCATGTGTGTGTCAGTTGCTTGGGTCAGTGTTCCTGGAATTGCCAGAAAGAGCATTGGATTTGAGGTTGGAAGATCAGGCTTCAAATCCCAGCTTTCTATATGTCTCTCCTCCTATAAACCCTTCCCCTCCCGCTCTAAACCTTACCTGCCTCATCTGTAGAATGGGACCAATAACGTATGCGCATCAGGGTCCTTTTGGAAGGAGAGGGGCTGTAGAGGAATTAAGTTAATTCAGTGAAAATCTTCCTACCTTCCAGGGCTGTGTGAGGTAATGACATGGATAATTGGCCAATGTAAAGTCTCTGAGTGGTGTCAACCCATGGGAGAGGCTTGGGAAGGGCCTGGTAAGTCTGGAATTAGCTTCGGGATTGGTGATTCTGGGTGACCATTACCTGGCTGCCTTCGCCTCCAGGAAGGCACATGGTCAGGGAAGGGCCACTGCAGCCATGTGCTGTCTATGAGTCTCTGGCCCATACCAGGCTGCAGGGCCAGCAGCTGCCTGGAGATGATGAGGGGTCCCCACGAAATAATCATGTTACCCCTTACAAGCTGCCTACACATCTTAGCTCACATATGCTTCTACAGCATAGCGAAGTAGCTTATCTCCTTCCCATTTTTATTAATAAAGGAACTGAGGCCCAGAAAAGGGGAAGTGACCTGCCCCAGGTCATATAGCTAGTAAGTTGCAGAATTGAAAGTAGACTTAGGGGTCCTGACCTCCAGACTCAAGATCCCTCCACTCCCCCCGGGTTTTCTGTTCCCCCATGGCCAATACTAACCTCTTTTTGTCGACACGGCCATAGGGGATCCCCAGGGACAGAGAATTTGAGGTTTAATAGCACAGAGCCAAACCAAACGTCTCGCTGAGTTGCAGACTCTTTAGAACTGAAAAATCTGCGGAAAACTTCCAGCCCCAAATCGTCCTTTTGCAATGAGGAAACTGAGGCCCAGAGTAGGACAGGGACTTAGCTGAGGTCACAAAGCACTTTGGCCTTAGCAGGGCAATTATAGCTCAGCCTATGACTCTTAGTGCAGTGCTCTTCCCCCTTGTGCCCTGGCTTTGAGCAGACACCTTTAGATGGTGGCACCAGGATGCCAGGCCAGGTCCTGGGCACCAGCACTTCCTGCTAGTTCAGCACCATGTGCACTGAGCCCCTACCTTGCACCAGGCGGTGGGGTATGTAAAGCCAGACCAGCTTTAGAGAAGAGAAGGGTGTCATACCTCACTGGGCAGAGCCCCTTCCCCCCGCCACTGAAGGCAGACCTGGGCCAACTCAGACCTGGCAGGGACCCCAGCCTCAGAGAAGCAACAAAGGAGTGGGAAGCCAGGCCTGGGCCAGCTGGAGATGGGGGCTCCACCCAGCTGCACAGGTACCTCCTGCCAGTACAAGGGCCAGAGGACAGGCTCTAGTCTACCCTGCCATTTAACAGATGGAAAAACTGAGGACACAAGAGAGGAAGAGAGGCGCTCATGGCTGACTTGGGACAGAAACCCAAGTCCCTTGGTTCCCTGTCCTGGGCTCCTTTCACAATAAATAAAACTGCTGCTACTGCTGTAAATAACAGCACTCCAAGCATCGGGCATAAAATGATTGTGAGGTCATGACCCTTCCCCTCCTCTAGTGTGGACCACAGACTGGCCACCTGACATATTAATCTCATTGAGCAGGGGTTCTCAACTCTGGCCACACACTAACATCACCAGAGAAGCCTCTAGCATTGCATTCCCTGGGTCCCAGCCCTGAGGCTTTGAGTTCATTGATTCAGGGCTGAACCAGGTCCTTGACATGTTTTCAAGACTCTCAGCCAGGCCTGAGAGACATTCGTTAAGATGATTTGACTGCCTATAAGAGAAAACCCAACTAACATTGGCTAAACCACAAGAATCTTCAGTACCTAACAAGTAGGCTAGGGTGGGCGGACCCAGCATTGGTTCAGCAGTTCTGCAACATAATGAAGGACCCAGAAAAACTATTATTCATTATGCCAAACTCATTGTATCAACCTGTCATTCACTGTCCCCCTCATGGTCACAAGATGGCTGCTGCCACTCCAAGCATCAAGTCCTCCAAGCACTAAGCAGAGGTTGGGGAAAGGAATCATTTTGTTCACTACTCTCTCTTTTATTAGAAAGGAAAGTCTTCCATAGGAGCACCCCAGCAGATTTTCTGTTATAACTCTTTGGATAAAACTAGGCTACAGTCCCACCCCTGGACTTGTCACCAGCTGAGGCGGTGAGATTGTCCCACCTGGCTTGAAGCAGTCATGACTCATCCATGGGACAGGGCACCCTGTTGCCTAGACAAAGCCAGGTTCTGCTATCAGGGAAGATGGGGGAAATGGCCATTGAGGGGACTATCCGCAGGATCTGCCACACCCTATGAAAATGGAGCTGTTTGGCCAGCCATGCAGTGAACTTTGACCTCCTCACATAAGGTGCTGGCCTTGGAAAGAGGATCCAGGGTCAAGTCCACCCATGAACTACTGACCACAGCTCAGGAGAAGTTCCTCTTCCCAGAAGGATCTGGGTCGGCTTCCCAGAAGAGGGGCACTTGCCCTGGGCCTTGAAGAAGGAGAAGGCTCCTCTGAGGAGGTTGGGCTCAGGTGCCCGGGTGTGTTCTCTCTGGGGCCTAGGCTGAGGGGCAGCAAGCTCCAGTGGGAAGCTCTTCTCTTGGTGATGGCAGAGGAGCAAGAGCAAACCCCAGTGTACATACTTGTCATGTGTATCCTTGACGCATGTCCATCAGCCCTCACAGGCCAGGGCAAGTCATGCATATTGAGACCCATATCAACAGGGAAGGGTGGGGAAAGATCTGCCTTTAGGGAAAGGGAGTGAATATTTGCTGAACAAATCAAAGTAATGCACTGGTATTCGGGGTATTTTTTAGAGGGCCATGTGATTCAATGTTCAGCCAGGACCAAGAACCATTGACCCACACAGTGTGAGTCAGCCAGCCAGAATGAAAATCAAGCTTAGTTGATTCCACTTCATATTCTTAAAGCATTGGCACCCAACTGGAGTCTATTACTCTTTGAGGCATTTTTAAGAAAAGAGTCACTGGAATTAACATGGGACGTTATTTTAATGACTGATTTTAACTAGATCATGTGATTTGAAGTAATGGGTCTGTGTCTGATTCATCTCTGGTATTCTCAGGCCCATCACAGTGCAAAGAAATGGAGAAATGCCAGGATCTATGCTCTTGGTAACTGGTATGCAATCCTGTGTAAGCTCCATGAGGGCAAGGATTTTTGTCTGTTGGAATCATCGTTGTATCCTCAGTGCTTAGAAGAGTGCCTGACACAGAGTGGGTGCTCAACAAGTGAGCATAAATACATGGATAGATAGGTTATCTGGAATGGAAAAATAAACAATGGATGAGTGGATGATTGGATAGATGGATGTATGGTGGGTGGATGTGATGATGCATGAATAAATGGATGGCTGGGTGGACAGATAGGATAATGGAGGGATGGGAGGACAGTTGGATGGATGGTTGGACGGATAGAAAGATGAATGGATGGATGAATGATGAGTAGTGCTGAGAGAATAGACAGATAAATGGTCAGATGAGTAGACAGATGGATGGATAGGAGGATAGATGGAGGGTGGTTGAGTGGGTAGTTGGATAGTTGAATATATGTATAGAGGGGTGGATGGATGGGAAGGTAGATAATATATAGCTCGGTGGGTAGATGGATGTATGGGAGGATGCATAAATGGATGGATGGTGAGATGGGCTGGTGGGTAAATGAATAGATGAGTGGATGGATGGATGGATATATAGATGGATAGGTGGTTAGGTGGGTCATGTGACCAATGAATAAATTTAGAAATGAATGTGTTACTGTCAGTGAAATGCATACCCTTCCCTGAGGGTAAATATAGCTATCCTGCAAAACTGTTCGTGACCAGGATGGTTTTGGTTTCCTCACAGGGTTTTCTGATTTGCTGTTCCCTCCTCCCCACTGGGTGTCTGTTCTGGAGGCCAGGGTGAGAGGTGGAGGAGGATGGCCACGCAGATCAGCACTCGGGGCAGCCAGTGTACCATTGGGCAGGAGGAGTACAGCCTGTACAGCAGCCTGAGCGAGGATGAACTGGTGCAGATGGCCATCGAGCAGAGCCTAGCGGACAAGACAAGGGGCCCAACCACTGCTGAGGCCACCGCGTCTGCATGTACCAACCGCCAACCTGCCCATTTCTACCCATGGACCAGGTGAGCAAGGCGAGGCTGATGAGGGAAGTGGGGCCATCCAGGACATCCACAGACTGTAGATCCCTAATGCTGTTAATCCAAAACCACGGTATCCTGGTCTCTAGGTTGCTTTTCACACCTTTCCCATTTACATTTGTTATCTGAACTTACCAAGCTCTGGCTGTGCCAGGTACTGAAGTGGGTGCTATACACACTCTGCCTCCTTTCATCCGCTTAAGGACCCTCTCAGTGGGCTCTGGGTTATAGACCCATTTAAAAGAGGAGACTGAAGCTCAGGGCTGAAAAAGAGGCCCGAGGTCACATAGCCAGTAGATAATGCTGCCGAGATCAGAGCTGCCTGGCTCCCTATCTTACAACACAGCCTCCCTTGAAAAACATATCTGGTGAGCAAGGGATGTCTGCCCAGCAGAGCCATCCTGTCTCCTTCTTCTGGCTCCCCACTCTCAGCCCCACCTCATCCTCTCAGTCACAGGACTTTCTAAAGCAGCGCCATCCAGATATGACACCACCCACAACTGCAATGCACGGATGCAATTTTAAAGGTTCCAACAGCCAAAAAAGTAAAGAGAAACAGGTGAAATTAATTTTCATTGATAGTTCACATCTGAAGTATCACCATTTCCACCAAGAGACTTATATTTCCATCAATATAAAATTATGAATCAGATTGTTACCATTTCTTTTTGCCCATCAAGTCTTTGAAATCCAGTGTGTATTTTACACTCACAGCCCATCTTGATTCAGACTGGCCACGTTTCAAGCGCTCCCTAGCACATGTGGCCAATGACTACCTTATCAGACGGTGCAGATCTAGACGACACCTCCTTTGTAGGAGGTGGGAGCTAGAGAGGTGATTAAGCAGAGCGGTGATTGATCTCAAAATGCATTTGGAAAAGACCTCTATAAGCCATAAAATTGCTTTTGCTCCTCACCCCCGTCCCCAGCCAAGGTCAAGTGTGTTTGGGCATGAATGGCAGGGCATGGGAATTGCTGTGACAATTGTGTTGGTGTTACTTTGAGGCATAGGCCACAAATCTCATTGTGTACAGCAGCCAGCTGGCTCCCTGCGTGACCTCAGGCAAGTCACTTAACCTCTGAAAACCTCAGCTTCCTTCTCAAATAACAACAACAACAAACAGACTTTTTCCGATGTGCAGTCACAGTTGACAGGGGATGAAGGTGGGTGATGGTGCATCTCAGCCCTGTCCCCTAAGTGACTTTGCCCTTGCCGAGGCTGGACCATCTCTGTCAGGCTGGCTGGGCAGAGGCCCAGAGCTGAGGAGCCCCTTTTAAAGGGGAAGGCAGGCAGCTACTTTGGGCAGCCGGAAAGAGTACGAAGACTCCAGGTTACTAAGCTGCCCCCGAGGACGTTCCATTCTGAAACCCAATCTGAGAAACAGAAACCTGAAGCCAAGGACTGGGTTCATCTTGGCTCATGCTCAAGGTGGCCCTGGTTCCTGTTCTGGCCGGTTCAGCGGAAGACAGGCCACAAGTTCCTCTTCCTCAGGAGGGGGTCAGATAGAGATAGGGCATCCTTCCTCTGAAGACAGGGCCTGCTGCATGAAGCCAGCACGTCCCCTCAGGTGTCTGCAGCCTTCTCCCCAGCATAGGAGCCCCCTCAGGAGTCCCAGGGATGCTTGGACACATTAGAAAGAAGTGGGCCCTCGGCATCCAGACCCTGACTCTGCCTTCATCTGGAGGGTAAGGAAATGGAGGCCCACAGTGGGCCATGAACATTTATTCAGCTTCCTGCGGAAAAAGCTCTCCTAGAGAATTGAGACCATTTCTCCCAGGTCGAGCAGCCCTCATCTGAGGTCCAGCCCCACAAGCAATATAGCAGAGGAGGGTCAACCTGCATCTTGTTACTCTAGGAGTGACCTGAAACCTCCTAGGTTCGGTTCTGCGCCTTCGCCTCTGGAAGGAGGCTGGGCTTGGGCCCTGCTGGGAAGAAAAACCCCTTAGATAGAATGTTTAGGCGGATCACGAGGTCGGGAGATCGAGACCATCCCGGCTAAAACGGTGAAACCCCGTCTCTACTAAAAATACAAAAAATTAGCCGGGCGTAGTGGCGGGCGCCTGTAGTCCCAGCTACTTGGGAAGCTGAGGCAGGAGAATGGTGTGAACCCGGGAGGCGGAGCTTGCAGTGAGCCGAGATCCCGCCACTGCACTCCAGCCTGGGCGACAGAGCGAGACTCCATCTCAAAAAAAAAAAAAAAAAAAAAAAAAGAATGTTTAATGAAATTCTTCTCCCCCCAAATGCACATTGAGCACCTCCCATGTGCCTGCCACACATTAATTCACTTAATGTTTACAAAAGCCACCCAAAGTGGATTGCTTCTGTGCCCATTTTACAGACGACAAAACATGCCCACAGCAGGGCCAGGCATGGAACCAAAGTCTGTCCCGCTCTGAAGTTCAGACACTTCACCAGGCTCTGCTGATGCTGTGAAGGCCTCTGTTTCCTTCCCCTACCCCACCTTGAGGTGAAGTTTTGACCTCATTACGTCCGTCTCCCACTCACAGAGGCCCAGGGTCCCCAAATTCACACGGCACACACGCACTTGTGCCCTCACACCCAGACACGCATTACAGTGGATGCAGGACCCGAGACAGTCCTTGTTCACTTTTATCTGTCCAAATAAATTCACAGCAAGTTTAGCAATAGGATGTCACCCTTGTCCCCAGGCAATCCACATAGCAGCTCCTTCTCATCTTCAGGTCTGAGATTAAGCATCACCTCCTCAGCCAGTCCTGCCCTGACCACTCTCCCGGGCCAGCTGGTTTTTCACCTCTTACTTGCTCTCATGGCTGTTTCCTCTGTGGCCTTCACCTTGACTTACAATTCTTATTTATTTCTCTGCTTCTGCCATTAACCTACGCCTCCAGTGAAGCGCTGTGTCTGACCTGTGGCAGGCACCACATGGCTATCTGTGAATGAGTGAATGGGTGAATAAAGGAATAGATGGAAAGGCAGCAGAGTGGAAAGAGAAGTAGGTCTAGAGATTCAAATTCTTCCTCTACACTTACTGGCTGTGCAACCTTAGGTGGGTGGCTAACCCTATCTGAGCCCCAGTGGCCTCATCTTTATAACAGCAACAACAAAAACATGCTGTGCTCCCCTTGCAGTATTCCTGTGAAAAGCAAATAAGATGAGGTGGGCGTTGGAGCCTTCCCACATCTTGCAGCTCGTATTGACCTCCCCGGCCCTGTCTGAGTGCTCCAGCACCAATCTCATGATGGCCTCTGCTTCACAGACAAGCTTCTTGGGTCTTCCTGGGACACCCTCCTGAGAGTGTTCCCAACTAGACTGTGACCTCCTAGGGGACAGAGAGCTGAGCTGATACTGTTTATTTATTTATTTATTTATTTATTTATTTATTTATCTCCAGTGCCCAGCTTAGAGCCTGGATCATTGTAGCTACCTAATAAATGTTTTTAAACAAATAAATACCTTTGAAACCAATAAAAAGCTCTAGCAATGCAATTGATCATTATTATATTGTGACCAAAATGGAGTCCACTGAGTCTTCTGGATCTTAGAAATGAAAGATCAGTATCCCAAAGAAAACAGAATTCTGTTAAAAACCATTTCCCAATTTGCTTCTGTCTCACCTCAACGTAAGGCACAGAATTTGATGAGGATCAAATGAGGATCATTTGCCAAGCTTTGGTCCCCTAAGGGACCCCAAAGGGACAGACCTAGCTTCCTGTTCCATGGAGAAGTGGGGTCCATGAACCCATGAAGTGCAGAGCCCAAGGTTTCCATGAATGGACCAGCCAGAGTGAGTCCAGGAGGCTGGGTCTTCCTAATCTTTAAACCTCTGCATTTCATTTAAGATACATTTCTGAGAAGACAAAGGAGGAAAACATGAAGCAGGAACTGGCTGAGGCTGTTGTGTGCACAGCTTCAAACAATTCAAATCAAGCCACCCACACTTACTCTGCACTTATGATATGCCAGGTTGTGAATCAGGGCTGGGTCCTGCTCTCCCTAAGATCACAGTCTAATGAGGGTGAAGGCCCAGAACTACCTGATGACACAGCAGGGAGAGCACAGCTTCCTCAGTTACAGAGGGACCCTGGAAAAGGTCAATTCACTTAGTCAAGGAAGTAGGCTTTGCAGGATGAATAGGAGTTCATCAAGCAGACTAGAGGAAGCAAGCCTCTTTGAGCCTCAGTTCTCTCATTTGCAAAGGAAGCCAATTACATCTCCTTCACCAAGTGGACTGGGGAATTAAATGAGATGCTTGGTGCAATGTGCCTGTTATAACAAGTGCTCAATGAGTCACATGTGTCTCACGGCACAGTGGTGGGCGTGGGGTGGACTCGTGGCATGGGGTGGGCGTGGGGTAGACTCATGGCACAGTGGCGGGTGTGGGGTGGACTGGTGACATGTTGGCGGGCGTGGGGCGGAATCGATTTTGTTAGCTCCCTCCTCTATTAAGGTGCCTACCTGCCCCCTGCATTCAGCCAGGCCCAGCCCAATCACTGCCTCCCTGGGGCTGACCTGGGCTTCTTACTAACTCAGACAGAGCAGCCATCCATTGACTCACCGAGAGGCTAGGAGCACTGTCCTGCCAGCCCATTCTCTGCTCTCACTGAGGCTGACCGTGCCTGAATTCATGACAAGCTGGACTCCAGGGTCAGGTGACGGTGACACATTCTCCACCCCAGAACCTGCCCAGTGACACACAAAGGACAGAGGCCCTACCTGGGGCTCTTCCAGGGCATGACCTACACCCACATCCTGCCGAGGCCAGGCTCCTCTCGCCTGTGATGACTCAGCCCAGGAGGTTTGCTCTGTTGGGAATTCCCCTGCTTGGGGCCCGAGGGGAAATGGGGCCTCCAGCCTTGATTGGCGAGAGCACGAAACCCAGCCAGGGGCCCTGGCTCCCCAGCCAGCCCTGAGACTCACGACTCAGTAACTCTGAGCGGTCGCCTTGCCCAGTTGCCAGCCCCAAAGCCAGTGGATGCACTCGGATCTCAGTGCTCCCAGAATGAGCCCTTCTGCCCCGATCTCAGCCCGTCCTCTGTGACTCTGTGGCTGTGTGTGGCCTTGTCTCCCTCTCTGCTGACTTCCAAATATCCTCAGGATCCACAAAAAGATAAATTTTAATGAGCTGCATCACCACCCAGAGTGGGCCTGGGACTGAGCCAGAGCTGGGAACTCTTTGTTGAATGGAACTCAGTCTGTCTGTTTCCTCATCTGCAAAATGGGAACAGCACACCCGCTGCTTCCATCAATGGTGGCAGGAGAATGGAAATGAGGAGAGGCTCGGCATGACTTTGTGAACATTTGCCCTGCACAGTTGTTAGAAACTGTCATCATCACCAGCTCCCTCCACCTCCATCAACCTCAACATCCCGGCCACCATTGCTGCTGCCATTACTATGCAGAGACAGGTCCTCGTTTAGATGGTGCAGTGGGCTTTTTCCCAGTGCTTTATTATCCTGCTAAAAACATTCTAACAATGGCAGGTAACTGGAGGCCACACATGCACTAAGTATGAGGGTGGCCGTGACCCAAGGATCCTGGGAGGTGGAAGCCCAGGGCCTCATCAAGACGACAGGGCTGGAGACAGCTGAGGTGAGCCTGGCCCCAGGCTGCCTCCACCTGCCGGCTGTCTCTCCTTCTCAGGACCAGGCACTAATGCAAAGGACACTGAACCCAGCAGCTGTCAGGGCTGAGGAGGGGCCTTGGCTCTGGGATCTGTTGGACACTGAATCTCTCCACAGCTACAGAAACAGTGTGGACATCCCCAGTCTGGTCCTGGTCCCACTTCTCCATTTTGCAAATAAGGAAACTGAGGCACAGAGCGGGGATGGGGCTTGTCCAAAGTCACAGGGACAGTCAGTGTGGAGGTCGGAGAGCTGGAGAGAGGACGAAAAGGCAGGAAGAGGCCAGGCCTTCAGAGGACAGGGTGGCATCAGGAGCTGGGCGGACAGTGGTAGTCTGAACCTCTGCTCCACTCGCTGTCATGCTGAAGGTGACCCTGCACAGTTAAGTCCCCTCTCACAGCCTCCCTGTCCTCATCTGTAAAAGGCACCCCCATCTACGGTTGATGGATGTGGATAAATGAGGACACATGCAGGCGGTGTCCTGCCCACCCCAGTGCGGGTCAGTAGAAGGCCAGAAGCAGGGGATGGGAGAAGGCAGGTGGGAGGGCGTGACAGCGGCGAGGATGAGGAAGGCAGCCAGGCCTGCAGGCAGCCCTGAGAGCATGAAGCAGAGGGGTGAGCAGGTTCCCCTCCTCCTGCCACCCTTGCTCCTCTCTACCAGGCTCTGGCCTTGCTGGGGTGTACCCACAGAATCTGTAGGCTCTGGCCTAGCCAGAAAGAGTGTGGGTGCTTCTCAGGGTCATAATTACCCCATGCCCCACAGGGTGTGAGTCACTGGTAGCAGAGTCCTCCCCAATCCCCCCCAGAAGAGTGTGGTGAAAGGCCCGGGCCACTGGGGTGTCGAGAGTGCCAGGCCTGACCTACTGGGGGTGGTGTCAGTAGGGGCCATATACCCTGTTCTCACGACAACCCCAGGCCAACTCAGATTTGTGGAGCGGCCATCCCACCTCCTTCCGGCTCTTCCACCCTCACAGGAGCCTGGTGGGTCGGGAAAACTGAGGCCTAGAGAGGCAAAATGATGATAAAATGAAGAGTGAGTACATGTGGAACACCCTCTGTGCCTCACACTCCACTAAGCTCCTCACACCATTCACTTACTCAGGCCTCACCGGCCCTCGAGCACAGGCTGTTTTCATGCCACCTTGCAGGAGCGGGGACTAAGGCACAGAAAAGGTCAACCTGTCTCACGTCACACAGCCAAGGAGTGCCAGAGCCCAGATGTGAACCTGTGTCTGTCTGACTGCAGCCCTGGTTCCGACGCCCTTCCTCATGCATCCTATAATAACACTATAGAGGTTACTATAGTGTCTGCTCCTACCCCTGGGACAAGATCCCCTAATGAGCTGGCAGGTGGGCGTGGGGGGCACAGGTACAGCTTGGCTTCTCAGCTTTGCTCCCCTATCCTCTGCTTTGCCATGAATCTCTCATCCAGCCCCGCAGGGATCTGCCTGGCCAGCAGTGAGCCTGAGCCCCTTTCATCCTGGGACCTGCCGACCACGGCTCACATCCTCCTGGGTGAAGAATGTCACCTTGCTTCCTATCTGCCTCTTTCGTGGTTGGCTGGGGAGGGGGACCGGGGGGTGGGGTGAGGTTAACCTCATTGTTGTCTTATATGGTCATTTAAATCTCCCAGGGCTTCCTCCAAGGGCCAAAAATAATCCGGAGACACAGCAGCTGTGTCCAGCACACAGAGGACCCGGCCATCTGCTTTGGTTCAGAGCCCTGTGTCTGTCAGTCAGTCTCTCCCTGGCTCTCCCTCCATCCTCATTCCTGCCTGAAGCCATGACCCGCTTCTCCTATGCAGAGTACTTTTCCCTCTTTCACTCCTGCTCTGCACCCTCCAGGTCCACTGCACCTCCTGAGAGTTCGCCGGCCCGGGCCCCAATGGGCTTGTTCCAAGGGGTCATGCAGAAATACAGCAGCAGCTTGTTCAAGACCTCCCAGCTGGCGTAAGTGACTCCTGTCTGGCCCCAGGACCATCCAAGTTCACTCCGCTAACTGGGATGGCAGGGAGGGTGGGAAGCAGGCCCACAGCCCCCAGGAGGGCAGAGGGCACTATGGAGGCACCTGCCAGGCACGCTCCTTCTAGGGGTGCCCCCCTGGGGCCCCACTGCTCCTGCTGAGATGGGCTTGGTGGCCACAGACTTCAGTCCTCAAGGAACTTCCAGCCAGGCATGCTGGTGATCCCCCCCTCAGATGCCCCCAGCATGGGACCTGAGTGCTGGAGGAGCCCCATGGGGCTCTGAAACTGGGGACCCAGCACGAGGGAAATTGGGGAGATGGCCTTAGAACCCCAGAGGCCCAGGAGAGCTTGGAGTTGAACTTGATGAGTTGGCTGCACCCTTCTGTTTGTCCCAGTCTCACTTTCCCCCATGCCATCGCTGTGGGTACATCCAAAATGCCCACACCCACAGCCTTTGTTTTGTTTATTTGCCCTTATTTGTGAAGTGCCAGGTGCTAAAATCCAGAAATAATCTAAGCTGCAGGGGCTCTGTTTGCCTGGCACCAGGGGGCAGGGCTAATGCGCTCCTTAGAAAATAATTCTGCCTCCCTCCCCTCTCTGTACCCCTGGAATAGTGACCCCGGAAGCAGCCAAAAGCAAAAGAGGGACCCTATCACTGGAACTGCATTTCCTCACTCAGTTACGTTGTAGAGAAGGGAGGAGGCAATTGGCCAATATTTTCTTTCTCCTTCCCAGCCTTTTTCAAATCCTGTCGCCCTCCACTTCCTTGGTGTGGTGGGTGTGTGGAGTGGTTGACAATCTGGAAAAGGGAGACCCAGAGCTGGTCTCAGCTACTGCCACCTCCTGCATGACTGCCTGAGAGTCGCTGTCCCCTCTGAGTCTCCCTTCTCTGCAGGACACGGCTGGAGAGGGCAACGTGACCTCTAGGGTCCCGTCCAGCTTACTACTCTGATGGCCTGACACCCCCAGAACCCTCCCCCACTCATAGGGCGGGGACTTTGCCTGAGGTCATGGAGAAGCTGTGAATATGTGGGCTGAGGGCTCCAGGGTCCTTGCATCACAGCTGGAGAGACCCAAGCTGGGCGGCAGGTCCTGAAAGTGTTCTCACGACACTGCACCACGCCCTGCTCGCCAAGGCCACGAGAAAAGCCAGCCCTCCTCCCTTCCACTTCAGCTGGGGTCCCTTTGGAGACACTCCAGGAAAAGGGGGGCACATACCCCCACTGGGCTTTTCCTGATGCTGACAGGGGCTGCTCTGGCTGTTCCTAAGTGGAACTCGTCAAGGTGGCAGTGACGGTGCTGATGGGGACCTCAGGACTTATCTGATCAGTTTCCCATCGTCCTTGCTGGGTCTGTTGCTTCACCGGCATCTGTGCTCTGACACCATTAATAACCACAGAGTCTGAGAGTCAGGAGGAAGTGCTGCTCACGCTGGAGGAAGTGGCTGGGAGAGTGCAGGGGCTGGTGGCAGAGACCGCCCAGAGCCCATCCTAGCCCAACATGGCGTGGGTGTCCTGGGAATGAGGCCTGCCTCCAGCCTCACCTTCTCCATCTGGGAAATGGGACTATTGATGCAGAAGCCTCCCCAAAAGTGGATCTGAGAGGCATAGACATCGTGGTTCTCACGGACTCTCCAAGGATGAGGTAGGGAGCTCAGTGAATGAATGAAGGAAGGAAGGAAGCAATGAATGAACAAAGGGACTTTAACAAGCCAAGCAAGGAACGGCTTCACTTTAGCCCTCAAATCTTTTTGACATTCAGAAGTTTTAAACTGTGAAGGCTTCAAATTTATTAATCCTTCCAGTATATATTTTTTTTCTGCAGCTGGATGTACTGGGAGTAGGAATAAGCGACAGGGCAAGGAGAGGAGTTGGAAGACCCCAGAGATATGCTCAGGGTTAAGAGGGGGCCCCCGAGATGGGCGTGCCTGGTAAATGCTAGAGTGCTATACTCAGGGAAAGCATTTAATTATCACAAGTGCCTCACATGTGGGTGGTTAGCCACCCTCTAGGAGGCTGGCATTGTGTGCCTGAATCCTCTTGGTAGAATTGGTTTTGGTATAACATTCCCGGCAGCCATGGAAAGCCACAGAGATGGAGGGATCCCCCAGTCCTCTTGCAGCCACTGGGCTGCAGGGGGCTGAGTGCTCATCCTGGAACCAGCAGGGACGAGGACCGAGTGACTCCACTGCCAGCACTCCTGAGAGAGAGGCCCCCTGGCCTGGCCTTGGCCTGACCTTGAGGACTGACCCACTCCTTCCTCTCACAGGCCTGCGGACCCCTTGATAAAGGCCATCAAGGATGGCGATGAAGAGGCCTTGAAGACCATGATCAAGGAAGGGAAGAATCTCGCAGAGCCCAACAAGGAGGGCTGGCTGCCGCTGCACGAGGCCGCATACTATGGCCAGGTGGGCTGCCTGAAAGTCCTGCAGCGAGGTGAGGGCTGGGCTCTGACGGTGGCAAGAGGTGGGAAAGGGACTAGGGGAAGGGCTGCCGCTCCTGGGGCTTCATGTTCTTTGCCCACAATCATCTTGGGAGAAGGGCAGGCAAGGCTGTCACTTTCATTTGTCAGTTAGTCATGGAGTTACGAGAGGGGAAATGAGTTGTCCCCACCCCCTGCTGCCACCTCTCCAGGCCTCCAAGGACAGGAGAGCCTAATTCCTAGAAAAGGAATGAGGGAGGGCTGACTTTTAGAAGAACCACTGCCAACTTGTTCCAGAATGTCCCAGGGGCTGATTTGGTGTGAAAAATACTGCAGCTGTGCCTGTGCCCGGCCAAGGCTATCCCCCACCTGCTGTGGGACCGCGGGACAGCCGTGCCTCCTCTCTGAGCCCTGTCTTCCTACTGAGCCAGGTTCAGAAGGGCAACTCCTGCAGGCAGGTGTCACCTCTGCCCTGAAGCAGCACAGACCCCACACGGCCCCCGACACTCCAAGAAACCATGGCATGTAACAGTGGGTTTCCAGCAATGGCTGGTGTGAGTTCGAGGAAAGGACAGGAGTATTCGAAGAGGGAGGGGCTCCATTAGGGAAGGCTTCTCAGAGGACGTGGCATCTGAGCTTGGACGTGTACGACCAGGAAGCTAAAATGGCCCTGTGAAAGGGCCAGATGAATGCAGTCTGTAGTTGGTAAATTTCAGAGGATGTCATACATTGTTCTTGAAATTGGGAGGCAATCGGGAAAGCCTCTGTGTTGCGGGGCTGAGTATCTTTCTCCTACATGAATTTCCCGGTGGGCCCTCCCTAGCGTACCCAGGGACCATCGACCAGCGCACCCTGCAGGAGGAAACAGCCGTTTACTTGGCAACGTGCAGGGGCCACCTGGACTGTCTCCTGTCACTGCTCCAAGCAGGGGCAGAGCCGGACATCTCCAACAAATCCCGAGAGACACCGCTCTACAAAGGTGAGGTCCCCACCCCGGAGTGAGCTTTCCTGCGGAAGAATCCAGAAGCTGGGTGAGCAACAGGGAATGTTGCTCCCGTTAAGTGCATAACCCCCAACGTGGCCCTGCTCAAATGCACAATTTATGTAACTGAATCATTCATTCCTGCATGTATTTTACCAACATTTTCCAACTGCATCCCATGGGCCAGGATGCTGAGGGACACTGAGGGCTTGGAGCTGAAAAGCTATAGTCCAACCTGTGCACCCTCCCAGCCCTGTAGGCACCCACACACAGAGAGCAGGAAAGGGCTTGGCAGGAGGCATTGTGGGAGCATGGGGGAGGGGCACCCAGAGGAGGGGTGCCTGAGCTGAACCACAGAGGAGGAATCACCTGCTGGCCAAGCAGCGGGAACCGCACAGGCAAAGGCATGAAGGTATGCGAGAGCATGTACCTCTGGGACATTTGTTTAAGAAAAACAAGGCCTCCTGGCTTACTCAGTACATCATCCATGGACATTTGTTGGCTGCCCTAGCAGTACCCAGAGTCAAAGTCTAAATAATCACAATAGCTAGCATTGATTGAGTGTTTAGTATGTGCCAGGCACCGTTCTCTTATGGACCCCTCATGTCCATCTGCACATGAAGTAGGCACTGCTGGTATCCCCTTTCACATATGAGGACCTAAGGCACCAAGACATTAAATGGGTCGCCCAGGATCACACAGCTTGCAAGGGGTACCCCAGTGGTTTAAACTCAGGGAGGTGGATGTCACACTGCCCTCAACTACTACATTCTAAAGCATCCTGTCCATGCCTACATGCTGAAGCAATCAGCTGGGGTCTTACAAATGATCAGGCCTTTGTACTTGGAAAAATTACAGATATCCCTGATTTCCCATGTGTCTATCCAGTGCTTGGAACAGCTTGGGCAGCAGGAACTGAGTAGTAGGTCACTGGATCCGCTGCAGACCCACCATGGAAGTGTCTTCCCTGGAATCCGTGCCTGCCAGGGCGCCATGGCTATCACCTGGAACCTCAGCTGTCCAAAGGGAGTGCCCAGGAAGCTGGGCAGCCCACAGCCAGAGCTTGGCCCTGGTCTTGCAAGCACACCTACTATGTGCCAAGCACTATGCTCATGCCTTACACACAGTCTCACTCCCATAGCATCTGCTCAAGAAGGTTTTATTCTCTCCATTTTACAGATGAGAAAGTCAAGGCTTAGAGAGGTAGAAGGCTTGGCCTATGGTTCTATTTGAAACAGTACACAGGCAGCCCTCCTCCCCCTGCTGCCAGTCTCCCTGACCCATTCCTCACTCCTCCTCCCACTGACACGGACACAGAGAAGCTTCCAGGGCTGGTTAATTTGGAAAAGTGCCCAGGTGACTCCAATACCACCTGCAGCTCCTGGTGAGAACTCTGGGGCCAGAGCCAAGGGCACGTTTGGGGTCTAGAGAGAGATGAGGCTTATAAAGGAGGTTAGAGCAGGTCAAGAAAGACTTGAGGAGCTGTACTCACAACGTGCATTTTACCCTGAACTAAATTAGTAGCCTTTGCTGGAGCAGGGGGAAGTTCAGCAGGATTATGACACCGCTGACTCCTCATCTAGAAAGATTCTTCCAGCCTTGGTAATGTGGAGGACTGAAGCAGGTACCACTGGAAGGGGAAATGATAGGGACATCCTGGGACATCCCAGGGGACAGAGACCTTCAGCCTGACTACCAGGGTTTGAATTCCAGTTCTGCCACTTAGTATCTGTGTGACTTTGGGCAAGCCACTTACCCTCTCTGTGCCTCACCTTCCTTATCTGTGAAAGGGGATAACATCACTACATCCTTTAAGGGGATTTGGGAGGATTAAATTAGTTAATCCTGTAAAATGTGCTTAGAACAGAGAGCCTGGCACAGAACCAGTACTAGGCATATGAATCAGCAAGTATTCTTGCTAATGTTAGTATCAGTATTACTTTTAGTCGCCTATCCCAGGTTCAATGCAGGGATTGGAACTTAATACACATGCAGTGGAAAGCTGAATGAGTGGATGAGTGAATGGACAGGCGAATGAATGCAGTCTCTGCTGGCCAGTTCCTGCCAGGCCCTGCTGACCATCCCTGCTTCCCCCTGAGCACAGCCTGCGAGCGCAAGAACGCGGAGGCCGTGAAGATTCTGGTGCAGCACAATGCAGACACCAACCACCGCTGCAACCGCGGCTGGACCGCTCTGCACGAGTCTGTGTCTCGCAATGACCTGGAGGTCATGCAGATCCTGGTGAGCGGAGGAGCCAAGGTGGAATCCAAGAACGCCTACGGCATCACCCCCTTGTTCGTGGCCGCCCAGAGTGGACAGTTGGAGGCCTTGAGGTTCTTAGCCAAGTACGGTGAGTGGCTAAGGGTCCCTAGGTCATGGAGTCCCCAAAGGGCACACGGGAAGGATGTCAGAGGTCAGCTCTAAGGGAAGGCGAGTTAGGGGTCATCTTGTGCGCACACTGATGGAGTGAGAGTTTCCTCCTAGAGTGCTGTGTTGAGAAAGATGCTGAGGCTGTGTCCAGGCTCAGTGGGAAGAGCGTCGGGATCCACTAGTGACATCTGCCATTAGAACAAATATGGGGGGGTCTGGCCCACGGACCACCTATTTGCCATTTATAATCTAGTCCAACATTTTCATTTTACAAACGAGGAGTCTGAGGCACAGAGTGAGGAAGTGACTTATCTATAGTCCTATAGCAAATTAATTGTAGAACTAGCTAGACTCTTGGTCTCCTGACACCCCAACCGCTTCTCTTTCCACCACATCACACTTCAGGGCCAGAAGGAACCTCAAGCAACATTTAGATCACCTCCCCCTTTTATGGGTGATGAACTCAAGGACCAGGATGGGAAAGTGATTTGTCCAAGGTCACACAGCAAATTAGTGGCAGAGCTGGGACTTGAACCCAGCTCTTT
Source organism: Homo sapiens (assembly GCF_000001405.40). Lineage (NCBI taxonomy): Eukaryota > Metazoa > Chordata > Mammalia > Primates > Hominidae > Homo > Homo sapiens. Next base: position 1,064,995 of record NT_187601.1, on the reverse strand, counting down.
GCCCTCTTTGCCTGTGAAATATCTTAATGGGAGAAAATAACACAATACGGCCTGCATTATGATGGCCCAGTAGCAAAAGACCACGAGACATGGCAGACTTGCTTTTGGTTTCAGAACATTATATCCTGATCTTCCCCAAGAATGCCTTTGATTTCTTTTCTCTCTCCACGGGAAGTAACCCTCTCTCTAGCAACAGAGAAGCCAGAGGTAATCCAGACGCTGAGGCTGAACTGTAGGAATCTGTTGAGGACTTGCTAAGTGTGAACACAGATCGGGGCAATGGAGCTTTCCCCGTAGCCCCATGTGGTAGGTAGTATGCTCGTCCCATTTTATAGATGAAGAGACTGAGGTTCAGAGAGGTTAACTAATTGGTCACAGTCCAAGCCTGGATGCTGACCCACTGCCATCTGACTCCAAACTGCACATGCTTTGTGCTCTGCCAGCCACCCTACCCTGTGAGAGTCGGCAGCACGGGACTCTGCCCAGGTAAGCATCCATGCACTCAGCACGCGCCTGAGCAGTGGGGAACATAGGTGCAGGCCCTTCCGTGCAGCCAGGAACAAATCTGGACTGCCCAGCGTAAGAACAAAGGGGCACAGGCAGGGTCCTGGGAGCCCAGGCCGGGGGTCCTGGTGACGGACAGCATGCTCAGCAGGCAAGGGTGACCTCAATAACTCCAAACATCTGTCCAGGTCTCCCACCGACACTCTGAGTCAGGGTGTGTTCACTTTGTGGGCTGAGTCCATTTTCCAACCCAAATATTTTTCTTGTGCAAGCAGGCGGCTTTGCTGGTAGGGTCCAGGCTCTCCAGGGCACCTGCCTCTGAGAGCCCAACAGAGGGTTAGGGCGGCTCACTGGCTCTCCCTCAGGCCGGAGGCAGGACGAAGGCCTCTGCCCAGCTCCTTCCATCCTGAGCAACTGGCATTTGCTGAGCAGCTTCCCTGTGGCAGGCACTGCGCTGAGAGATGTGCTTACACTATTTTGTTTACTCCCTGCAGTAACCCCGAGGGGTAGGTACTATTATCCCTGGTCAACAGATGAGAAAACCGAGGCTCCTAAAGGCTTTCTGAGACTGCAGAGCTTGTGAGCCATGAAACAGATGCCTCAGCTGATTCTCATCTGTCGCCAAAGCCTGTGCTGTTTCCGCTGGATCAGAAACTGGTCACACCATCATCAAAAATAATAAATTACCAGAAAGCCTGAGATCAGCAACATGCTTAGAGAGATGACCTGTGGTTAGCAGATGCTTTTGATTTTAGCCCCACTGACATCTTCAAGCATCTTAGTTCCATGTCCTTCCAGAACAAGGAAGGACTGCTGAATTCTCTTTCTGCAGAGAAAGCTGTGTGCACATCAGTTCTCCCCCTCACCCCCTGCCCGAGGAGATGAAGCAGGTGTAGAAGACTGAGCTGAAGGCAGATTGTCACCAGGCCTGATTCCTCCTTCTAGCAGCATGGATTAATGTTTTCTGGGTTTTGTTTTGTTTTTGTTTTGGGAACAGGGTCTCACTTTGTTGTCCAGGCTGGAGTGCAGTGGTGTGATCCCGGCTCACTGCCGCCTATATCAACCTCCTGGGCTCAAGTAATCCTTGCACCTCAGCCTTCCAAGTAGCTGGAACTACAGGCATGTGCCACCATGCCCGGCCAGGGGCTACTCAGTAGGTGTAGAGAACAGAGTCTCATTAGGTTACCCAGGCTAGTCTTGAATTCCTGAGCTCAAGTGATCTGCCCGCCTTGGCCTCCCAAAGTGCTGGGATTACAAGTGTGAGCCATTGCACCTGGCCTAGTATTTTCTTGGGAGGAGACAGAAAGTAATTCTCTTATTCCTTGAAGTGAAAGGCAGAGAATTAGCAATTAGCAAGCATGCAGGGAATACCTAGCACAAGGAGCACTAGTGATAAGAGCTAGAAGTTATTGATAGCAGTAAGGATCAATATTAATAGCATGGTAACATTAGCAATAATAATAGCAATATTAATAGCAAATTGCAATTAATAATGTTATTGGGGTTTTCCTTTATTAGGGGCTCTGTGCCCTCCTAGACCTGTGAGGCCTCTCTCAGGGCAGAGCCCAGGCCCTCTTACATGGAGTGAGGGTTAAGAGCATGGCCTCTACCATCAGAATATCCACCATGGCCTCTGCCATCAGACCATCTGGGTTCAAGTTTGGCTCCATCTTTATGAAATGGGTGGTCTGAGGCAAGTGGTCTAGGTGTTCTGTGCTTCACTGTCCCCATCTGTAATCTGGAGATAAGAGCAGTACTGACCTCACAAGGTGACCACCCACTGTGGATTCAGATATAGCCTGTGGAAAGCACGATGTTCAGCACGTAGTAGGTGCTCAGGAAAAACCAGCATCATCGTGGCTGCTTGTAGCCTCTCAGAGGCCTCTGTTCGGGCTGGCAGGCCCCTGGGTCTTTTTTTTTTTTTTTTTTTTTTTCCAGGCGGAGTTTCACTCTTGTTGCCCAGGCTGGAGTGCAATGGTGCAGTCTCGGCTCACTGCAACCTCCACCTCCTGGGTTCAAGCGATTCTCCTGCCTCAGCCTCCCGAGTAGCTGGGATTACTGGCGCCCACCACCATGCCCAGCTAATTTTTGTATTTTTAGTAAAGACAGGGTTTCACCATGTTGGCCGGGCTGGTCTCGAACTCCTGACCTCAGGTGATCCGCCTGCCTCAGCCTCCCAAAGTGCTGGGATTACAGGCATGAGCCACGCCTGGCCAGGCCCCTAGGTCTTGATGTTGTTGAAAGAAGCTGGGGGTAGCCCCAGGTAGACTCCTCCTTCCTAAGGGTCGTTGTTAAAGGTCCCGTGCATTACCGTGGTTAGCACAGCAGGCCCACCACGCGGTGGCGTTACATTGAGGACAGCAACTTCCCGGTCACTTGGCCACTTGCTGATCTCTTCTCCTTCCCCAGGTGCTGACATCAACACGCAGGCCAGCGACAACGCGTCTGCCCTCTACGAGGCCTGCAAGAATGAGCATGAGGAGGTGGTGGAGTTTCTGCTGTCACAGGGTGCCGACGCCAACAAGACCAACAAGGACGGCTTGCTCCCGCTGCACATCGCCTCCAAGAAGGGCAACTACAGGTCAGCCCAGGCTCCGCCAGCACCCAGGCAGCTCTCCCGAGGCCCACACTGGGAGTAGGGGATTGGAGGGGTGGGCCTGCCCTGAATGTCCCACCCACAGGATTAGGGAGGCCCAGGAGAGGTCAGAATGGACATCACCTTTCCCATGGAAAGGAGGGAAACCCCTTAGCAGTTAGCAACATGGAGTGAATGCCTGTAACAACAGCAACTGAAATAATAACAGCAAACCCTTATGCAGCGCTTACCAGTACTTCACATCAGAAACTTATTTAATCTGCTTAACAGCTCACTGAGGTGGATATTATTATCTCTGTTGTTTAGATGAGGAAGCTAAGACACAGAGAGGTTGAGTGACTTGCCCAAGGTCACACAGCTCATAGGCGGCAGGTACTCACCTGCTCCAAAGGTCACAGCTACAGGAATTCTATCCTGGGGGGCAGATATGAGTCTGAGCTAATGAATATTTCCGGGAGTACAGGAATGCAAGGATAACCTCCCAGGCAATTAGCAAGCATGCAAGGAAAACCTACAATAACACAAATAGCACCAATGATAAGAACTAGCAGTTATTGAGCAATTACTAAGTGCTAGATACTCTGAGTGAGAAGAGAGAGGCTTAAGTTCCCAAGGAGCAATCTGGAGGAAGGGAAGAAGCACAGACATGTGAATTCATGACATCATGAAAGAGCATGCCGAAGAGCTGCATGGCTCCTGTGGAGACAGACGAGCCGGGGCTAGAGGCAGAGGTGTGCTAGAGCCAGCTCGTGCCTGTTCTCAGGAACCGACTGCACACCTCTTCCCAACTCTGTGTTTACTGACCTCACATTGATAGCTTAAAATTGGCCATGGGGGAATATTTACATGGGGAAATAGGCAAATGCTACAAACCAGAGTCCTTTCCCCCTTCTCTGCCCTTGCTTGAGCCAGTTTTTAAGCATTCCCAGCAGCACTGCTACATGGGGAAGCCTGGGCCGCAGAGGTGAAGCTCCAGCTGCCCTTGAAGGATGGACAGGGCTTGGTCATTTCCAGAGTGTGACTCATCTGCCTCCCATGTGAGCCTCACACTGTGCTGCGGGTATGCGGGTCAACCCGGATTTTCATTTTACAGGACAGGAAACGAAGACTCTGGTAGTTAAGAGATTTGCCCCTTGAAAGCCCCGTCCCCAGGGCTAGGACTTAAACCCCAGCATCTGACCCTTTTTGCTGGACAGTGCTTCCCAAACTGTCCATTCACAGATTTTCTTCCTGATTTTAAATATCTATACTCTCATCGTTTAGTAATTTTTCCTTTAAATAATGTTTTTACTTACAATGAATTTATTTTGAAGAGGAAACATTTATCACACTAGTATGTTATCCATTTACAATCAATTTTAAAAACATTTCATTTAAAATCCCATCTCATGTACCCTGATGACACTTGGGGAAACACACCCGAATCTTCCAGACAGGCAGGAGAGTGAGAAGCACAGACTGCGTGTATTGGGGCATGTTTGTTGTCTTCACTAAGGCAGAGGGAAATGGGGTCAAAGTGACATTCCAAAGACTGAAATGAAGACTCAAGGCTTCAGAGCCGCCCCTTAAAGCTCCAGCCCCTTCTGTGCAGGTTGCCTGCACCAAGACCACCCAAAGATGCCCTCCCCACTCCCCACACCCCCCAGTACATACACAGAGGAGACCCAGCCTTTTCTGGACAGCACAGCTGTCCACAAGGCTGACAGATCTGGGTGTGAATCCCTGCTGAGGCCATTGGGAAAGTTGCTTAACCTTGCTGAGCCTCATTTTCCTCATTTATAAAATGGGAAATGGTTACACCCGCCTCATGGGGTTGTCGGAGGACCAGTAAAATGGATACGTACGGATATAGAATGGAAAAAAGCACCTAGCAGAGCGCCTGCACCCAGTGTGTGCTCAGGCGTCCTATGCTCACCCACTCTTACTTAGGGAGAGTGCATTCCATGATTGAGCGGTTCAGACAGCAGCTCAAGCCAGGCAGTGGGCATGGACAAGACGGCTCCTTTCTCTTGAGTTCCACAAATCATCGGGCATCAGTCAGAGTTGGGCAAACACAGTTTACCTTGAGCCTGACCCCAGAGAGATCCAGAGTGAACACACGGGAAGTGGGTGCACTTTGGAAATCTCCTGGCCCACTGCCCCCCAATTCTAGCCTGCACATCCATGTCCCTCTGGGCTATTTTTAAAATGCCATATCAGATCCGGTGAATCAGAATCTCCAGGAGAGAAGGAGCCCCACTGTCTCTTTGAAAAGCTCCCTGAGCAAATCAGATACAGCCTGTCTATAGCTGCAGGGACCATTGATCTAATTCAGGCCCTGGTTTTACAGAGAAGGAAGCCAAGGTCAGATATGGAAGTGATTTTTGAGATAGCGGCAGGGCTGGGACCTTCATCTGGGCTGCCTTCAAGTGAACCCAGAGGTGTTGGCAGTCTGGCCCCAGCTGGAGGAGAAGCTGAAGGGGCACTAGGTGGCCTTGCGGATGATCAGAGAGTAAGGCGCGTCCTGCCTGGAACACTGTGTCCATGGCTGATGTTCCTGTAAACTCATCTACCTTGGATTCACGTGGATTCCCAGGGCGAATTCCCTGGTTATTCAACCTCCACCCCCGGGCCCCATTTCCCTCTGTCCCCCAAGGCTCAGAGGGGCCTGGGCCACTTTTTAGGGCTAAGCAACAAAGGGTTAAAGCCTGGTTCCCAGCAGCTTCTGCCACCAGGCAGAGCCCATGGCCAGCAAGCCCCGAGCTCATCACTCCCTCCCTGGGCATACAGCATTAAAGGCCCTCTGCTCGGGGATTTGATGTGACATTCCATAGGCATTCCACACTCTGCCACCTGCCAACACACCCTGGCCATCCGTCCCAGGCATGGAAGGCAGCACCAGGAGCCGAAGGCTGTTTGCCAGATGGTGTCTTCTCGTCAGCACACTTAACCGCAAGGGGTGACATGCGGGTGTGCTGAGAAAGGAGCCCTAAAGTCCCGATGTCGCAGTCACCTCCAAGACACGCATTTTCCTGTTGTTCATTTCCAGTTTAGCAAAGCCACCGTATGAAATCAAAGATCAACACCAAAGATAGACGTATTAAGAAACTGTGTGAGTTAGCGCAGAGCAGATGCCCCAAGAATAGCACCCAAAACAGTAGTGTCCAACCTTGGCTGCACCAGAAACCCTGATGCCTGGGCCCCACCTGACGAGATGGCGCTGCCGCTGGTCTGGGCCGTGGCTGAGGCTTCAAGGTGTCTAAGAGCTGCCCGGGAGATTTTACTGTGCAGCCTGGGTAGAGAATCAGGATCTTAGAGCCTCTTCTGTGGCCAACAGAAAACACAGACTTGCATTCTGGGCCTTACTTCTGCCTCCCTCGTTTTTAAATATTCCTTCTCTTTTAGTTCCAACATATAACACTTTTGCTGTATTTTATCAATCTTTGCAAGCCACTTGAAATTCTTCCTAGAATAAGGCAAAATAGAGAACACTTAACACATTAAATTAAAAAGCAGCTTATAAAGCACACTGACAAGCAAGTTAATATCCCCATTAGTTAAAAGAGAAACTGAGGCTCAGAGCTCAAGACTTCATAGAAAACAAGTCAGGGTGGCACAGTGAAGCTCAGAAGTGTTGGCAATGGAGCCGTCTGTGGGCAACTGGTTCCCATGTCAATCCTCCAGCCAATGTTTTTGTTGTTGTTTGTTTGTTTTTGAGACCGACTCTCTGTCACCCAAGCTGGAGTGCAGTGGCACAATCTTGGCTCGCTGCAACCTCTGCCTCCTGGGTTCAAGTGATTCTCCTTCCTCAGCCTCCCAAGTAGCTGGGATTACAGGTGTCCACCACTGTGCCTGGCTAATTTTTGTATTTTAGTAGAGACCGGGTTTCATCATGTTGCCCGGGCTGGTCTCGAACTCCTGAGCTCAACTGATCCACCCGCCTCAGCCTCCCAAAGTGCTCCGATTACAGGCGTGAGCCACCGCGCCCGGCCCTCCATCCAAATTTACATTGAACACTGACAAGGGTCAAAGCACAGTGACCTGGTGATCCAGAATGCCTCTGTGTTTAGGGTAGCAGGGGCAGTAGGCTGCAGTTGTGGTGGTGGTCAAGATACCAAGAGCATTGTTCATTCACTGCCGACTACGGGCCAATCAGATTCATGGGAAAGATCTCATTTATACTCAGAAGCAGCCTTGGTGAAAGATCATTACATTGTGCTTTGTAACCTGGACCTGGGGTTGTAAGCAGTCCTACCTTGCCGGATTGTTATGAGTAAATGAGTAAATGAGATTAAGTTCTTAGCTCTGAGGGTCATGCTAGGATTAAATGAAGTAAACAAATGTGAGGACCACTTTAAATGGTACCTGGCACACAGTAAGCGCTCAGCAATATTAGCACAATTATGACTTAAGAAGGTAAGGGGTAAAGTGCTCACAGCAACCCACTGGAGCTCAATAAAGGGTAGCTATAGCTATCACCATCATCATCATCATCATCATCATCACTATTATTACAATTAATTACCCCTCTGCTTTAGGTGCGGTTCAGAGAGGTTAAGTGACATGCTTGCGCTGGCCCAGTGCTGAAGGGTAGAGCTGGTGTGTAACCCATGTACCCCTGACTCTGAGCCTCCCAGTTTCCCCACTGCCCATGCTGGGCCCCTCTCTAGCTAAGGACAGCTTGCGTTGGCTCAAAGCTCTCTGCCCATTCCCCTGCTGTTGGGCTAGATTCAGGAAGGACATCAGAGCCAGGGCCAGGTGGTATGGCAAGGCTGCTGCTCTGAGGAAACTAGAATCCTGGAGTGGGAGCCCAGACCTGGGGCAAGGATGTCAGGCTTCAGATACTGGTGGGTCCTAGGAACAAGACAAGAGCCCAGTGATTCGGAATGAGGTCCAAGGTCAGAGACAGCTCAGCACCTGCCACACTGCTGCACTGGGTCTTCCTGGAATGACCCTGAGCTGGATCTGCTCCGGTCTCAGGGCCCAGACAGGAAAGGCTAAGCTGGTAGTTGTGGCCTCTGCATTGGGGAGGGGACAAGGAAGGGGTAGGGGGCCATTCTTCCAGACACCTACGGCTCTATCAGACAATAGTCACCTTTGTTCCTCTTCATGAGGTGCCGCTTGAGCAATTATACTCTGAGAATCCAAAACGTGCCTGTGGGAGAAGTGGGAAGAGTCAGACTGTTTGGTGGGGTCACCCCCTTGTCCTCCTGTCCTCTGCCCCACAAAATGGGCTGGGAAGAGGAGTGATGATGTGCAGTGGGGCTACCAACGTGGCCGCTCCCATAGTTGGGAGGAGAGGGGCATCGTAGAAGGCTTGGCCCTGGACATCCAGAGACCTGTATTTTGCTCTTGTGCACCACCCACCTTCTGTCCAACCTCACTCTGTTCCCCACCCCAAGCCTGGGCTTCAGGTTTACTCTGTGTAAAATGGGAAAGCTGGACGCACTGATCTCCAGAGCCTGTCCGGCGTTACACATTCACTTTCTGATTGGCAGAGTCCTGCCGCAGTAAGATGATTCACCACATAACTGAGACAATGCTCAAGTTCCCACATTTCTGCCACTTTCCCTTGGTTCGTGGAGAACTGCCGGAGACCAGCTGTGACCTGCCAGAGATACCAGCCCCATCTGTCCAGCGGCCCCGGGGCAGCCCCTCTCACTGTTCTTTCCCGTTCTTGGGCACGTTACAGCTGTTAGCAGAGCATTTGTTGGCCGTGGCCGCCATCCAGGGTGAGGCCCAGGCCTGCCTTTGACCAGCACCTCTGCAGAGCAAAGTCAGGCCTCCTGTGCCTACACAAATAGAAATTAGGAGGCAATTAGCCCCCCGGGTGTGTGAATTTCCTTTTGAGGTTTTAGAGTCAGATTTTAGCCAAACACAGCATCACTAACAATCATAATACTTTCCACTGAGATCCCAGCAGGAGGTCGCTGGCATCAGATTTCCAGGAAGCCTGTGTGCCAGGAGGCCAGAGGCGTGGGAATGGGCCTGGTGGCACCTGCTTCTCTCCCCTTCCCCCACCGCCCCACCCCCTGTAATGGCCACCTCCTTGGAGTCCCACAGGAGGCTGTGAGGTCACCTGTCAGCAGGGATTGGATGGATTAGGGTCTGGAATCATATTGGTGCAGGAGCTTGTTCTTGCAGGTGGCAGGGCTGTAGGAGAAGAGAGCCAAGAGAAGGGGTAAAGAGTCCTGGGGTTGAGCCCCCAGAATTGTCTTATGACCCCTGATTAGTCACTTCGGCTCTCTGAGCCACATCTGTTAAAAAGAAGGCCACAGGCCTGCTCCGGCCACTCCCACCCAGGGCTGAAGTGAAGGTAAAATGGGCAGGCAAGTTAACACATTATGAAGACTGCAAAACCCCGGGATATATTAACTGTCACCCTGACTGCTACACAAGAGGTAGGGGCATTGTTAAGAGTGTAGCTTTGGGGTCAGACTGCCTGGGTTCAAATCCTGGCTCCATCACTTACTGGCTGTGTATCCTTGGAGGAGTCACATACCTTCTCTGGGCTTATGTCTCCTCATCTCTGAAATGAGGATATTACAGTACTCACTTCAGAGGGCTACTGGGAGGATTTCACAGATGAATAGAGGTAAAGTGCTGAGATCAGTGCTCGTGTTTTAGGGAAGAGAGGAACTGGTGGTTGCAGGGAGCTCAGGCTTCCGCAGTGGCTGACCAAGTTCTCCACACCCAGAAGGTGAGGCAGAGAGACTGGGAGAAGCTAGCGTCAGCCTTCGGGGAGGAGGCGTTGAGACTGACAGGAGAGGAGTGTAAGTGACCTCATGGTCACAATGGGCTGGTTGGGGCCTGGGGCAGTAGTAGTTGGGGCCAAATTAGTTGGGGCCAAACACATTTGTCCCCTTTTGTCCTCAGGATCTCGTGGCTCCACTGGGGTCCCAGGACAGCAAGATAGGGACAGCTCAGCCCTGGAGTCAGAGGAGGGCACACACCCTGGTTCCCCTATTCTGACTGTATGACTGGGCAAGCCCCTTAATCTCTCAGAGTCTTGACTCTTCTCATCTGCAAAATGGGAATGATGAGCCTTGCTTTAGGGGTTATTGTAAAGATTAAACCCAATCGCACTTGTAAAGCCTTTAGGAGCCTCCTGGCACACGGTGGGCTCTGGGATCTGGCTGTCCCTGTCCGTCCTCCCCCAGAGAGAGCAGGGTCTGGCTCCAAACTTCGCCACTAGGCTCTACTGCCTCCTGCAGGGAGGAGGTTGGACATTCATTGGGTTTGGGGGCCTTCCAGGCAATTCCTCCAAATAACTGAGCTGGCAATGGGCAACAGCGCTTAGCCTGAAATAAATTAGTGGGAGCTTCTTGAAACCCTAGTGCAGTCTGGCTGAGGTTTTTAAGAACTCAGACTTCGGAGGCCAAGGGTTCTGGGTCTGAAGCCCAGCTCTGCCCCTTACTGGCTATGTGACTTTGGGAGGGTGGCTGAAGCTCTCTGAGCTTCAGTTTCCTTATCTGTAAAGCGGAGACGGCAGCCGACCCACCCTGCCCAGTGGGGTGAGAATGGTTGACCCGCGGCGCCCCCTGCCGGTGGGATCCGCGTCGCAGCCCGCGGTCAGGGCGACCAGCCGAGCCTGGCGCCCGAGCTCTCCTGCTGGCGGGGCCGGCCCTACCCGTCCACACCCCGACCCTCCCCTCACCCGCGCCCGCCCCTCGACCCGGCAGGATCGTGCAGATGCTGCTGCCGGTGACCAGCCGCACGCGCATACGCCGTAGCGGCGTCAGTCCGCTGCACCTGGCGGCCGAGCGCAACCACGACGAGGTGCTGGAGGCGCTGCTGAGCGCGCGCTTCGACGTGAACACGCCGCTGGCCCCCGAGCGCGCGCGCCTCTACGAAGACCGGCGCAGCTCCGCGCTGTACTTCGCGGTGGTCAACAACAACGTGTACGCCACCGAGCTGCTGCTGCAACACGGCGCCGACCCCAACCGCGACGTCATCAGCCCCTTGCTCGTGGCCATCCGCCACGGCTGCCTGCGCACAATGCAGCTGCTGCTGGACCACGGCGCGAACATCGACGCCTATATCGCCACGCACCCCACCGCCTTCCCCGCCACCATCATGTTCGCCATGAAGTGCCTGTCGCTGCTCAAGTTCCTCATGGACCTGGGCTGCGACGGCGAGCCCTGCTTCTCATGCCTCTACGGCAACGGCCCGCACCCGCCGGCCCCGCAGCCCTCCAGCAGGTTCAACGACGCGCCCGCGGCCGACAAGGAGCCCAGCGTGGTGCAGGTGGGCAGCGCACGCTGGCGGTGGGGAGCACGCCTTTTGGGTGTGGCCCAGGGACGCGCGCGCGCATGGGAGGCGGGCGGGGCCGGGTGGTTCGCGCTCCTTGGGAGCAGCGTGGACTAGTGATTAACACCCTTCGGGGGAAGTGGGGCCAGCTTTGGAGGCAGCAGAGCACGGTGGTTAACCTGCGTCCTGGGTAGCGTGGGTTAGCGCTTAGGGCGCTTTGGAGGGAGCTTTGGAGGGAACTAGGGGTTAGCTCACTTTGGAGGCAGCGGAACCGGTGGTTAGCACACTTAAGAGGCCGCAGAACTTAGTGGTGCATTGGAACGGTGAAATCCTTCTTGTGGTCCACTGCGTTGGGGAATTTAAGGAACCAATGATGGAGCGGAGAACTCTGCCAAACTAAGAGGCTCGTCACCTCCAGCAAACCTACACCTGGAATGCGATGTGAAACAAGCACGATCCGGAAAGGCATGTCAAGAGCAGGCTGGTGTAGGGTCAGGTCAGAAGCAGAAAGCCAGCGACCCAGAGGCAGGACACGTCCATGTTGTTACTTTAAAAGTCAGAACTTGGCCGGGCGCGGTGGCTCACGCCTGTAATCCCAACACTTTGGGAGGCCGAGGCCGGCGGATCACGAGGTCAGGAGATCGAGACCATCCTGGCTAACACGGTGAAACCCCGTCTTAACTAAAAATACAAAAAAATTAGCCAAGTGTGGTGGCCGGCGCCTGTAGTCCCAGGTGCTCGGGAGGCTAAGGCAGGAGAATGACGTGCACCCAGGAGGCAGAGCTTGCAGTGAGCCGAGATCGCGCCACTGCACTCCAGCCTGGGCACAGAGCGAGACTCTGTCTCAAAAAAAAAAAAAAAAAAAAAAAAAGTCAGAACTTAAAAGGAAGTTAGACACACTCCTCTCCTGGAGCTCATTGTTTTAATGGTTAATGGCGATCATTCATGGGCTGCCTACTGTGTGCAAAGTTTATGTTCATATTACCTAATTCTCATGTTAAATCCCCTTGGAGTTGGTTTCATATACCTATTTTATAGATAGGGAAATTGAGGCTCAGAGGTGATGTGACTTGCTCAAGTTGCCCGTCTTCCACTTTGGGCAGCAGAAGCCTGTGTTGAGGGGACATGGTTCAGGGGATCCTAGCCTGGGTGTGCACAGTGTCTGTGCTTGGACACATCCGCTGCCGTCCCTGGCCGCAGGCTCTTGCAGGTGGGATGAACTCACTTCTTGGTCCCGGCATGTTCTCTTTCAGTTCTGTGAGTTCGTATCTGCCCCAGAGGTGAGCCGCTGGGCGGGGCCCATCATCGATGTCCTCCTGGACTACGTGGGCAACGTGCAGCTCTGCTCGCGGCTGAAGGAACACATCGACAGCTTTGAGGACTGGGCCGTCATCAAGGAGAAGGCAGGTAGGGACTTGCTGCTGCTGCCAAGGCTGGCAGATCTCCCTGCCTGACTCAGAGTCCCAGGCCTCAGGGAGTGCGACTGTTCCTAACCCTGTGAGCACCTGCTGCTTGCCAGGCTCTGTAACTCCTTGGATGAAACATGAGGAATCTGCCTCTCAGAGAGCTGTGCCACCTGGGCCAAAGTCACAGTTAGTTAGTGGCAGAGCTGGGATTAAAACCCAGGTTTGACCAACCCCAGAGTCTCTCCGCTACATCTTTCCATGATGTTTTAAACAGCTACAGCTCCCTGAGGGGTACCGGGACCTTCAGGGTAGGTTGTGAATGATTTGGGGCCACCAAGAGGCATTGTAGGAGGGGAGAGGGGAGGATGGTGGTCTAGGATGTCTCAAACTAAAGTGCACATGAAGCACCTGAGTGTCCTGTTAAAAATGCAGCTTCTGATTCCGCAGGTCTGGGGCGGGGCCGGGGAGTCTGCATTTCAACAGGCTCCCAGGTGACACCAAGGCTGTTGGTGCACAGAACACCCTGGTGTGGGAGACAGGCCCCTGAACCCTGGAGCCAGCCTTGCCAGGGCCTTGCTGGGTGAGGCCTCTCCCCACCTGAACAGAGGGGCCTGGGCAGGCTCGTTGTCCAGCTCCTTTCAGCTGGACCCGCCTGAACTGTGCCAGGCACAGTGAAGTGGAGTTCGGCCACTGTCCCTCTGATGTGTGCAGAGTAGATGGGGCTGCCTGGCTAAGTCAGGCTGAGGAAGCCAGAATCCCTCTTAGGCATTTTTGGAGCTCACCTGGGCAAACAGGATGCCACAGGTGACAGAAATGGGTATCTGTGCAGTGGCATTCTAGCTACCCTAGGGCTTTCTCTGGCTCTGAGGGCACAGTCCTGCCCTGGCCAAGTGTTTACAAGGAGGCTGACCTGCAGCAGGTCATTGTCATTCCACCACTACTGCTCCTGTCCCCAGGTGGGACTGTGCAGCCTCGGGGGGCCCACCCCTGTGCCCCAACTCTGACTCACCACATTCCTCCTTGATCCCCACACCCCTGTGAACCCAAATGTGCTGTAGGATTTTTCATTGGCACAGGTGCCTGGAAGCCACTTGAATTGAAGCCTTTGATAAAGTTTCTGGGGCAGTGATGGAGGAGGGAGGCGTCAGCTTGCCCATTCACTCAGGGCTTAACTCTAGACGCATGATAAACCTTCAGGGAACTAATGAATAATTAGTTGCTGTCACCACGATCCTTGGCCACTAGAGGGTGGAGCAGTCTATGCCTAGGTATCAGTCCTACCCATTCTGTCACCTTCTCCTGCCTTCCTTAGAGAAGGGTGGTCCCCCACAACTAAACCATGCCCCAGGGAAATCCCTGCAGAGACCTTAGTGTGGAGTACGCATTTGTTAGCCAGTAAAACCAATCGTTCTTAACCAATATCTATTTGGGTTACTTTAAAGCCCACTTTCCACCTGCAAGACAGTCCCCACGAGCTTGTTTGTTTAATGCTACAACATTGACATCCTTATTCTGGGAAGGAACTACCCAGAGCCCATGGATTGGCCAGCCCAGCCCTCATGGTTCCGTGTCCTCTGCTCACCAGCAGCCTGTGCTGAGTTTCCCAGAGGGGAGGTTATGTTCTAAGCTTGTTACCTAAGGGTTTCCCCATCTATTTTCTGGACTATTAAAAAAGTGTCCTAACTGGCCTCAATGCCTGTAATTAATTATTCCAATTCAGCCATTAAATGAATATATATTCAAGACCTTCTGTGTACAAGGTAACCACATTATTTTTTATCCAGACCACAGCATTTAGGAGATAGTAATAGGAACTAACCAGGCAAGCTGCCCGGGCAACAGGAATGATGCTTCCCTGCTCTTTGGCGTACTATGTGGTAGAAAAATCTGAGCTCAGAAGGCAGTGAACTCAGAGGGCAGTGGAAGTGTCAGAAACACAGTGATGGGTGTGTGAATGCTTCGCTAGGCAACGCTGCAGCCGCCTGGCCCTCCGCCCTTGCTCCACATCCCACCTGCCCCTCCAGCCCCAGGCTTGCATGACTTCCTTGCCTTGCCACTTGCTGTTTTCCCTGCTTAGAATGCCCCTGTCCCCCTTCCGTACCTGGAAATTCCTGCCCCTCCCCCAGGACCTCACTCAGAGGGCACCGTCTCTTGTGGAAGCCTCCACTAGAGCCTCTGGGCAGGCACCTCTGCATATCTGGCCCAAGCACAGAGCTAGGTGCAACAGAGGGGCTCAGCATTCGCCTGGTGAATGAATGAATGAATGAATGAATGACATTCTGTGATTCTACAAGCCCTTTAATTACTCCGTTACTGGATGCGTTCATCCCTGCTCTTACCTCTACCCACTCCCCAGCTCAGAAAACTCCACTACGTGGCTCCTGGGGGAGGCAGCCAGGTGGGATTCTGGAGCTCGAGGCGAGCTGTCAGTCTCTGCCCCCTTATCCTGGCCTCTCAGCACCACTGGGAGCTCCAAGTTGAATTCCACATGTAGGGGCACTTAAGTGGTCAAACCCTCTGACCCCATTGCTAAGGCTGTGTTTGGGGGCCCAGGCTGTGTGTGAAGAGGAAGAGGCTCAAGAGGAGGGAGACACCACCACTAGTCCCAGGAGGGATCCTGGGCAAGGCTCAGAACCTTGCTAAGCCTCGGTTTCCGCACCTGTGAAATGGGTGTGCTAACCACGCTGTGCACTGCGTGGGCTGTGCAGATCAATGAGGGGTGAACAATGGGAAGGTGGCTTGCTGGATCTCTTTAGTTGGCAGGGACTGGGGTGACCAGCAGCAGGCACTCCCTCTCTTACCCAGCCACATCAGCTGGGCACCTCCCATAGGCTGGGGTCACAGATGCAATCCCTTTGCTTATTGCAAATGACAAATCAGCCTCTGTCTTTCCCTCCTTTTTTCAGAACCTCCAAGACCTCTGGCTCACCTTTGCCGACTGCGGGTTCGAAAGGCCATTGGGAAATACCGTATAAAACTCCTAGACACCTTGCCGCTCCCAGGCAGGCTGATTAGATACCTGAAATACGAGAACACCCAGTAACTGGGGCCACGGGGAGAGAGGAGTAGCCCCTCAGACTCTTCTTACTAAGTCTCAGGACGTCGGTGTTCCCAACTCCAAGGGGACCTGGTGACAGACGAGGCTGCAGGCTGCCTCCCTCTCAGCCTGGACAGCTACCAGGATCTCACTGGGTCTCAGGGCCCAGAGCTTTGGCCAGAGCAGAGAACAGAATGTGTCAAGGAGAAGAATCATTTGTTTACAAACTGATGAGCAGATCCCAGACCTTCTCTACCTTCAGGAATGGCAGAAACCTCTATTCCTGGGGCCAGGGCAGAGCTTGAGGTGTTCTGGGGAAGGTGGTGCTCAGAGCCTTCCCTGTGCCCCTCCACTTGTTCTGGAAAACTCACCACTTGACTTCAGAGCTTTCTCTCCAAAGACTAAGATGAAGACGTGGCCCAAGGTAGGGGGTAGGGGGAGCCTGGGTCTTGGAGGGCTTTGTTAAGTATTAATATAATAAATGTTACACATGTGACACCTGCCCAGTGAAGTCCCTCTCATCAGACTCCCTGAAGCCTGAGGTCCTCAGCCTTGCTCCTGGCAGTAGCGGGAGCGAGGCAGATGTGGGGACGGGGCACAAGGACCCCTGAACGTGTCACCTTTGGGCTCCTGAAAGACCCAAGAGGCTGTGTCCTTCACTCCCCAGGCAAGACCGGATGATGGCCCAATGGGTTTTCCTCTCCTGGTTCAATCACCATGGAAACAGGCACTCCATCACAGTCTCAGGGCCCACATGTCTCCCGACACCTGGGGTTGTCTTATACATGTTTCCTGGCACTCTGTTTTCACACGCTGCTCACCCCTGTTTTGCTGGTTGTTGAGAAACTAGGAAAAAAAAATTAAATACTGGCCACTGTGAGCAATGGTGCTAGAGTGATGGCCATGGTCAGCCCTTGCAAAGGCACCAAGCCTGAGAGTGCACAGAGCTCTGGCCCCTGCGTGCCTCCCTCTGTCTTCATGTGGCCCTGTGGATTGAGTAGAGCAGGAATTGTCATCCTGTTTTCAGGTGGTGCAGGGCAGAGTTAAGGCTCGCCACCACGTGGCACTCTGGGGGGTCTCTCCAGGCCCCGAGGGCTGAGAGGTAGAATGCCCTATTTCCATGGAAGCTGCGGTAACTCATCACCACTCCCTTTACAAGTGTGAATGAAGCCGCTGAGTCCAGGCTACTCTGCAGCAACACCGGAGCAGGCCACCTGGCCGAGAGTCTGTACTAGGCCAGCCCCAGGATCTAGTAGTGTCTTAAACAAGGTCAAAGGTAGTTTCTGGCCTTTGGAAAGTAAGCAGCTAGATTGGTGGAGGGGAGCACTGGTTCCAGGCTCAGCTCTGCCATTGGCTTACATCTCTGGGGCCTCAGTTTCCTCATCTGTATAGTGAGACATGATGGCCCCTGGTGGCCTTGCCGGCTCTGACACGCTGGGTTTCTTTTTTTTTTTTCGAGGCAGAGTCTCACTTTGCTACCCAGGCTGACATACACTGGCATGATCTTGGCTCATTGCAACCTCCGCCTCCTGGGCTCAGGTGATCCTCCCACCTCAGCCTCCCAAGTAGCTGGGACTATAGGGGCATGACACTGTGCCCGGCTAAAGACACACTGGGCTTCTATGGAATCAGTAACTCCCAGAGAAAAAGTCTTCCAAGCAGCACTTTATGGCCACAGGTCAAAGGGGGCTCAACCAGGTCTTGCCCACCCCTTCGTGGTACAAATGAGAAACTGGCCCAGAGAGGGGAAGGGACTTGCCTGGGCACACACAGCAAGTCCCTGGGGTTCCAGCTCAACAGTGCTGGGCCACAGTCCCATGCGGCCTTGCTGTATACCAGGCAGAACCTGCGGGGATCCTAAGAAAGCCCCAAAGGAAACCTGCACTCTCCCCCACTGGGGGATGCCCAACACTGAGAGCCCAGAGGGTAAATTGCCAAGGAGGGTTCAGCTCCCAGGGGAGCTGACTCTGAAACCCCACATGACTCTGATGGAAGAACGCCTTTGCTCACCCAGAAGCCAAAGGGAGGGCATTTGCATCTCGGGTGACTGCTGGTCAAACTGACCCGAGGGGTGGCAGGTGGTGATGGAATGAGGCACGCAGGGCCAGTGTGTGAGTTGTTTCGTGTGTGTGTACTGAGATGCGTCTTGGGCAGACTCTTAACCTACAGCATCTCCTGGGCCGCATTATGTCCCAAACAGTCCTATGGCAGCAGCCACAAATCTCCCAGCCCAGAGACCCGGGCACTGGGCAGGGCAGTGTGCTGGTCTGAGGGAGGTGCCACTCTGGGGGAGGTGAGGCCGAAGGGGTGAGTGGGAGGTGTAGGGGAGGGGTTCAGCCACTGTTTTCTCTATAGTCACCATTTGCAGGATGTGGCACCTCCTGGCCTGGGACACACTAGTGCTACATTTGGGTTCTTAGAATATTAATGTACATGCGTCCATGCCACTTAGTCAAACACTGCTCAGGACCCCTCCCCCCAAGCGCCATGCCCAGCCTTGGCCTCCTCAGGTCCCTGCCCCCATCTTCCCACAACCCAGCAGCTAAGGGGTTCATTCCTGGCCTGGGACTGCTCCAATGGGTTGGTTCCAGTTGGTCAGTGCTCACATTGTGCCATTCATTATGTATTTTGACCATCACTCCTGCGTAGAGCACTTTACAGCCACCTCCCTCTGTAGAAGTGGGCCCCTCCTGCAGCCGCACCTACCCAGCCCCAAGAGGTTTGCAGCCTCAGGGACGTCTCACAGCATAGTAGACACAGCCCTGAAAGTCTGGCACAGATTCCCCTTTGTGAACAGGAGCCTGTTTGACCCAGCGGTGGGTGTCGGGGATGGTGAAGGGGTAGGGGGAGGTGTGCCTGGACTGGCTCTGGGTTTTACTTTGAACCGGCGCCGTTCACTTTGTGGTTAGGGGAGTATCTGCTGTTGTTACTGCAGCGGGATTTAAAACTGATTTTTAATACCAAAGCTTTCCTAAATGCATGTGTTCTGCCTACCTCGCTTCCACGTGGGGGCATCATGTTGCCAGGGGCTTCTGTCAGGCCATGTCTTAGTAGAGGTTTCTGCTTCCCAACTTTTGAATGGATGGATCATCAGGTACCCCCTGGGGCTGTGAGCAGGGACAGGCCAGTCTTATCAGAGAGACCAGAGCTTTCTCCCCAAAGACTAAGATATCTTAGTCTAAGACTAAGACGTGCCTCTGGAGCTCAGGTCCTCTCTAGCAGGTGCGGTTGGTTGGGTGGTCCAGGCACATTATTCCCTGGGCAGCACAGCCCATAAACGGTATTAAAATGTCAGCGTGACAGGACCTACAGACACCGCCAGATAACTACAAGAGGCGACTTGTGGTTGGTGAAGCTTTTGAGCATCTGGGTAGCACAGTGGGCCGAGCACTCACATTGGCCTCACAACAGCCTATACAGCAGGTCTGTTATCAATCACATTCTTCAAATGAGGAAATTTCAGCACGGAGAGGTTAAGTAACTTTCCCAAGATTGCACAGCTGATAGATGGCAGGCTAGGATGCAGGCATTTAAACCGCTGCTATGCAGTTTGCAGGGAGCTGAGGCTCATCGACATGGATCCAGAGGGCCTGCATGATGCCACACAGAGGGCAGAGGAGGGTACCCCACCCCCCAGCCCCTTGCTGCTCTTTAAGACCAGAGCAGTCTGAGGCTGAGGGTCTAGGTTGAGGACTGTCCTCATCCCATGGCCAGATAATGACTCTGAACAGCTCTGCCCAGGCCATGCCTGTTTCTGTGGCTCTGAAGTCTTCAGAGGCCATTGGACAGAAACCACTGGCTGGCTTCCTGGGGCTGGGGCTGCCCCTCCAGGGGACTCCCCAGGCCAGGGGAATCCTGGAGTAAAACAAGGCAAGTAGGAGGGGCCCTTGGTGACCATGGATCCTGCATCCTGTGTTAATGAGGAAGAATCAGAGGCCATGTCTGGACTCCAAAGAAGGGATCCTGCAACCAGCCAACACTTGCCTGGGGTGAAGAAGAGGTCGTTGCACCTGTTTCCTAGTCCCCCATTGTAGAGATGAGGAGACTGAGGCACAGAGTGAGGATTAACTTGTCCAGCATCACGCTGTTGATGAGAGCACCGTAGTCCCCAGCCGGGACTGGCCTGCTGCACCCTTCTTAGTTGTGGAAACTGTGTTCTGATAAAATAAGCAGCTCGGCAGGCCAGCAGGCCCACCCTCTCTCAGCCGTGGAGCCACGTCCACAGCAGCAGAGAAAATCTGGGCCTGTGTGCAGGTGGAGGCCCCTCAGGTAGCTTTGCTAGTAGGACACTAACGGCAAAATCCAGAGCCACTTCCTGCCACCAATGCTCCCCTCTGCACTGTCACAGGCAGAGGCCTCATTATTCCATTGATGGGGCACCTGGTGTGTGCCAGGCCCGGGGAGAGACCCATCAGCAGGTAACCTGGAGTCTGAATTAGCTAGAGAGGATCCTTTTGTATGTGCCAGAGAGAACGAGGTTTAGGGGAATTCGCTATTATTTTTTAAATTGATTTATTTTCCCCATGGACATAGACTCCAAGACCATGCTTACAAGAGAAACAATTTGGTCAAGCCCCCTGTTTTGTCCACAGGGACCAAACTCCTGTTTGGCCTGATTTTCCCTCTGACCAGAGTTGGGCACAACCACCTTGGCACAGAGGCTGCCCTGCGGCTGTACACAGAGCAGAAGACACTGCAGAGAGACCCATTCTCATCTCACTGTCCTGCAGGTGGGGCAAGGAGACCCCCAGAGGAAGCGTCTGGCCGCACAGCACAGGGCGGCGCTGATACTGCAGCCCCACCTCCCCTGGTTCCAGCACCTATTCTCCAGAGCACGTTGGACCCCCTTGGGGGTCCACGCCAGCATGTCCTTCCCTAGTGGCTCCTCCGCTCCCCTCCTCACCCTCCTTCCTTTGAACCAAGATCTTGGCCCCCAGCGCCCATTCCCGGATATCTCAGAGGTTTCAGCCGCTCCTGGCCTCCCTGAAACCAGCCACCTCTGCCAGCAGCCCTCAGCCTGGGTGGGGCTCATTCAACTTCATGACACCCAAGATATGGAAACTCCAAAAGAAATGTCTTTATTCTTTTAACTTTCTCAATATTTACAAAGAACAAGAAGAACAAGAACAACAACTGAGATTGGCTCGCAGAGTGGGTGGCAGGTAAACAGATGCGTCTCTCTGGCTTCTGGGGTGACTGCAAGGCAAGGAAGGGCAACATCCCAGTACCTATGGTCTGCACAGGGACAGCGGGACAAGCTGCTGGGCCCTGGCCTGCCTGGGGAGGGGCCAACCAGGTCCAGCCTCCCAGCTTCCAAGGCTGCAAGGCTGAAGGGTCACTGCCTGAGGAGCCCTGCCCCAATCCTGCCCTCCACTCCCATGCGCACACAAACGGAAGAGGCCACACTGTGGCCCAGCCACCTCCTCACAGGAGAGCGCCTCGGGGACCTCGACACTCCTGCAGGCCAGAGGTGGGGGCTGAGGCCCTCTCCGCGTGGCTAGAGGTAGCCAAAGACATTGAAGATGGGTGGGGGCACGGCTGGCTTGGTGGGGATGGGTTTCAGCACCACGGGCCTGCACACCTTCTGCCCCAGGCCGTCCACATCCTTGCAGAGGTGCGCCAGCTCCCCGGGAAAGGCTGGGCTCTTCCTCCAAAGGCCCAGGCTGGGGACAGGACTCTGAGGCAGTGCCCCCAGGGGGCCCGGATAGATGGGCTGTCCATGGTACTGGAAGGGGCAGCAACTCCAGGCATTGACGCGGCCCACCAAGGAGACCCCAGGCATCTTGAGCGGCTCCTTTTCAGCCAGGGCCCTTGGAGACATGGACACCAGGGTAGTCTCAGGTCCCAGGGGCTCCAAGCCCTTGCAATTTTTCTTACCCTCATAGGGAGGTCCCTCCCTGGGGCCCAGTCCCCCCTCCAGCCCCACATGGTAGCTGTGGGTGGGCCTTGGCTCTTCCCAGAAGGAAGCGGGCAGCTGTCTTTTCCTCATGGGCACCTGGCCAGGCTGGGCAGCTTCTGGATGCTGCCTCTGTGGGAGCTGCTCCTTAGCAAGACATTCCTCCCTGTAGGGGTTCCTCAGCACCTTCTCCTTGCAGCCCCCACCCCCGCCGGGGCTGGAATCAGGGCCCAAATCCAGGAGCAGCCTCCTGGGCCGGTCCTCAGACCCCCTTTTCAGGTAGGGCTCAGCAGCTCTGCCAGGAAGGCCCCGCGGGAGCCGGGAATACTTCTGGGAGAAGCGCTTGAGCTGCTTCTGCAGGTACTTGCGATGGTCCACGGAGCGGCGGCAGGGTGCGGACTTATCCAGGGCTGCCTTGATGTCGCTGGACGCCAGGTTCACGAAGTTCAGCAGCATCTTCACATCACTGTCGGATGCCATCACCAGGGGGCCACTGCACGAGGCTTTCCATGAAGAGGGTAGGCTCTGCTGGTGGCCGGCAGCTCCAAGGAAGGGCACCGAGCTGACCTGGGGGACAAAACAGGCCATCGGAGTCTCTCCAAGCAACCACACCCAGCCCTCCCAAAAGACCACAGCACCTGTCTACAAACAGTCTCCCCACCCCAGCACCTCTCAGCCCTAAACAGAGTCCTGGGTAGAGGGATGTGGGTGCAAGTGGCTGAGCACTTCCTGCACACCTGGGATGCGGCAGGCACCAGCAGAGCCTCGCCCAGCCTGCTTGGGTCTGGTGCCCCTTCTTGCAGCCAAGGCTCAGAAAGGTCAAGCAAGTCGCCCAAGGTGACCCAGCTACAGGTGGCATTGCTGGGGCTGGCACACACTCCCAGCCTGCCCCATCTCCCACACACCACGCTGCCAACGTGTGCAACTTGCCAGCGAGGTGTTTATTCTCTGAGCTGAGGCAACTGTTCCTCTTTAAAGCAAGGCCAAGCCCCCTTCCTCCCTGGTGGTAGCCTCCCCCTCCCACCACTCCTGCCCCCAGCACGAGGAGCACCAGCCCCCCTCCTCAGTCCCCACGCTCCACCCCCAGCTCTCACGCAGGACCAGGCAGGACCCCTGTCTGGCACTTAATCGAGACCTGCCTTGCGGGCTGATCTCAGGCTGCGGGCAGCAGGGATTCCCCCGAAGAAGCATCTGCAGCAATTTCATGCCTCCTCGGCCGCCACCCACGGCACCTCGCCCCTCCCCCAGGCCCCAGCCTGCCCCCACACCCGCCACCCAGTCGGGCCAGAGCCACCGGGCCTCCACACTGACCGAAGGTGCGGCCCAGGCCCCACCAACGTGGCCCGGCAGGTTCCCCACTGCAGACCTGGGACAGGCCCCGGCGCAGCCGGCCGAGCTCCGTCCGGCTGGAAGCAGTTGTGCAACCCTTGAGTGGGCTGAATGGAGGACAACTCCCCGGAGCTGGGGGGCCCCTCAGGCCAATCAGGAGCGCCTCTCCAGATACAAAGCATCCCAATCAGGCGGCGGCGCCCCGTTCCCACATTCTTTGCCGTCACAAATTGTCACCATGGGGACCATCACAAAAAAGACAGCTCCCAAATGCAATCATTTCCCGGTAAATTTCTACCCTTCAGCCCCACTCTCCTCAGCCTCCACCCCCCTCCTCCCCTTGACCTCAGTTCCCTGGTTTCTCAAGGGGGTGGGGTGTGTGTGTGTGTGTGTGTGTGTGTGTGTTTAAAATGTCCAGGATTGAGAAGGGGCTGGGCCTAGTGGAGACAGGCTTGCAAACCTCCCCCAAAGACTCCAGGCCTACAGCTGCCATGCTCCAGTGCGGACAGACAATCGGACGGGGTAAGCCGGGGCGGGCTGCTTTTCCCGCTGTCCTTGAGTGTTGAGTGGCTCTCTCGCTCTCACTCTCTCTTCTCCTGTCTCTCTGTCTCTCTCTCTGTCTCCCCCTGCCACCCCCACCACCCTCCCTGCCAGGATCCCCCAGGGATCGGGGATGGAGGGCCTTCAAGGTCAGGAGGTGCGCTGATGCCTGTCGGAAAAGGTGGCCGAGGAAGGACTCTCTAACGAGGTGCTGGGATATCCATGGGAAGGGAGCTGGAGCTCTCAGGAATCTTGTCTTTATGTTTGCTTCCTCAATTGAGCTGCACAAAGCCTGAATTGCCCATTCAGCGCAGCCGGACAAAAGGTTGGCGTTGCACGGTCCCCTTGCATTTGTAGTCAAACAGTTAGGGACTTAAATCGAGTCGTCATGATGGAGAAAGAGGTGGACAAAGCCCATAGAATTGCCATCAGCAAACATTTTCCTGTGTCATATTAGCCAGTTTCCATGGCTCCCCCTGGCCTGCGGACAATGGGACAAGTTTGCACACTTGGCTACTGTCACCGTGCCAACGCCGGCGGGGCTGCAAGCAGGGCCACTCTGAGCAAGCAAGGGAGCCCAGAGCCGCTGTTGGCCCTGCCCACCAACTGGCCAGAGGGAAGGTGAGGCTGAAGGCGAGGGCGGCCGCCTGGGAAATGCTAATGGTCGTGCCTCCGTGCCAGCCCAGCTCACGGGCCCCTTTCACGCCTCATCATTTTTCTGCCCAGACTCAGCCTCCTCTTCCCTCCTCCTCTCCTTCCCCTTCCTTTTCTCTTCCCCTTCTACTGCCTTCTCCTCCTGTCTCCCTCACCAGCCAGATGGCTGGTGGCCTGTGCGCCAACCCACACCTCTGTACTACAACCTAAGATTTGGCATCTTAGGTTGCAGGACTCCTCCCTGGAGTCTCCCTACCCAGACTGGGGGCATTGGCAGGGCAGAGCCAGGGCCTCCATCCAGAAGTGATGGCCCTGCTCCTTCCCACTGGCCAATAGACAGCTGCTGTGGCCTGACTCCAAGCCATCTCCCCTACCCCTGGCCTGAGGGTCCTTACAGGCAAAATGAAGGGTTTGGAGGAGATGGCCCGGTGCTGACAAGCTGTGACTCAATTTAGGCCTTGAAAGCCAGCACTGTATTCTCCATGCCCCTACCCTGCTGCGGGGTCGGGGAAGTGTGGACCGAGATGGAAGTGCCGCTGGACTGACGCATCCTAGATTGTTGGCCACTACGTGCCCTGGAGGGTTGCTCCTGCCTGCGGCAACCTTTGCATGGGTGAGAGCCAAACCATCATCATTTTAAGTGCCAGAGATTTGAGGGCTATGTGTTTCTGCAGCACGTCCCAGCCCACCCTGACTGGTACAAGCAGGAAACATCCTTTCTGCTCCAAAACATCTGGCACGCGTGGCTGAAGAGAGCGCCCTGAGGGCCTGTGGCCACCAGGGCCAGCTCCCTGCTGCCTACTGTGTGAGGCTGGTGTGCACAGCCAACAGTTTGAACCTCTCCAGCAGCTGGCATCTGACTACGTAACCACCTGCTTTGCTGTGCTCGCCCTTTTCTCCCCAGGCCTTCTGTGATTTGTGGGGGCTGCATCATTCCTCTCTCCAGAAGATCTTCTCTCTTCTAAGGGCATCAAGACATTTTAGAGCCACTCAGCTCAGCTCCCAGCTTCCTTGAGATCCCACGGCACCTGCAGCCCTGCTGGCCCATTCTGCACTGCCCGCTCATGAAGCTGTCTCTCCTTTCTTAGCCAGTAGTAAGCCTCCCCACCAGGCCCGTGGACTCCGTGGGAGGTGAGTTGGTGTCTTACGAAAGTCTTTCCAAAGCTCTTAATGTGGGCTGTTCTTCCACCAAACACTTTTTGAGGAAACAGAGAAGGAAGAAAAGAGGGAAGAGAGAAAGGAAAGGGAGAGAAAAGTGGAAGAAAATGGATTCTTTGTGGACACCCAGCATGTGCCAAGAGCCGTATTCCACAACCACATGAAGACCTCACCTGACCCTCGGGGCAGCTCCGTGAGGGTAGTGTTGTGGTTGCCCTGACAAATGAAGTGAGGTTGAGTTACTTTCCCAAGGCTTCACAGCTGTTAACCAGCAGAGCTTGAACTTGAAGCCAGGCCCGTCTGTGTCCAAAGGCTGAGTTGGATCTGCCTGGCCACATTGCCTCCTGGAGCTCCCGTGAGCACCAGATGCTGCCTAAGCGCTGCCGGCCAGGAAGACCAGATTTTCTCCATGCGTCCTGGGTTCCACTCTTCTAGCACAATGTTGGACCTTCCCAACTCAGGAATATGGGAGCTGCAGCTTTGGGAAGTCAGGAGCAGGGAGAGGAGGCAACTGTGGCTTGAGGCCAGGCCTCTGGATGCCTCTGACCCACACAAGGGAAGGCTCCTCTGTGTTTTCTGATTGGCCATATAGGCAGGTGGAAAGACAGCAGTAATCACACCAGTCATAAGACTCTCCCAGTGTTCTCTCATTATTGTCCTGGGTCTGGGCAGAGAGGGGATTATTTTTCCCATTTACAGTTGGTGACACACCCACAGAAGCCTCAAACCTGATTCTTGGGCCCAACTCAGCCAACCCTGTCCTCTCAGCCATTCTTAAAGGCCCAGCTCAAACACCCCCTCCTCCAGGATGCCTTCCGCCAACTCCTAGCATTGTTAATAACGCCCTCTCCCATCCCTGTGTTCCTAGAGTCAAAGATGAAGTCTAACCTCCTTAGCTAAATGCAGAAGGCCCTTTGTAATCTGACTCCTACTAGAGCCTGGCACAGAGTAGCTTCTTACTAAATGTTTTAAGAATTAAATACTTTGCCCATTCCAATGAGCAGGATTTTTCCTGTGAACCGTAAACAGCTGCTTCCTGTCTTATTTTTTTAAATTTTGTCTGTTTATTGTTTGCCCCATCCAGGTGAGCTCCAGAAGGGAAGGGAGTTCTTTCACAGCTTTCTGTCTCTGTATCTCCTGTGACTTGAATGGACTCAGCACACAGCAGGCCTGAGTGAAGGATGCTTGTGGTTGCTATGGCTTACATGACAACGAATTGTCTGTAATCCTACAGGACTATGGCACATGAAAGCTGGAAGCGCTTCTTTCCGACTGCATCGCCCAGCACCAGAGCCCGAGTTCTGTAAAGCTCTGTTAAAGGCACATGAGCTGTGCTGGCTTCAACTGCCCTGAACTTGGATAAGCTGGGCCGCTGATGGACCCTTCCCAACCGGTTGTTGCTGCCTTGGTTTCCCGACAGTCCACTGTGCTGACCCTGCAGCAGGGACTCCCAGCTTTGCATCAACTCCATTCAACACCTACTGTGTGCAGGGACCAGAGGGTGTGGAGGTGGCATTCCCTGCTTTATCTTGATAAGTAAACGTTTGTCTCCTGCCCACTCATCAGTGAAGCAGAACAACTACCTAGCAGTCTCCTGGGAGCCACCCCTCCAGAACCTCTGGATGTCAACAGACACCATCTACTTATAGGATTCAGCCAGCACATGTGTAGACTGGAGCTGCAAGTGAGAAGAGGCATCTGGCAGGGCATGCACAGGCCAAGCCTTAGGGACCCAAGGAGCTCATCTGGGGCAGTGGGTTTTCAAATTGCTTTGAAGCAGAGATGCCCATTTAAAAATATGTGGAGATTCAGCCGGGCGCAGTGGCTCACGCCTGTAATCCCAGCACTTTGGGAGGCCGACACGGATGGATCACCTGAGGTCAGGAGTTCGAGACCAGCCTGGCCAACATGGTGAAACCCCGTCTCTACTAAAAACACAAAAATTAGCTAGGTGTGGTGGCGGGTGCCTGTAATCCCAGCTACTCGGGAGGCTGAGGCAGGAGAATCATTTGAACCCAGGAGGCAGATGTTGCAGTGAGCTGAGATTGTGCCATTGCACTCCAGCCTGGGGGACAAGAGTGAGACTTCATCTCAAAAAAAAAAAATGTGGAGATTCAACATGTAAAACCATGACAACTATGGGCTATGAGTACAAATTTATTTTCCATGCTCAAATGCATACCTTCTACTTATTTGCAAACAATGCATTAGAACAAGGAGTCTGTTCTGATGATATAAAACTTTGAAATCAGGAGATATGGATTATGGTCTCACATCAGCCATCAGCCATACTTTGTTTTGGTTGCAGAACATTTACAAAATCTTGGTTTAGAGAGAGAAGCAGTTGAGATGTCAACTTTCTAAAAAAGTTTATCTTTTAATTAATTTATTTTTTGAGATAGAGTCTCGCTCTGTCACCCAGGCTCTAGTGCAATGGTGCGATCTCGGCTCACTGCAACCTCTGCTTCCCAGGTTCAAGTGATTCTCCTGCCTCAGCCTCCTGAGTAGCTGGGATTACAGACGTGTGCCACCACCCCTGGCTAATTTTTGTATTTTTAGTAGAGACAGGGTTTCACCATGTTGGCCAGGCTGGTCTCAAAATCCTGACCTCAGGTGATCCGCCTGCCTCAGCCTCCCAAAGTGCTGGGATTACAGCTTTCAGCTACCACGCCCAGCCTAAAAAAGCTTCTCTTATGATCTTAGGATGGTCATCAAATGAAAGGAGTCCCTGGAGAAACTATTACCTGGTCCCCACAGGAGTTAACCTGACTGCCCAAGTTCACCAGTCAGCAGCCTAGCGTGTCACCTTGTGAGTTAAAATGCGTTTAAATGTATCTGTTTGTTGGTACATGTTTGGTAATGTTTTAAATTGCCAAAAATAAATGTTAAAGGAGATTTTACATTTTCACACCTCTACAGAAAATTCAGTCCCAAAAGATGGGCTGACTTCTCATTTTAGAGATGAAGACAGAGAGGCCCAGAGAGGGGAAGAGATTCATCCAAGGCAAAGCCAGGCAGAGCCAGGTAGGAGAAGCACCTGGGAGGGAGCTCTGCTCTGCCAGCCACCCTGTGCTGTTTCTCACACCTCATCATATGAGTGTAAAGTCCTACTTGATGGAAATATGTGTCATATATTGTCATTTGTTCTTCCCAGTTGCCACGGTTACTCTCTTTAATGGATGAGGAAGTTGAGGCACAAATTGGGCTAGGAGACTTGCTGAAGGTCCCATGGGCAGTAAATGACAAAGCTAGGGTGGGAGTGATCCTAAGATGCTGCTCCCACCGACAACTGTGAACCAATATGAGGGCCCCATCTCCCTCCCAGGGGCCTTGCTAGCCCAGGGCTACAGACTCTTCCCAGCCACCCCTGCCCTGGAGAGTTAGGCCCGACCGACCACACCAGCTCGGGGAACATAACAAAGGCCACGCGGAGGACAGAGTGGCCTGGCAGCGCCTCTGTGGACATGCGACGCAGACATCACAAGATGATTTATGTAACCTCTTACATAATGGCAGCATTTCTATCAAAGACCAGCCCACGGCAGGCTGTCAGCTATAATCAGAGTGGACGTGCTTCTTGCTTCCTGGGAACAGGAGGCACCAGGTCAAAGCCAACCCCTCTGGCTGGCAGGCCGAGGGCTTCCTGTGCTGGTGAAGTTGCCTGGTGTGGCTGTGCCCTCAGAGGAGGCAGAGACCTTGTAATGCCCCAGAGTAGTCACAGGCCGGCTCAGCCAGCCCCAGCACCCCTGGCTGCAGTCCACCTCCAGTGACAGAGACCACTATCAATGTGATCAAGTCCCACGTTGGAAGTGCTTTCAACCATATTATTGTACCATGAAAGGGAGACGGGCTTCAGAGATAAGATCTTTGAACTCTGCCCCTACCTGGCTGTGTGATCTTGAGGTAGTCACTCACCCTCTCTGGGCCTCAGTTTCCTGGTTGAATTACATCATCAATGCTTGACCTCTGTGCTGCACACATGGGTATTGATATGGTGCTATCGTGATACAGTGCTATATGATAGCGTGCCACAAGTCGGTGCTACTTATATTTGGCAAATGATTTGGTTTTTCCTAGTATAAATCTGAGCAGATTCAACATCATAAAATCAGGTAAGCCCACTTACACTCCCCTGTGCATTCTTGAAAGGGATATGAATGAGTGGGGTTAGAGCTGGTGAGTCTGAGGACTCAAGCCCCAGGAAAAGAGGAGAGCTCAGCCCATCTTCACCATGTGGAGTCTCAGGAGGGATGGGGTTCAGGCAAAGAGTTCTATGTTGAAGAAGAGTGGTGCAAACAGACCTCTGTGTCTTGTTCCTGATTTTAGGGGAAAAGCTTTTGGTCTTTCACCATGGGATATGATGTAGCTGTGGGAATTTTGTAGATCCTCTTTATCAAGTTGAGGATACTTTCTTCTATTCCTAATTTTCTGGGAGTTCTTGTCGTGAATGGATGTTAAATTTTGTCAGATGAATTTTTTGCATCAATTTATATGATCATGTGTTTTTTTCTTTAGCCTATTTACAATTTGTACTATGCTAAGATATAACATCATAACATTTACTATTTTAGCCTGCTTTTCTGTCTTTTCCTCCCTCCCTCCCTTTCTTCCTTCTTTCCTTCTTTCCTTCCTTCCTTCCTTCCTCTCTCTCTTTCTTTCTTTCTTCTTTTTTTGAGACAAGGTCTTGCTCTGTCACTGCAGTGCAGTGGCACAATTGTGGCACACTGCGGTGTCTTGACCTCCTGGACTCAAGCAATCCTCCCACCTCAGCGTCCCAAGTAGCTGAGACTACAGGTTCACGCCAACACATCCAGCTAATTTTTAAAAATTTTTTGTAGAGAGGAGGTCTTACTGTTTTTCCCAGGCTGGTCTCAAACCCCTGAGCTCAAGCTATCCTCCCATCTCAGCCTCCAAAAGTGCTGGGATTACAGGTATGAGCCACCACACCTGACTGCATTTCACTTCTAATATCATAATCTATGTCTTCTCTCTTTTGGTCAGCCTTGCTAGAAGCTTGTTAATTTGATTGATCTGTTTAAAGAACCAGCTCTTTTTTTATTTTTTATTTTTTATTTTTATTTCTTTTTCTGTTTTCAATATCATTGACTTCTGCTTTTATCTTTATTACTTCCTTTCTTCTTCTTGCTTTGGGCTTATTTCACTTTTCTTTTTCTGAGGGCATGGCTTTGATCATTGATTGAGATCTTTCTTGTTTTCTAATGTAGGCCTCTTAGTGCTATAAAATTTCCTCTCAGCACTGCTTTGGCCGCATCTCACAAATTTTGATATGTTGTGTTTGCATTTTTCTTTGGCTCAGTATATTTTTGTTATTTTCTTTGAGATGTCCTCTTTGGCAACGAGAAAGACCTATGTGGGACTTTCTCGGCAACAAGAAGACCCACGTGGGACTTCCCTGGGGAGTCAATAATGCTCACCAAGTGGTTCTAAAGCATTTAGTGGACACCTACTATGTACAGGACATTCTCTGAAGTGCTGGGGGTAGCAAAATGAATACGAAATCCATGCCAACAGCCTTGAAAATAGTTTACTCACCTCTTATTAAATGCTAATAATGTTTCAAAAACTTCTTCTGTATTAACTCCTTCATAATGAGGTGGATATTGCTATTACGCCTACTTTACAAATGAGGACACTGAGGCACAGGTTGACTAAGTGACTTGACGAAGACCCCACAGCCAAAAGGGGTGAAGCTGAAGTGCAACCCAAGCCAATTACTGTGATTTTATGATTAATCATCATGATCAGTAAGCTCTGAGCCTCCTATTCCTCACCCTTGAAGTGTAGCTAAGGGCAGTTCCCTGGCAGGGTTGATAATGAGGATTAAGACATCAGCCATGAAAACTCAACAAACACATCAATCTCCTGGTTCATAGTCGGTGCCCTTCCCTTGCCTTTGCCTCTCCCCTGGGCTGGATATAATGGCTGCTCAGGTGAAGCTGTAAAGAAGGGCTGGTGGGACAAAAGTGACATGGTAGTGGTGTCTCTGCCCTGCGGGGCATCCCAGATGGACCACCGCCCCACATTCACGCCCCTGCTCTGCACGCTCCCCCACCCCCACACACCCATCACCTTGACTGTGTCCTCCAGTACTGATAGGCCTCGTCACTCTCCCAGGCACCAACCAGGAATGAAAAGTCTGTTTGATCTCAACTGTCATCTCGGGTTTGATTGGCGATGACTGGCAGGTGCCCTGTGGAGAGATTCCAAGGGCTCAGTAGACAGAACACTCTGATCTACTAGTGATGTCTTCCCTGAGGGAGGATGGAGATGAAGCCGGCTGTGTGCCAAGTGTCCCTGGATCCAGGTCAGAATCACAGGATGGGAAGCCAGGGATGTCAATACTTGGCATTCTGGTGATCCAAGCCTGCCATTTTAATCAAGGGATTGGAGCCCCTTGAGAAAAGCAGTGACTTATTCAAGCACATATTCCTGTGACCAAGATTCAAGTTTCCCACCTCCCAGGCCAGAATTCATCAGGTCCATTCAACAGACATTTGTTACTAAGTTTCAACTCCAGGCCAGGCACTGACTTAGCCATAATAGATATCTTACACATCTCATAGTATTTATTCTCACAACAACCTTCTGTGATAGATCCTAATGTCATTCCCATCTGGCAGATGAGGAAACTGGGGCTCAGGTAGACTAAAGACCTTAACAGCTAGTGAGAGACAGAGCCAAGATTTGAATCCTTACCTCCTGACTCTGAACCCAAATCCTTCTAACATGCTGCTTTGTTTCAGGGGTGAGAGGCAGCAGTGATGGCTACAGCCATACCTTGAGTCAAGGCACTGAGACGGAGAGTGTTAGGCATTTTGGAGAGCGGAGACAGTGAGAAGCTCAGTGCAGCGGCGAAGAGAGTTCGCTGCAGGGAGTGAGGTGAGATAAGGTTAAGTAGAAAGGTTGAATCCCCCATGTATCTTTGCATGCAGTAGGCACATAATACATGCTTAATGACTGACTGACTGAATGAATGAATGAATAAACAAATCAGAACATAGAGTAAAATGGTTGGTTGGCTCCTGAGCCATTTTAGGAGCTCCAACAGCCAGTCATAAAACAATCTGTAAACAGCAAGTGCATCCTCAGTGCCTGGCTCCCACCCCTCCAGCCACACTGTCCCTCAGGTATGTTGCACAAACAGCACACCTTCGTCGTCAGAGAGGATCCCTTGCCTCCTGGGATGGGAGCTTCCAAGGGAAAAGTGATGGGGCAGGGGTCTAACTTGCACTGAATACTGCAATGCCCCAAGAGTTAGATATTTGTCATCTCATTTAATCCTCATCAAACAAACAAACCAATGAGTCAAAATGAGTCAATAAAACCCGAGATGGGTATTGTTCTTCCCATTTGACAGATTCAGAAACTAGGACCAGGGAGATAGAACTCTCCCCTAGTGGCAGAGGAGCTGGGGTTTGGGCTCAGCCAGTGTCTACAGTGCCCTTAGGGGAAGGTGGGGTTGGCGGTGGGCATTGTGCCCTCTTGCCTTACATATTCCCAGCCCCCACCCCAGCCACCTGGAGCACCTGTCCTACTTGAGTAATAGAAGACTCTTCATCGGCATCTATCATTTAGTTCCTGGCCTCTGATCACAACTCTGTCTGTAGCCCAAATCTAGCCCATAACAGACTTTTTCAAATTTCTCTGAATATGCCATCATCTCTCAGGAAAGGGGCATTTGCATCATCAGCAAAAGGGCCATTTTCACCTGCCTCAGCATTCCATTCCCGTGCTCCCTGACTTGGTCCTGGTGGGGCGTGCTGGGACTATGAAGAGTTACTGCTGTGAGCGCTGCGGCCCCCCATACCTCCACCCTAGCACCAAGGTGAGCTCTCCTAGACCAACGTTGGCCCCTTGGATGGCATTCCAGTGCCTGGCACATGGCAAAGCCCTTGAAGCGTGTTTGTCACCCACAGAGGTCACTCACACACCTTAGGAGTCAGACAATTGCATTTCGTTCCTGCCTCGCTCATCTGGGCAGTGATTTCATCTGTGTGGGCCTCACACTCCTCATCTGATAAGCTTGGTGGAAACAGTGCCCAGCTCCCGGGCTGGGGTCACTTTCAGCAGGCTAAAGGATGAATAGGGGTTGTTTTAGCTCTGCTGGTCTGGGGAGGAGGGGAGACTGGGAGGAAGAGCGTGAGGCAGGAGAATAGGGTCTGGAGGCAGGGACCCAAAGGCAATTCACACGGACCTCCTAGAACTGAATCAAAAGGAAAACACCATCTTTCCACACCCAAGTAACAAGGATTAGAGGCTACTCCCTTTGCAAACCCTACCCGTTTTCCCACTGTGTTGCACATGTAAAATGTAAAGTACCTCTGATCGGTCACCTCCTGTCACCAATCAGACTGGTCATGGGCCAAGTCTTTATTTACATAGGGTGTAACTCTGTATACCCAATGGGAAACCTCTAGAGGGTACATAAACCCTAGAAGATTTGCAACCAGTGCTCTTGAGCCACTTGCTCAAGTATGCTCCCACTATGTACTTTGATTTCAGTAAATCATTGCTTCATTCTTTTGTTGTTTTGTTTGTGCATTTTGTCCAATTCTTTGTTCAAAATGCCAAGAACCTGGACAACTTATAGTCAAGACCCTCCACTGGTAACAAGCATATAGATAAAGGAGAAGACTGGGAAGACGTGGGCTGGAGGGCTGTAGACCACTCCCAGGGTGAGAATTCTTGCTGATGTTTCAACAGATCTCAGCCAATCCTCCCCAGAGCAAGAAGCATGGCAGTGGATGTGAGTTCAGGTGTATTCAGTGGACCTTAGAGTTGGGTCTGTAGCCACATCCCCAGGGTGAGGGTCCCTGGATGAGCCCTGAACAGGGCCAAGTCAAGCAAGAGCCTCTTCTCTCCCCATTCCCTGTTCCATTGCCAGTTATTTTTCTAACCTTATCCACTGGTCATCCTTCACCAGCCACATCCATTTTCTTGCTGTTCCTCAGGCACTAGGCTCACTCCCACCCAAGGGCCTTTGCACTTGCTGTTCCCTCTTCCTGGAATTCTCTTCCCTTAGCTGAGTGGTTGCATTGATAGGCTTGCCACGTGTTTGTGTAAATAAAGTTTTATTGGAACACAGCCAGGCCAGTTTTATTGGAACACAGCCATAGACATATTGTCTATGCTGCTTTTGCCCTACAACAGTGGAGTTGAGGGTTGTGACTGACCCCAGAGTGCACACAAAGCCTCAAGTATTTATAGTCTGGTCCTTTAGGGAAAAATGTTGCCAGCTCCTGCCTTGGATACTTGCACGGCTCACCCTCCCCAGCTTTTCTGTCTTTTTTCAACTCACTCGCTAGTGCGGGCTTCCCACTCTCCAACCTCACCTCTTTCTCTGCTTTCTTCCTCTCCCTGGCGCTGGGTACATGAGATCTCTGGGTATTGATTGCATTCATTGCCTGTCTGCCCACCACAGCACAGGTCCCACAGGGGCAGGGACTTGGGTTCTTGTTTCTTGCTGTATCCCTATGCCTAGAACAGAGCCTCACACCCAGACGTGCACAGGAAATACACTGTCAATGAATGAGAGCTTCCTACACTCCTGGGCACTGGCTCAGCCCACGCCTCTTGGCCCCTGTCTCAGTTTCTCTTGCCATGGAGCCAGGGTCTTGGCAGGTCCCTTGCCAGGTCTCTCCCCAAGGAGGTTGAGTCCTATCGTGAATGGTCACAGTCCCCAGAAACACCCTAGCTCCATGCTAGGACGCAGGCTTCTGACTCCCGCACAGAGCTCCCTGGTACAGTGCAGGAGAGCATTCTACTCAGGACCTCGGACCTCGGACCTCGCCTGGATCTCCCCCTCCCGTACAGCCCTGCCCTGGGGCCTGTGACCCTCCCATTGAATGCTGGCCCATCCTAAGCTGATGCTCTGAGACTTTTAAGCCCCAATAAGAGCTTTGATAACATTCAGTTCACAGAGGCACACAGGGCCTCAATCTCACACACCGACAGGGCTATCGGGTCCTTCTTCGTAACCCCGCTGTACAGAGGAGGAAGCTGAGGCACAGAGTGACCTGCCCAAGTTCATGCAGCTAGGAATTGGCAGACCTGAGATCAGAATCCACGCCCATCTGAGCTCAGGGAGCTCCGTGACACTTCACATCTGTCTCTTCCTAGGGGCCAGCCCTACACAGATGCGCCAGCCCACGGAGCAGCTGGGAGTGTTATTTATGAACCTCCTAGGCTTGGCCCAATCACCCCTCAAGGGCCCCATCACCTCAGGCAGTGCATCTGAAATGCAGATGCTCCAGGTAAACTGAGGCAGTGGAGAAGAGATGGGTTCTGGTGTCAGCAGGACCTGTTTTCCAGCCATGGCCCCACTGCTGTCAGATGTGTGCCCCTGTCACTATTGCTGTAGCAACCTCCCTGAACTCAGCGGTACTCATGGGTCAGGAATTCAGAAAGGGCAGTGAGAGCCACATATCTCCATCTGCAATGTCTGGGGCTGGAAAGACTCAAAGACCGGGGGTGATTTGACAGCCGGGACTGGAGCCATCTCAAAGTCCTCCTCACTCATGTCTGGGCCTTGATGCTGGCTGCTGGCTGTGGCCTGAGCTGGACTGTTGCAGGCACAGCTCCAGTGACCTCTCCTTGTGGCTTCCTGGCTTCCTCACAGCATGGCGGCTGGGTTCCAAATGTAAACATCTCAAGAGACAGGAAGTGGAGCCTGCTAGTTTCTTATGACTGTGGCCTAGAAACCAAAACCAGCACCACATCACTTCTGTAGTATTCTCTTAGCCAAGCAGTCACAGAGCCCAGACTCAAGAGTAAGGATGTAGACCGCATCTCTCAATGGGAGGAAGGTCAAAGAACTTTGGAGCCATGTTTTTTTCTTTTGTTTTTTTTTAAATTCTTTTTCTTTGTTTCTTTTAAAAATGTTTCTGGAGGGGCCATGTTTTACGACTGCCACATTCTGTGACCTTGGGCAAATGGCTTGATCTCTTGAGGTCCCAGTTTCCTTGTCTGTAAAATGGGGATAGTGGTGTCCACCTCAGAGGGCTGTTGTATAAGGTGAACTGAACTCTCAGTTAATAGCAAAGTCAGGCCTTGCACTGGATCCTCAGGCCCCACAGCCAGTGCTACTGATACCACCTGCCCTTCAAGTTGGGGCACACATACTGCTTCTTCCAGGCCTGGGGCAGCTGGGAGGACGGTTTGCCTACGAAGTCCAGTTAGGATGTGGGCAAGCCTTTCCACACATTCACTCAAAAGTGTGCCTTGAGCACCTACTATGTGCCAGCACTTTCTGGGCTTACAGCTTTGATCAAAGCAAGATCTCTGCCTGGGGAAGTTAGCTGTACATTCAAACCCTGTATTTGGGGGATGATGAAGCCCCTGCACAGAGCAGCCTCTGGGCCTTTGGTTCTGACAGTGGCAGCTCTGCCTCATCTCGGTCCATTCCCTGCTCCTAGCTGGCCCTGGTCCTGTCCAGCTAGGCAGGACTGTGGGGCATTATCCTTGCCAACTCCCAGTCTGGCCCCCTCCCTTCCTATCTGTGTTCTATCTATCTATCTATCTATCTATCTATCTATCTATCTATCTATCTATCATCTATTCATCCATCCATCCATCCAATCCCCTTGTCTATCTACTTACCTACCTATCACGTTTCTATTGTTTTCATGGCTTATTTCCCACCAACCACTTTATAAGATGACTATCCTAGGAACTCCAGAGGCCTTGGGAGGACACAGAAGAGATCTATCTGTTCCCAGGGTATTTTCACATTGCTCAGACCCCACGGGACCTTAACACAGGGCTGGGCTTCTGAACCAGCTTCCTTTGGTCACGAATTCTTTGTGGCAATAATAGATGTGATGGGTGTATGCTGGGAGGTGAAGGTACTTACCAAGTCTTTTTTGTTGATTGTTTTAAGTTATAACTCTAATTATAAATGGTTGAGCCGTGTCCATGTGGCCGTGAATGATGACAGCCCCAAGCCCTCCCTGCTAGCCCAACTCTGCCAAGTGAGCCTGCTCTAACATCTGGGAGCCATGCTAACTCAAGCCCAGCAACTGGAGTCTGTCTTGGCCACACCCAGCATGAAACCTGCTTGGAACTCTGCCTCCCCTCAAGTAGCCTCTGGCAGTAGAAAGCGCATGTGTGCTGGAAATCTCCCAGCTGGGTGTGATTCCCAAGCCTATGCCCTGACCTTTACTTTGCCTCTCTGAGCCTCATCAGTCAATGAGGATAATAGCATACTCTTTGCAGGACTCTCATGAGAGCTGAATATCTGGGTGCTCACTCACACTCGGCTCTGGGCAAATCTTCAGTAAATGTCCCTCCTTCCCCTCTGAGAAACATACAGCCACACCTTTGCTCAAGCTGTTTCCTCTACCTGGGCTGCCCTCTTTCCTCTCACTCCCTCATTCACTGTCAAAATTAAACGCATACATCAAGGCCACGTTTAATATGAGCCCTATTTCCAAGGCTGTTCAAAAAAAAAAAGAAAAAGAAAAAAGCAAATTTTTCTTTTAAGCAACTGTCTCACTGAAGACCAAAATGTGAGATGAGTTGGAGGGATCAGCTGTGGTTGTGACTTGGGTGGGCTGGGGCGGCAGTCCCCCTCTTAAACCCCTGAAGTCCATCTGCAGAAAGATCGAGGCTCTGCGGAATATCTTAAAAACAGGGACTGGGTCTGGTTTATTTCTGGGGCCCTGACAGTCCAACTGGCTCAGAGTAGGGGCTCAGAAGTGCTTTGGGAATTAACTGAATTAAACTGAGTCATGTGGAGTTGGGAGGCAGACCCTACCAGACAAGCAGACATACTTTTTTCCCTGATCCCAGCCTCATCCCCGAAACTGGTGTGCACCCAGAGCTTCCCATACCTCCTGGCCAGCAGGGGCCTAGAGGTGGCTGCAGGTGGCAGCCATCAGAGGGACCCTGGCGCCCACTCAGCACTAAGAGGCCAGTTGTCTCAGCACCCCACAGGCCTGGCCTTGGAGTCCCTGGTGCAACTGGGCTCATGGACACCAGACAAGACCAGAGAGGCCTCCTGGAGAAACATGCAAGGATTGGGTTTGGTGGCCTTGTCACTTCCAAGGTGAGACACAAAGGAACACCTTTTCAGTGGGAGAGTATTTATGGAACCAGGTAAGATAGTAATATTTGCTAATACTCATTGAGTACCTACTATGTGCCAGCCACTATTCTAAGCATGTGGTGTATTAATCAGAGTTCTCCAGAGAAACAGAACCAACAGCTCACACACATACGAGGAGATTTATTAGAAGGAATTGGCTCACGTGATTGTGAAGCTGGAGAAGTCCCACAATTCACTGTCTGCAAGCTGGAGACCCAGTAAAGCCCACTGTGGAGATTCCAGTTCAGATCTGAAGGCCTGAGTGCCAGGAACATTGAGGGCAGAAGATCGATGTCCCAGCTCAAGCAGTCACAGGCAGAAAGCAAACTCACTCTCCCTCCATCTTTCTGTTCTATGCAGGCCCTGAACAGAATGGATGGTGTCCACCTGCATTGGGAAGGGCTATCTGTCTTACAACCCATGAGTAGATACTATTAGCAGCCCATCTTAAGATGAGGAAGCTAAGGTACAGACTGGGGAAGTGACTTGTTGAAGGTCACAGCTAGTAAATGGCAGAGCCAGACACAAACCCCAGCAGTCCACCTACAGGGCTACTGCCTCCATCTGCATGTGAATTTAAT
The DNA here is from genome assembly GCF_000001405.40 of Homo sapiens. NCBI lineage: Eukaryota > Metazoa > Chordata > Mammalia > Primates > Hominidae > Homo > Homo sapiens. The sequence goes on along the minus strand of NT_187601.1, from coordinate 1,025,960 downwards.
TCCATGCAGAAAAGGCCTGTGTCATTGAGTTGTTTGGTATATTTATTTCCCAAGCCCCCACCCCTCCATCTCCTTCATTAAGAGCTGGGCTAAAGAGTCCTCTGCTCACCGACCTCTGTGTGGGCTACTGGGTGTGATAGAACCTGGAGGATAGGCTGATGGGGCAGAGGCTGGGACAGAGGAAGGGAGGGTGGGGTGGGCTTCATCCTGCTGGATGGTGGGGAAGGGACGCTATGAGGATGAGAGATGGGCTTAACAAGGGGGGATCGGGCACCAGAGGCCTCACAACTTATTCATGTCAGTGCCATGATTTGCGCCCAGGTTGTTGAGCCTCAGCCTCTGGGCATGACTATTGCACTACAGTGGCCGGGGAGGGACAGGAAGGATGGGTTTCTGTGCCCATTAGGAAATAGACTTTATAGGGTCAGAAATGGGGGCACAAAGGAGAAGAAAAGTTCAGGGAGACTTGCAGGCTTGGGCAAGCAGGCAGGTGGTGGAGTCACACCCTAAGAGGGGGGACCTGGGAGGAGGGACCCTGCCATGCCCTTCAGGATGATGGTGACCATCAGATGAGATGGGGACACTAGGAGGTCTGTGCTGTCATAGCAAAGACATAACAGTTGAAGAGCACTTACAGGTTTTTCCTCATCTCCATTTCCATGTCAAAATTTACCAGTCCTGTGTCCCGTTTCCTCCAGACCATTGCTAATCTGATAAAAAGGCTTCCCTATGGAGGTGGCATTGGAAAAGGCTGGGTTCCCTTCTAACCTTCCCCTCTCTTTTTGCCAGGGTCCTTCCTGAGGCAAATCCTCAGCCGCTGTTGCACGGGGTAAGAGGGAAGGGCAGGGTCAGCCTGGGGAGGATGTGGTGGGATGAGTGCTCAGGGGCTGAGCACAGCACATGTACCAGCCATCTTGGAAGCCACCTCATGTGCCAGACCAGATGGGCCACACCCCTGTCTCCACTGAGAGTGAGCTTGCTGTCTCCAGAGGTAATCGAGCAAGAATAAGACTGACAGTTGGGGAGAAGATAGTAATGCAGATTTAAGCATCAGTGTGTGCACTGGGGAAGTTGCCTGAGGTGACCTGTAACCTTCCATGTCCAGAGTCAAAGATGCTGGGATGCTGAGAATTGGAAACTCCTGGGAGTACCCGCAGGAAAGAGGGTCCATTCGAGGCATCTCCCTGTCTTTCATCTCCAGTTTGTCCACAAGGCCTCACCTCTGGCATGGCCACCCCTCAGACTAGCCAGTCCTTTTTCCATCCAGTACATCTCCATCTCTGTACACCTCATTTCCAGGTGAAGAAGCCAGATCCTCAGAATGTCAGGGCTGGGCAGGACCTCAGAGCTCAGCCAACCAACCTTTGATTTTCAGGGGAGGACCCCGAAAGCCCAAAGTACAAACAGACAATGGCCTGCCTGTGTAGGAAAAGAGAACCTTGGCCCACAATTTCTGCAGCAAGCAGCACATGAAGCCAAACCAAACCTCTGTGGCAATGGGCCCAGAATGGTCAGGGCTCTGTCAATCCTGGTCAGCTTCCCTATTGTTGACTACTGCTTCCAACTCAACACCCATGAAAGAAAGCCAAATATGCTCCTAATGCAATCACATAAGATGTCGGGCTTCCAGCTAGCCACCTCCCGCTTCCCCATGCAACAACCTCCAGTCAGGGCACACCTGAGGCCTCCCCCTTTTCACTATGATGCTTCCCCTCACCCTGCCTGCCTGGGAGTCTCTGTCAAATGCAAGTGACAGTGGCCCATTCCCTTGCCATACCAAGCACACAATAAATGGCCTCTGTTTGATCTCCTTTGGGTGGTCCCAATTTATTTCCACAACACAGAGACCCAGGAAGGGATGGTGGGTTGTTTAAGGTCACATTCCAGGTCTAGGACAGAACTCAGCTCATTCGTTATCACCTCGTTAGAACTTTACTTCTCTGACTCCCTCTATTATTCTAGGTAGAATTGACCACGTTCTCCCTCTTGCCTCTCAGTATCCTTCACACTCTATCTCAGCACCTTCCACACATGCGATGATTTTAAAGTATGTCGAAAGCTCTGTGATACTCATCCCTTTAAGAAGTGGAGCCTAATACTCCTCCCCTTAGTGTGGTCTGGATTTAGTCACTCTTCTAGTGAATAGAATGATATGAAGTGACCATCTGTGACTTCAGAGATGAGGTCATAAGAGGCTCAGCAGCTTCCTCCTTAATCTCTTGGATCAGCTCTAGGGGAAGCCAGCTGCCATGTTGTGGGGATGCTCAAGGAGCCCTGAGGAGAGGCCCATGTGATGAGGAGCTGAGAGGACTTGGGCCAAAAGCCAGTGGAGAATTGAGGTCTCCTGTCAGTAGCCATATAAGCAAGTATTCTGGAAGCACATCCTCCATTCCCAGTCAATATCTTAACTTCAACCTCATGAAAGACCTTGAGCCTAGCTCAGCCACTCCCAGACTCCTGACCCACAGATACTGTGTGAGGTAATCCAAGCTTGTTGTTTCAAGCTGCTAAGCAATCTGTTGCAATAGATAATTAATGCAACACATTTCTGCATTTTTTGCCCTACATGTCTGAGACATATAATATCCAATAATATCCAATTAGGAGCTCTTGAGAATAAGGCACCAGTAGCTCAGGGCTCAGCAATGTTTGATGGACAGACATATGGATGAATGGATGGGTAGATGAGGGTGCACAAAGTAAGCGAGGGGGCACCCTCGCTTACTTTGGCTTCAGGGTTGGATGGATGGGTAAATGGATGGATGGATGGATGGATGGAAAGATGGGGAAATGGGTGGGTGGATGGATGGATGGGGAAGTGGATGACTGAATGGACAGGTTGGATGGATAAGTAGATAGGTGGGCAATTGAATGGATGGGTGGATGGATGGAGGCATGGGGAGATGGGTGGGTGGATAAATGGATGTGTGGATGGATGGATGGTTGGACAGATGGATAAATGGATGGATATTCGAGAACTTCCAGGCTGCTCAGAGACAGCAAGTTTGGTGTGGGCAGTTGCAAAGTTTATTTTAAAAGTCTGATGATATTTTAGTTCAACATGTTTTCGGACAATGGGGCCCTTTCTTGTGCTCCTTGGTGGCCCAGAAAACATAGTTTTGATGGCTAATTGAGTGGTGGTCATAATTTCTTCTCCTGTAAAGACCGTGCTTTTCGTCTATGAGGTTGCTCTAGGCCTGACTGTCCTGTCAACTGTCTCTTTGGTTCCTATCTTATCTACCTGCCAAGACCCTACTCTCTCCTGTGAATCTCTTTTCTTCGTCAGACACCTTGAATCACAGATAGTTGGAGATGAAAAGGACCTTAGAAACCATGAGAAACACCATGGGCGAGGAGACTGGGGAGCTCTGGAGCCATAAACCTGGCTTCAGGTCCCAGTTCTGCCACTCACCAACTGAGTGGCCAAGGGTAAGTCATGTAACCTCTCTGACCCTCAGCCTCTTCCTCTGTGTGTGGCACCTGCCTGCCATCACATGTGGAGGGCTCAGCCCAGAGCTGGCCTGTGCTACGGAGCTAAGCACAGAAACAACCCATCAATGTCACTATCATCTCAAAGCCAAAGTCCTGCCATGTCATTGGGACAGGCTACAGAAACATGTGCAGAGTGTTTATCTCAGGACTCTCATTTGTGAGAGCCATTCATCTCATCCAACCCTCTTAGTTTGTTGTTTTTAGACAGTGTCTTAGTCTGTTACCCAGGTTGGAGTGCTGTGGCATGATCATGGCTCACTGCAACCTCGAAATCCTGGGCTCAGGCAATTCTCCCACCTCATTCTCCTGAGTAGTGGGGATTACAGATGCGCCCCACCATGCTGGCTAATTCTAAACATTTTTTTTGTTTTTGAGATGGAGTCTCACTCTGTTGCCCAGGCTGGAGTGCAGTGGCATGATCTTGGCTCACTGCAACCTCTGCCTCCCAGGTTCAAGTGATTCTCATGCTTCAGCCTCCTAAATAGCTGGGACTACAGGCATGTGCAACCACACCTGGCTAATTTTTTTTTTTTGTATTGTTTAGTAGAGATGCGGTTTCACCATATTGGCCAGGCTGGTCTCAAACTCCTGACCTCGTGATCCACCCACCTCGGCCTCCCAAAGTGCTGGGATTACATAAACATTTTTTTTTGTAGAGACAGGATCTTGATATGTTGCCCAGGCTAGTCTCAACCTCCTGGCCTTAAATGATCCTTCTGCCTTGGCCTCAAAAGCTTTGGGACTACAGGCATGAGCCATGGTGCCAGGTAGACCACTTCATTAACCAGGTGAGGAAACTGAGGCTGAGAGGTGGAGTGGTTTGCCCAAAGCAACCTGGTGAATTAGTGGCATGGTCAGGACATGAATCCTGACTCCAAGACCAGTGCTCCTCCTCTCTCTTCTGAACCCATTTTCTGCACCCTTGGCTAACAGAGGAAAATGCAGGATTCACCTGAACACTCAGCTTTGGCCTCAAATGGCCACGAGAGGGAGCCCTTGGAATTGCTCGGGGCCTCTGTGCTTCCGGTGAAAGAAGCCTTTCCGTCCGTTCTTGAAGGCGCCTAGGCCAGTAGCCCCCGCCCTGCCCCTTCCCTCCCTGTGCCAGCACCTCTGAGGCATTCCAGACTCCGGCTCCTTTTCCTTCTCTACCTCCACCCTCCACCTGGATCCCAGGATTGTCTTTCTCCTTTTCCTGAGTAGAACTGGGATCCTCAGAACCCCACAGTGGTTTTGCCAGGCAGGTGGTGCACATTTGAGGCACCCTGGCTTACTTTGGCTTCAGGGTTGCAGTGACATGTCTAGTTGTCCCTTAGCATCTACTGACACTCCCATCCAGCTATTCCACACACTTCTGCTCAGCCACGCCGGGTGGGAGAGGCCAGGCCAGGGGAGGTGGAGGAGGTGGGAGAGGAGTTTACCTACTGTGTAGCCCGAAGATGACAGAGTTACAGCACACAATGACAGGACATGGCTCGGAGTGTTAGTTGGACACAAGCAGAAGGGCTGATAGTAGAGGCCTTGGGGACAGCTCTGGTGGCAGATTTGAGCCGTAAAGGATGCAGAATAGTTGGCCAGGCAAATAAGGCCCACAAGTTCCTAAGAAACTGGGAGGAGGAGCCTTGCCTCTGGGTCAGGGGTGCTACCTGGGAGGACACCCCTTCTCTGGGCATCAGTAAATAGGGCTAATAAAACCCACTCTGCCTTCCTCATAGGAGGAAAGAATGTCTGAGTACATACAAATGGAAGCAGGTTGGAAATTAAATACCATGCCCATCTCGGGGATGTATTTTAGCACCGGTGTTTTTCTCTTTCCCAGGACGTTCTCCAATAAGCGTTCATTCTGTGTCCCCCAGCACCCACTTTCCCTGTCCTGACCTTCCTGCAGATGCATTTTTGAGACCACTCAGGTTCCTGGGTCACTGATGAGCGTCCCTGTGGGCCTCCCACCATCCTCCACTTGGTGGCTGACTCCAGCCCTCTTCCCTAGCTTGGGTTTTTCCATGAGTCATTTTAAAGTCTTTGTATAAGGCCTATTAGGATAAAAACAGGAAGGCAGGCAAGCCAGCAAGCCCTGGAGGCCATCCCTGGGCTCTTAGGAGATTAAAGTCTGCAAACACAATCCTGGTGTCTGTGGGCCATCTGCCCCCGCACCTCCCATGTGCTGACCAGGAGGACCTCGGAATCTGGGATGAATGGGACACTGTTTGAATGTTGGAAATGCCCCGTTGCTCCTTTCTCTATATCTTTTTAGGCAACACAAATGGCAAGCTCTTTCCAAGTGTCATTCTCCAAATAGATTCCTTCTTGTCTAGGGTCGTGGGGGGAGGGAGTGGAATAAGAGGTGAGCCCCTCTGATGCTCCAGCAGCCCCTTCTGTGGGCCCAGCAGGCCACTCTTAACATCTCCAAAACCTGTGGTTCTTGCAGGACATACACTTTGTTTCATATTCTCCTGGGCTCACTGTGCATAACCGCCTTTGTAATTCTCCAGTTCTCCCAAATGCATATTCTCCCTTGCAGACGGCATTTTTCAGAGAACAGGAGGGAGCTGCTTCCTTAAGTATCGCCTGGGATCACATTCAGACTGGAGATGTTGCCAGAAGCAAATCCACCTCGGTGGGGATTCTGGTTGACCCAGGAGACCCTCTGCTCCTGAGGGAACTGCTGAGGGGCTTGGGCTATGACTCCAGGACCAAGAGTTTTGGGAGAGACTTTCCTTCCCTGGACAAGGAAAAGGAAGTGGAGCTACCAGCTGCTGCTCTGGGAGGCTAGAGGCTCATCTCTCTACCATGCACCCTTTCCGAAGCTCTGTTCTCTGAGGGCTTCTGGAAATACCCGCTTTAATCAGAGTTAAGCCGGATTTGAAGGTTGCGATGATTAGATGTGTCAAAAAAATTTTACATCTAATAACACCCAACGCTGTCAAGAATGTGGAAAAAAACAGACATGTATGCATTGTTGATGCGAGTGTCAATTGGTACCCATTTTTTGGAGGGAGTTTGCTAGTATCATTAGAATGTGAAATAGATATGCTTTCAGACTCAACATTTCCACTTCTAAGAGTCAATTCTAGAGAAATATGTGCACATGGACACAAAGAGTCGGGCATGAAGATGTTTGCAGAAATGTTGTTTGCAACTGCAAAAAACAGTAAAATAAAAAGCCACCAAATCAAAAAACCAAACACCTAGCATTTATCCCCAGCTTTACTGAGATATAATTGACAAGCCTCGGATTTAGACACTGTGGCAGAACTTGGGTACGGTATGCTTTGCAGCCACTAAAAAGAATGACATAAACCTACAGTTGCTGACTTAGAAGGACCTCAAGATGGATCTTTTCATGAAAAAAAGGGATACAATTATAGGTACTGTATCACCCCATTTATGTTAAAAACAAAAAAGAAGAAAGGTAAAATAAAGTCAAAGGGAATGCTTGGGAACGTTTGGGACAAACACACCCCACACTGAGAATAGCAGTGATTTATGAAAGGTTGTAGGCTGGGAAACAATTGAAAAGGGTTGCATTTTTTAGTTTGTAAACTTTTCTGTTGTTTGAAATGTTTCTTAATGAGCACATATTTATGTATATTGTTTTTGTTCCCCAATATGTATATTGTATTTTGCTCCAGGGCACCCACCTCAGAGAAGTCCTGCTCAGAACCTCCGAAGTCAGTTGACTTCATTCAGCAAACATTTTCCGTGCGAGCCTCTGCCCTGCACAGCTCTAGGTTGGGTGTTGAGGACATCAGGGCCATTGTCCCCATCCCCAGGGAGTGCAGTCGCCTGCAGGGAGAGGCAGATGGACAGATGAGGACCGTGCAGTGGCAGAAACTGTGAGGAGTGTCCTCATAAGGACGGCAAGAGTAGAAGGCAGGCGAGGCCAGTTCCCCTGGATGAAGTCTGGGGAGGCTTCCTGGAGGAAGTGACACTAACTTGAGTCTTACAGATGATGGGGGTGTGGATGGGGTGTAGATTGGGTGTGGATGAACCAGTGGAAGAACAAGAGGGAAGATTTGAAGAGGAGGGTTCCAGGAGGGGAGATGTGCACTTGGGGGAACACAGGGCGGGTGATGGGTGGGGTTGGGGAGGACAAGAAGGGTTAGGGACAAGGGCTGAGCTTGGCTTCTCATCTCTCAACTCCTGATTGTTGCTCTGGGGTGCAGGGAGCCAGCCAGTGGCCAGCAGAGGGCACTTTTGCCTCTTCCAACTGCAGAGTCTGGAGCCCCCGGGAGGAGCTGGTCAATGGTTTCATGTTGACATGGGTGGGGAAGCTGGGCTCTCAGGACCCCAGGGAGGATGCACCCCAAGAGCGAGTGAGACCGAGACACAGATGATTAAGTTGCAGCATTAGGAGGCGTGGCAAAGGACTTTAGCCAGTCCACACGTGCAGAGAGGTCATCGGCAGTGCTGCTTTCCGAGATGGTGAAGAGAGGGGCTTCAATCAGAATGTGAGTGTGTGGTGGCACAGGAGGCTTGTGGCCACGGTGAAAGCAAAGGCTAGAGTCGAAGACAGCATTCCAAGAGGGTGCTCTGAGGGCTGCAGCAGCATCAGCCCCGGGGGTCTGGCATGTGGCCTCCCCCACTGGTCCCCTCTACCGCCCACCCTCATTCTCTCTGCCTGAGCTCTTTTCCCTGCTCCTCCAAAGCAGTGTCCCCTTCCCAGTCCTGAGCACTCCTGGACCCTCCACCTGCTCCACAGCAAACCCACCTGGAGTACCTGCTCAGTGCCGGGTCATCTCCTGGAGGTGGGGATGTGGCAGGACCCCAGGAAGGCCCCAGATCATTCCACTGTGGGGGAGGCACAGACACTAACTAAGCAAACAGAGCTTCCGGCAGCGATGGGCCCCAGGCAGAGGATTCAACAGGGCCATGGACAGGTCGGGGAGGCCCTGGGGACACTTCAGCTGAGACCTGAATGTCAAGCTGGAGCCTGGCATGAGGGTGAGGCCCTTACAGGTAGAGCTCCCTGGACAAGGGTGAGTGTGGGGCTTTCAAGAGAGGGAGAAATCAAAGGTAACCCCTCAGTTTTGACCCGAGCCACTAGGTAAACAGAAGGGCTGTTTTCTGAGGAAACAGGGGCTGTGGGAGAGGCCAGCTTCGGGGAAGGAATCCAAAGTTCCGTTCTGGTCACCAGAAATCAGAGGTGCCAATTAGCAGTGCACGTGCAGGGTCACGAAGGCAGTTAGAAATCTGAGTGTGGGCCAGGCGCCGCGGCTCACACCTGTCATCCCAGCACTTTGGGAGGCTGAGGTGGGAGGATAGCTTGAGCTCAGGAGTTCGAGACCAGCCTGGGCAAAACTCTGTCTCTACAAAATATACAAAAATTAGCGGGGCGTGATGGCGCGTGCCTATAATCCCAGCTACTTGGGAGGCTGAGGTGGGAGGATTGCTTGAACCTGGGAGGCAGAGGTTGCAGTGAGCCAAGATTGCACCACTGCACTCCAGCCTGGGTGACAGAGCAAGACTCCATCTCAAAAAATAAATAAATAAATAATTAAATAAATAAATAGAAAAGAAAAAGAAATTTGAGTTTGGATCCTCGGAGAGAGGTCAGGTGTGGGAGTCCGCAGTGTGTAGGCATCTGAAGCCAGGATGAGAGTCTAGCTGAGTTCAAGCTCATACCAGTCATCGCCCAACAGCCAGTAAGTCCAGTAAGTTGAGAGACAAGGTGTTGGGGTAAGGAAAGCGACTTCACTCAGAGAGCCAGCAAACAGAGAAGATGGTGGACTAGTGTTCTAAAGAACCTTCTTAAGTTAGTAGGAACTTCAGGCTCCCTTTAATGTCAAGAAGGGAAGAGGAGGGAGTTGAGGTCAAGAAGTGACCGACGACCACAGCCATGTGGGTGTGAGCAAGGGTCTGAGGAGGTTGTGAAACATCTTTGTTCTTGGTCAGTTGACTTCAGTTCAGATGAAGTAGGTCAGGCCACAGTGTTCCTATAAATCTTTAACGAAATACTATTCCTCGTGTGTACACGTCCTTATCTCCTCGGGAGTTAGTTTTGGAAAGGGGCTGTTATCATTATTTTCTTAAAGTTGAACTGCAAGTAATTAGCTAGCCTACATGCAAAGCTAAGCAGAAGCTTTTCTTTTTTTTTTTTTTTTTGAGACGGAGTCTCACTCTGTCACCCAGGCTGGAGTGCAGTGGCGTGATCTCCACTCACTGCAAGCTCCACTTCCTGGGTTGTTCACGCCATTCTCCTGCCTCAGCTTCCCGAGTAGCTGGGACTACAACAGGCACCTTCCACCAAGCCTGGCTAATTTTTTGTATTTTTTTAGAAGAGACGGGGTTTCACCGTGTTAGCCAGGATGGTCTCAATCTCCTGACCTCGTGATCTGCTGCCTCGGCCTCACGAAGTGCTGGGATTACAGGCGTGAGCCACCATGCCCTGCCAGCAGAAGTTTTTAACCTAAAGCAGGGGTGTCCAATCTTTTGGCTTCCCTGAGCCACACTGAAAGAAGAATTGTCTTTGGCCACGTATAAAATACACGAACACAAATGATAGCTGAAGCCGGGCACGGTGGCTCATGCCTGTAATCCCAGCACTTTGGGAGGCCAAGGCGGGTGGATCACGAGGTCAGGAGATCAAGACCATCCTGGCCAACATGGTGAAACCCGTCTCTACTAAAAATACAAAAAATTAGCTGGGTGTGATGGCACATGCCTGTAATCCCAACTCAGGAGGCTGAGGCTGGAGAATTGCTTGAACCCAGGAGGTGGGGGTTGCAGTGAGCCGAGATCACGCCACTGCACTCCAGCCTGGTGCCAGAGCAAGACTCTGTCTCAAAAAAACAAAAACAACAACAACAAAAAAAACAAGTGATAGCTGAAGATCTTTAAAAGGTCGCAAAAAAAATCTAATAATGTTTTAAGAAAGTTTATGAATTTGTGTTGGTCTGCGTTCAAAGCCTCCCAGGCCGCATAAGGCCCGTGAGCCATGGGTTGCTTAAGTTTTACCTAAAAGGTTTTACTATGAGGGCAGAGGCAAAATGGAGTCGGTTAGGCTGACTCCCTCCACTGTTAGAAGATTGCCCCAGAGAGGAGGGACAAGAAAGGGCCAGGACTCATTCCTGCTGCAGACAACATGCATGTGGAGGAGGAAGTGAAAGAGAACAAGGAGTGAAACCAGGAGAGCCCCCTGTGTCCAGCAATCAAGTGGAGAAGCAGCCTCAGGAGCAGGGTGGGATCAAGCTTGGCTGACGCTGCTGTGGGGTCAGGTGCAGCCACAGCCTGGGATCTGGCATCACAGAGGTCCTAGGTGCCCTTGATTTGAACTGTCCCTGTCTCCTGGAGCATTAGGGTCTGGTCCCACCTGCCTCCCCTCCTGCCTGTGAGTGCGTCCATCACATCCTGAAGGTGATGCCGCCTCCTTGAGGGGCTCTTCACAAGTGAAGGATGCACGAAGAAGGTCGTCCAGGGCCATGTGGAGGGTGGGGTTTGGTTGAAGCTGGGAACCAGTGCAGGGTTGCCGCAGGAATCTGGCGAGATGGGGCAGAGCATGGAACTGAGGCAGCAGAAGGAGATGGAGTCAGGGGAGGGAGTAGCGGCTCCTTCATTATGGCAGACAGATTCCTGAGCAAGGTGACCTTTGGGCCTCAGGCCTAGTATGGGGCTTGTCTGCAGCTGGGGGCAGGTGGACCAACCCCGGGAAGAGAAGAAAGACGGTGCTCCTGGCCCCTCCAGCCTCACCTCCGTCCACCACCCCCACTCCCAGCCCATATGCCAGTTCTCTGAAGTTGTCCAGAGAGCAGGGACAGACATACATGGCCAGAGAGTCCACTCTATGTCCCGGGAGTCCCCACACTGTCCTTCATTTTTCCACCTTTGTAAGTGTCATGCCCTCCACCTACAGCTATACCCCTACTTCATTTCTGGCAAACTCCTACTCATCCCTCAAGACCCAGTCTAAGTATCGCTCACTCCAGCAAACACTCTAGACCAACCCCCCAGTCCAGGATTGATGAACCCCTCGGTGCTCCCACAGCCCCGAGGGCTTCCCTCTGGCTTTTCACCATTCTGTAATAGTCCCCTCCTCCCTCTCCCTCCCTAGAAGCTGGGAATGCCTCTTCCTACAGTGGCCCTAAGATCACAAGCCCTGCCCTGATGTCATCACCACCCTCGGGCCCCCTTGAGAAGCAAGTTAAGCGAACAGCAAGTTAAGCTCACCCAGCTTCATCTTGGTACCGCAGTGTGTTTGTACACGTTTCAGGCAGACAGAGGGAGTTGCCATTTCGGGAGAGGAGCTTGACAATCAGAGACAGCCAGCACCCAAATTCTCATGGACTCAGGATGGAGAGCCTTTCCCTAGCAAACGCTCAGGTGCAGACTCAGGTGTGGGACAGGTCAGTACCGCAGTGGTGGCTAAAGAATGCCTTTTCATGACTGTGCATCTTAGGAAAATCCTCCTGATGCATTGTTTTCCAGATGGGAGACTGTGGTGCAGAGATGGAGGCCTGGTCCAGGGTCACCCAGCCAGTGAGGTAGAGCCCTTCCTCCTGGGTACTTTGCAGGGCTTGGGCTTGGCTCAAAGCTCAGAGGTCCGCGCACTGTGGCCCACGCAGAAGGCCACACAGTGCTTCCAGCCTCAGTAAGCGCTCAGTTGATGTCAGCCAGTAGTTTTTTAACAGCAGCTCAAACTGAGCACCTACTGTGTGCCCTGGTACTTAATGTGGTGGGAGTGGAAGATGGGCAGTGGAGTGTCAGGTAGTCACTCCTGATGTCAGCTGGCCCAGTCCCACCTGACATCCTGATGGGGTGGGCCTGGGGAAATTGGTTCTCCCGAGGTGCCCCTGCCAGAGGAGCAGGCAGGGATGGGGGGCTAGTCCCAGGGAGTGAGGATGGTGATGGCTTTTCATGCTCAAGCCTGCAGAGGATTTTGAGTTCAAGGGTAGGCAAAGGTATGGGTCATCCTTGGAAGAGACTTTGTTAGTCTCTTCCATATCCTGGGCAGAGAAGCGAGGCCCGGCCCAGTGAGGGGGGATTGAGCTGGTGGGCTCTGAGATGGGGCAAGCAGCAGTTCCGGGTGGAAGAGGACCCATTGGAGATTGAAGGAAATGCCTGTGGGGGACACAGCCCCCAGGGACCGTCATGTGGAAGGGGAGCTGAGGCAGGCATGAAGGCCCCACCCTCCCTCCTTATGAACCCTGCTTCTGCACACAGCCTGGCCTGGACATTGTTTGGCCTTTTCTTGTGGCCCTGTTATGGTCTGTAAGGAACCCAGCATTCACCTGTCAGTCTGCACTCCTCACCCCCGCCACTTCCAAAGAGCCAGGCCTCCTGTTCTCAAAAGGCTGAGCCTCAGCACCGGAGCCTGCCTCACAAGTGGACTGAACGGGGCACAGAGCAGCTCAGCCTCTGTCTCCAGAAGATGCAGGAAACTGAGAGGCCATGGGCAGCTGCCTCCCCTGCAGAGGACGGCGGCACCTCTTCTACAACAGCGTCTGAGCAGGAGCTCCCGCCTGGAGGATGGACGTCCAGGGCAGCCCTGAGGTGAAGGCGCAGGACAGCCCGTCCTCTGGCTCTGCCCCCTGTCGCTCCCTAGCCTCCTGAACAGGGGCCACACAGGAGCTGGGGACACAACCCAGAGGCCCTGCTGGGGCCACAGGACATGTCCATCATGTGTGATGAGTCACAGCAACTATTTTCAGCTTCTCGATCAAGGACATTTTGGTCTTTCTGGGTCGCGTCTGACTTAGTGAGAAGCCCTGGCCTCTCTGACCCCAGCAGTGGGACTTGTCCTCATATGAGCTGAGATGCCTGAGAGGCGGCCCGCACTGGTTCATTTCTGGGTGGTCATTCATGGTCATGGGTTAAACACAAGTCTCAGATCCCAAACCCTGGGCCTCCTGTTGCCTCTGGGGCCTCCATCTGCCCCCATGGCTGGGGAGAGTCACAACATGCATTTGCCCCAGCTCCATTCTGTCAAGATGCAAAAGAATGGATAGTAAAAAGAGTCCCACTCCCTCCCCAGCCCCAGCCTCCAGGGACCCTCCTGGAAGCAGCCACTGTTTCCAGTTCCTGGTGTCTCCTTCCAAAGATGGTCTGGGTAGCTCCAAGCAGTGGTATAGACATTCCCTGATGCCTCCCGTCTTAAGGACACTTGTTTGTACACAAACGGGGGCACACGCAGTCTGACCACAGCTCCACGCTTGCTTTTCCCCCTTCATTTATTTTAGCCATCAGGCCACATTAGGCTGTGAATGAGCTTGTCACTTTGATCAGCTGCATAAAGACAGACTCTTAAGTGGTATCTCCGACTCTCATCTCTTGCTCCTGAAGTCAGTGTTGTGGTTCCAGAGCAGCTGTGCCAAGCCATAGCCTTCAGCACACCCTGTGAATTTCTATTTGTTAGGAGATGTGTCTCATCTTATCTCATTCATTGTATCAATGAGAGCTAGCACTTAAAACACCAAAGTCTGTGAATGATGTATTCTTTTTCTGAATGAGTGATAGCAGATTTAAAGTTATTGCTCTCATAATACCAAACTAGGTTAGGAATATTTTTGTTTGAATGTAACAGAAACAATTTCAAACTGTCTTACGTAAAAGAGAGAAGTCAGTGGCTCTTGTAAGCTGAGAAGGTAGGGTCAGCTGCAGGTACAGCTGGCTCCAGGGTTCAAACAATGTCATTGGAATCAGTTTGCTCTCTAATTCTTCCACACGCCTTCCCTCTGCAGGCTTACGTCCCAGGATTCACTTGTAGCGGGATGGGCAACCAGTTTTGTGCCTGCCTAGTTTCAGGGTATAGATGTAGGTGGCAAAAATAATCTCTTTTCCAGAAGTCTAAGTGAAAATCTCACTTTGTCTCTGTACTAGTTAGGCAAGGCTAAGTTGCTATGACAAATAGACCTCAAATTCTGCTGTAACAGCTCAGACTATAACACTGCATTTTGCTGTCATGTAATATCAGTGGTGGGCCTTTCTGGTCATTTCTCCATGTGGTTGCTCAAGGACCTGACTCATTCCGTCTTGTGGTTCACTGTCCCCTAGGGCAGGAGTCTGCAGACTTTTCCTGGAAAGAGCCAGAGAGTCAACATTTTCGGCTTTGAGGGTCTCTGTCACAGTCTTTCTTTCTTTCTTTCTTTCTTTCTTTCTTTCTTTCTTTCTTTCTTTTTTCTTTCTTTCTTTTTCTTCTTTTTCTTTCTTTCTTCTTTCTCTTTTTTCTTTCCCCTTCCTTCCTTCCTTTCTTTCTCTCTTTCTTTCTTTCTTTCTTCTTTCACAATACTTTAAAAATGTAAAAACCATTCTTGGCCAGGTGTGGTGGCTCACGCTGTCATCCCAGCACTTTGGAAGGCTGAGGTGGGTGGATCACCCGAGGTTAGGAGTTCGAGACCAGCCTGGCCAACATGGTGAAACTCTGTCTCTACTAAAAATACAAAAATTAGCTGGACGTGGTGGTGAGCACCTGTAATCCCAGCTACTTGGGAGGCTGAGGCAGGAGAATCGCTTGAACCCGGCGGGTGGAGGTTGCAGTGAGCCAAGATCTCGTCACTTCGCTCCAGCCTGGGCAAAAGAGTGAAGCTATATTTCAAAAAACAAACAAAACGGAATAACCGTTCTTAACTTGTGGGTTGGGCAAAAACAGGACCACAGGCCACACTTGTCCTGCAGGCCTCGGTTTGCTGCTCCTGCCCCAGGCCATGGCACATGCAACCAGCCTGTGGAAGGGAAAAGAAAAGCAGACAGTGACTTGCCCACTTCTTCCCAGCTGCGGCCCCTCCGCCTCCTACACGAACCATTAAGTTGGCCCCAGTCACATGGCCACGCTGAGCTTGGCCATCTGCTCAGGAAGAAGAGAAGTGGCTTTTGGGGAGCAGCTGGCAGTCCCGCACAGTCTCATTGGCCCTGTTCAGGTCACATGTAACCCATCAGTGGCTGCATCAGTTAGTTTTTGTGGCATCACAAGCTGAATTCGTTTCCTAGGCCCGCCATAACCACGTATGACAAATTTATTCTCTCCCAGTTTTGAAAGCCAGAAGACCAAAATCAAGGTGTGAGCAGGGCCAAGCTCTCTCCGGAGGCTCTAGAGGAAAATTTTTCCTTGCCTCTCTTCTAGCCTCTGATGGTTGCCAGCAATTCTCTGCCTTCCTTGGCTTAGAGCTGCAGTGACTCCACTCTCTGCCTGCATCCAGACATAGTCTGTGTCTTTGTATCCAAATTTCTTTCCTTTCTCTTGTAAAGAACGTAAGGCCCACCCTAATCCTTTATGACCTCACCTTAACTTCATTGCATTTATTTTCAAGTAAAGTCACATTCACGGTACTGGCATTAGGGCTTCAGCTTATCTTTCTAGGGGACACAATTCAACCCCCTACACAAGTCTCACTCCAGTGTACCTGCCCTCTCCACCCCGCAGTACGTGTGCCAAGCTGGAAGCACACCCTTGCTAGAGATCCCCGCCTGCCACAGCTGGATAGCCCACTGCTGCTACCTGAATCTAGGTAGTGAGCCCCTTGTCCCTGGAGGTATGCAGGCAAATCCAGGTTTGGCAGCAGCTCAATTAAAGTGGCTTAATTCACATTCATTAATAAACATTTAATGAGCACCACTGGGCTAGGTACCAAGAACAGAGAGGCGGTGATTGTAACCCCAAGAGAAGAACAGATAATTGGCTCATAATATGATAGCGGAAGCAGATGAGCACTAAAGGAGAACGCAGGCCAGAGGCGGAGCAGCTGGGAGGCGGAGCAGCTGGGAGGCGGAGCAGCTCAGAGGTGGGCCTGGGTGGCAGCAGGCATGTTCTCCACCCAGGGCCATGAGGGAAGGACAAGAGAGGAGGCAGCCCCATGAGGAGGGGAGGGGGAGGGGAGGAGAGTGGGAGAATGCAGTATGTAGGGAGCAGTGAAAATAGAGCTCAGAACAGATTAAGAGGACAAAGCAAGTTGAAAATGATAGGGCATGATAGAAACAAAGCACAAAATGACACCTCGTGTTTTCTCTGGATTCATACTTGTGTGTAAATGTGCTTACAATGGGCTCCAAGGGCAGCCACAGCCTGAGAGCAGTGGTTTTCTCGGGCTCACGAGAATAAAGTGTGTGGACAAAGGGGATTCTAATTGTGTTGTAGAACTCTAATTTTTAAAAGAGAATAGATGTATATGCTATTTGTCTCATTTCTTTAATTTGCACATAGCAAAATGACTACCAGCAAAGACACCAAAATAGCAGCGGCAAATTCTGGGTGGTGGGAATCAGTGGCGGTGGTTGGTTCCCTTTACTTTTCTGATCGTTTGACTTCCTTAAAATGTGCATGTATCCTGTTTAATAATAAAGAAGAGAGTGGTTTTTCCTTAAAAAATGTCTAGAAGTGAAAATGCCACATATAAGTATATATTAATGTCTCATATTAACAGTGGTTAATTCAGAGCAGTGGAGATATGGGGTGTTGTCATTTTCCTTTTAGGATTTTTCTGCATTTGTCAAATTTCCCAAAATGAAAAGGAGGCAAAGGCTGGGCTGGAGCCCAGAAGAGCCCAGCATTTGGGGGAGGGTGGAGCCCAGAGCAGTCCCCCAGCCTTTGCTTTTCTGGTCTGGATGGTGCCACTGTCCAGTGAGTTTTTGGTAAAAAGGAGGGGAAGGGAGAGGAGGGGATGATTGAGGGGAAGGAAGGGGACACGAGAGCGTTTCCTTGAGAGTGAGGAGAGAAAGAGGAGAGAGAGAAAGGCGCGCATCCCCGAGGTGAGCTCTGGGTCTCCTGTCTCCCAGCCTGGGAGGGGAAAGGGGCTGGTCTCTGGGCCTTGCTGATGGGAGGGGAAGGGCTGGTCTCTGGGCCTTGCTCATGGGAGGGGAAAGGGGCTGGTCTCTGGGCCTTGCTGATGAGAGGGGAAAGGGCTGGTCTCTGGGCCTTGCTCATGGGAGGGGAAAGGGCTGGTCTCTGGGCCTTGCTGATGGGAGGGGAAGGGCTGGTCTCTGGGACTTTGCTGAGCACCGGCCATCCCTTGTCCCAGGATACAGCCCTGCACATCTTTTTCCTGCTCAAGAATTTCAGAAAGAAGAAGAAAAAGCCCATTTGCACTCATATGTTTACCTCACTCCAGGGAATTCTCTGGAATGGAGAAAGGCATTTGTTTGCAGTGAAAAACAGCAGAAGAAGAAAAGCCCCGTCAGCTGGAAAGTGTCTGAGCCACAGTGAAGGGCTCCTTCCCTGCGGCCGCCGCACCGGTTATTAACACAGAGGTAATGACATTAGGCGGCGTGATTAAGTCAGCAGCCCTGGGCCTGCCACCCCTTCTCCCGGAGTTACAGCCTCATTTTTCAATTATGCTTTCATTTGAACATCTTTGAAAAACGCCTGGCGAGCACGAGAGTCCAAGAGGAGAACTGGGCTCATTTCAGCCCGTCTTTTTTCTTTCCCCAGGAGGTGGGGTAGCACATTTCCAAGCTCAAGGTGTGCAGGACCCCTCCCCAAATCCCGAAACTCGGACTTGAACAAGAATTTGCTGTGTTGAATTGTCATCAGTTGTCCCTACTCATGCCATAGAAGACTTTCAGAGCCAAGCAGGCTCCCCAGAGATTAAATCCAGCCTCTTCACCAGCAGACGGGAAACAGGTCCAGAAGAGCCCCAACTTGCCTGGAGCCCAGCCAGGCCGGACTCGGAGACTTTAGATTTCTAAACCTGAATCAAAAGGAGCCAGCTCCTCAAATGGGCATTGGTGCCTCTGTGCAGTTGTTCAGTCATCATAACAAGCAGAGTGGCCTTTGCCTCCCGTGCAGAATAGGGGTCCACAACAGGCCTGTTGTTGCTTCCTGGGTACCTGCCTGCAGTTCCCAGAGTAGCCACCAGGTGGCCCAGGCCTTGCCGACTCTGGCTTCATAATCCAAACAGCCCGGCTCAACTTCCAGGGCCTGCAACATAATGGAGAGAACTCAGAGTCCGCTCCCCACCTCCCCCGTCTGCTCCCCGCTGTAAATTTAGTCCGTGCAATAGTGAACATTCAGGTCTTCAAATTTCAGGGGTGCAGGAGCAGAAACGCAGGGGTACTGGGGAGAGAGGCTCGGGTGTGTCTTTTCAGATGCCACATAGCCTAACTGTGCTGCCTCTAGCAAGACCCCCATCTCTGAGCCTCCCTTACCTGTGAACAGGTGTATCCATAGCCACTTGCTCTGCCGCAGAGTTATGCAATGATGGACGTGAAGCCTTGTGGGAATGGCGACCCAAAAGTTCCCAAATGCCAGAATGCCAGATCCCAACTCCCCTGGATTTTTTTTTTTTTTTTGAGACAGTGTCTTACTCTGTTGCCCAGGCTGAAGTACAGTGATGCAATGCAATCATGGCTCACTGCAGCCTTGACCTCTGGGGTTCAAGTGATCCTCCCACCTCAGCCTCCCGAGTAGCTAGGACCACAGGCAAACGCCACCACACCCAGCTAGTTTTTACATTTTTTGTAGAGATGGGATCTCTCTATGTTGCCCAGGATTGTCTTGAACTCCTAGATTCAAGCAATCCCCCTGCCTCGGACTCCCAAGGTGCTGAGATTACAGGAGTAAGCCACCATGCCCAGCCCGCTGTGAGCTTGTTAACAAGCACAGCTCTGGGCCCATCCCTCCAGAGTCAGAAACAGAAGGTCTAGAGTGAGCGGGTCCCTGAGCGGGCCTCTCCCTCCCTCTGCCATCCCAAGGGGAGAAGCCATGGGGACCCTTGGCCCTAGCGCAGTGCTATCCCCACCCCACCACAACTGCCTCCACCAAAAGAGCAGAAGGAACGTCACCAGGATGCCTCACACACCGGGGCTAACAGCCCAGCAGGAGGCTGACATGCAATCAGTTACAACCCTGCCTGGAAAGTGGTGGCGGAACAGTGGGGTGTGGCACCCCCCAGGGGGCTGCAATCCACCGTGAGTTTCCCAGCAAAGCAGGTGTGCCCGGGCACTGCTCCAAGACTGACGTCCATGATTCACTCTACAAATCAAAGTGGAAGTCAGGTTATTCCTATACATACATCAGCCTTACTGACATGACAGGCTTCCTAGAATGTTCTAGGTGAGGAGTTAGAGCAACCATGCCAAAAACCCGGCCCAGCCCATGGACATGTGTCCTCCTGTGACTGCCTTGGGACGGTGGAAAAGGTTGAGATTCTTGGCGCTTCAGGTATTAAAATCGCCCAGGGTGTTTTTGGGAATGCCTTTTGGAGAAGGGGGCATTTGAACTGAGTGTTTCGGGGTAAAGAGCAGGTGAAGGAGAGGAGAGGGGGCTCTGGGAAATGTGAGCAGAGTGTGGAAGGGACAGAGCCTGCAAAAGCTTGATGAGAATGACACACATTTGGATATAGCTGGAGAGAGGGGAGCAGTGACGAGCGACGGGGTGAGAGAGTTCAGCATGGCCTGGCCCTAGACCTGAACAAGCCTCTTAAGCCACGCAGAGGTTTGGATTTCTCATAGAAACCCACAAGGGTCTTTGAAGGCTTTTCAACTCCACAAGGGCAGAGACTGGGGACACAGAGGCCAGACAGTGACCATTACTATCCCCTGGGTGAAGCCCAGGGGCCGGGGCAGAGGAAGAGGGAGTAGAAGTGGAAGGCAATGCCAGGTGACTATGGTATTCAGGATTCAGGATCCGTGGGACACAGGTTCACATCAGGAGCAGATGGGCCACGGGTCATATGGCAACCAGGCTGGCTGGAAAGGCTGGGGTACCAGGAGGAACGGGGGAGGGGGAAGCCTGCAGGACAGCAAAGGCGTCAGGGCGTGAGAGGCTCTGACGGCTTGTGCGGGGGTGACTGGAGCTTCCAGACGGCCCTTAGAAGAGGAATCCGGAGCAGCAGGAAGGAGAATGAACTGGCAAGAGGAGCCGGAGAAATGTTAGGATGTTGGTATTGGGGAAAGTTTCCTCAGCAAGGGCATGCAGAATGGATGGAAGAGGAGGGGTGCAGAGGTGGACAGGCGGCCAGGAGTGTGGGGTGACAGGTGGCCCCAGTGTGAGTGAGACCACAGCCAGCTCATGGAAACATCCAGAGTCATAGCGGGGTCCTCAGCAGAGCTGGTGAAGAGAAAGTGAGACCAACTCAACGTGTGATTGTGGATAAGTCCCTGCTCTTCTTTCAGCCCCAGTTTCCTTATTTATGTCGTAAAGAGTCCAGAGGAGGAGGCCTCCAAAGGCCCTTCCACTATGGACTTTCTGAAGTTGACTAACTGGGTAGTATCCCCATTCCTTAAGGAAAAAGCCAGCTAACAAGGACCTGGGGACATCTCTACTGCATATGGGTCACTTCTGGACATGCCCTTGACACTGTCGGCATCATCTCTTTTATGTGGATTCCAACTAGGGCTGCTGTGTACAGTTGCACAGGCTACGTACTGCATTGTTTGAGGCACAGCCATCCCTTTAAACTAGATGGAGTCTTGCAGAGCAGCCCCTGTGCTGAGAACATCCTCCCTGCTCCATGACAGCATCTGGAGTGCCTACTTCCTGGAACCTGGACCCTCTCCCCAGAATGTGATTGGGGAGAACAGGAGGACCTGAGTTCTAGGCTGGCCTGTGGTGTTACATGGCCAGCCCCTCTACTCACTGGGCCTCTGTCTCTTTCTCCATAAAGCGGCCAGGACGAGCCATTCTGAGGCCTTGTCCAACTTCTGAGTTCTTATTGCCAGAATCATTTGTCTCTGGAAATTGCAGCAGCACCGAGAGGGCCATGTGGCCTTTCTGGGCTCCTCCCAGATCAGCCCCAGGAGCTGAGAATTTTCCTTGTGCTTCTGTGCTGCAGAGCAGAGATGCTGCTGGGCTCATCCAAATCCCATCCTCCCCAAAGCCCCAGGGGCCTCATTCCTACAGGGGCTGATTCTCGAGACCCAGGGCTTCATAAGTGCCTCGACTACCAGACAAGCAATAAGTGTCCAGGGTGGGTCGGCTGCACACCACAGCACCTGACAGCTGGGTGGTTCTTGCTCAAACCATCATTATCTCCCTTAAATCACGTGAGTAGGAAGTCTGGATTTGTCACTAAGGAAAGCTGACAGGACATTCTTCATCAAGGAGGCCCTCCAGCCCATGGACAGGGTTGGTGGGATTCCTGGCTTTCAAGGGACCAGCCCTGTTACGGAGCACTAATGAACATAACCAGCAGCATGTCCTCCACACGTGACAGTCCATGAAGCCCTTCACACTAATGAAGTCACTCAACAAACACTGAGGGCATACTCTGGGCTAGCTCACTGTGGTCATGGACATGAGACAGCTCCAGGTACTGCTCAAAGTTGCTCACCGCCCCTCTGGCTCATAGCTGATTTGATTCTCACAACCACCCTGTGAGGTAGGTATTATTATCACCCACACTTTGCAGACCAGGAAACTGAGGACAAGATTTAGGTCCTTTGCCTAAGGACCTAAGGCCAAGCTGAGCCCTGAACACAGGCAACAGACCACAGCCCCCAGGGGTTTCGTTCTCCCTCATGTGCTGTGACCTGGGGCCAGCACCTTCCCTTTCTCAGTCTCAGCTCCTCATCTGTAGTTTCTGGCTGGGGGGCTAGAATGGTGACCTAGCTCTGCGGTGCATAGATCCTGTGAGCCCAGACCTGCTGCAGACTTGGCAAACCTAAGAGTTAGCTTCAGAAATCAAATTGGCAGATCCAGAGCTCTAAATCAGAAGAGACACCGCCCAACAAGCTGATTGGGCAAGTAGGCGTCCGGGCCAAGTTCGAAATACGCACAACTCACCCTTGTAAGCTGTAAACACGCTGCACCACGAGGTCCCGCTGTCCATCATCGGGTGTGTGAGTTGATATCTGCCTTCCTGGAGCCAAGTTTTGGCTGTAGCAGACACTTCATTTCTCCCCACACAGGGTTCCACATTATAAATCACGTGCTTAGGAGAGAGGGGGAGAGGCGGGAACAGCTGCCAAAGGCTGGACCTGGCCACGTGAATGGGATTGGGGCACATGAGTCCACTGATTGTGGAGAACTAGTGGCTTTCTCAAATAGGCATGGAGCTCAGGATGCCCTGTCTACCTGGTCAACTGCCCTTCCCCGAGGACCTAAGTGCACAGTACTACGGTTAGGTGCACAGAGGCAGCACACCAGGATCCTGGCTCCGTGCTCACAGGCAGTTTCCATTTTCCCCCTAGACCCACCCCGACCCTCCACGCTGTTCTCTGGTCTCTGCGGACGCCATTCAAGGACTCCTGGACCCCTGGTTCCCAGTGAGTTCCCACAATAGTAGATGTAGGCACAAGATCAGAGGGTACCTTGAGACTGAGGTTGGCTATTTATTTATTCCCCTGGACCTTTTCCTAGCAAAGACTGCAGCTCCTGACAGCCTGCCCTTTCCTGCAGCCTCTCTCCAGGTTTTGTAACCCCTCTTCCTCCTTGCCCTTCAGGACGTCACCAGCGCTGTGACACTGTGCCATCCCTTGTTGGCTTCCCTCAACCGACTCACACCTCTGTAAATATTCCCCTTTTAAACTCATGACCTCTTTCATGTATGCCATGGGATTTCTCCCAGGAGGCTGACTGATGCAGCTGTTTACTGTACATCAATTTTAAGATGCACTGTTATTTTAAGTCTCACTAAGAAAGAATAAACAGGCCAGGTGCAGTGGTTCACACCGGTAATCCCAGCACTTGGGGAAGCCTATGCAGGAGGATCGCTTGAGCCCAGGGGTTTGAGACCAGCCTGGGCAACGAAGTAAGACCCCCACCTCTACAAAAAAAAAAAAAAATTAGCCAGACATAGTGGCATGAGACTGTGGTCCCAGCTACACAGGAGGCTGAGGCAGGAGGATCAGAAGATCACTTGAGTCCAGGAGGTTGAGGCTGCCATGAGCCATGTTCACGATGCCACTGCACTCCAGCTTGGGTGACACAGCAAGACCCTGGAAAGAAAGGAAGGAAGGAAGAAAGGAAGGGAGAGAGGGAGGGACAGAGGGAGGGAGGGAAGCAGGGAGTAAGGGAGAGAGAATAAACCACAGCCTTAAGTGATGACACAAACTAGACCTGTAAACCATGACACAGGGCTTCCTATCACTTTATATTTTTATTTTATATTTGGCAAAAGAGCTGTTTTTTAAACTTGTTTCAATTTAGGATTTTGAGGGTTTTAAAAAATCCTCTATCACTTTTGTGCATACACAAAGAGGGAGATATCAACTAATAAATCAGCTCAGTTGCTCCCAGAACTCCATGCTCAAGAGTCCTTCTCTTCTGAACTGTTTAGCTTCCATGGCATCAGTGTCCACATTTGCCCACATGGAACTGGTTCTGGGCCATCAAGGGCATTGGTGGTGCACCATTTCTTAAAGGGCTGCCCCACTTTTGTCTCTGGGATTTTCTTTCCAAAGCCACTGCCCACATTGTGCAAATTTTAATATGCATGTATGGCAATGACAACTTTGTTATGACTGTCACCTGTCAGCATCAACTGTACGATGTACCTCCATTTTAGAGACCATAAAATGTTTCTGTTAGAATCAAGGAAATATGGGTGTTAATTACGCTGACCTTAGGCAAGTCAATTTGCGTCTCTGAGCCTTAGTGTTTTCATTAGTTGAAAGGTACATTTACCCAACTTGATCTATAGATTCAATGCAATCCCAGTAGAAATCTCAGCAAGTTATTTTCTGGATATCAACAAACTGGATCTAAAGTTTATAGGGAAAGACCCAGAATAGTCAACACAATATTGAAGAAGAACAAAGTCAGAGGACTCACACTACCTGATTTTAAGACTTACTATAAAGCTACAATTATCAAGGCAGTGTAGTGTTGGTTGAAAGAATAGACAAACAGATCAGTGGAATGAATACAGAGCCCAGTAGTAGACCCATGTAAATATAGTCAACTGATCTTTGACAAAGGAGCAAAGGCAATTCAATGAAGAAAGAATTATCTTTTCAACAAATGGTGCTGAAACAACTGGACATCCACATGCAAACAAAATTTAATCTAGACATGACTTCACACCTTTCATAAAAATTAACTCTGATTTTACACCTCTCATAAAAAATTACTCAAAATGGGCCGGGTGCAGTGGCTCATGCCTGTAACCCCAGCACTTTGGGAGGCCAAGGCGGGCAGATCATCAGGAGTTTAAGACCAGCCTGGCCAACATGGTGAAACCCCGTCTCTACTAAAAATTAAAAAAAAAAAAAATTAGCTGGGTGTGCTAGCATCCACCTGTGGTCCCAGCTATTCAAGAAGCTGAGGAAGGAGAACCGCTTGAACCCAGGAGGCAGGGGTTGCAGTGAGCCGAGATCGTACCACTGCACTCCAGCCTGGGCAACAAAGCAAGACTCCATCTCGAAAAAAAAAAAGAAAGAGTAACTCAAAATGGAGTGTGCACGTAATGTAAAACACAAAACAATAAAACTTCTAGACAATAACGTAGGTGACACTGGGTTTGATGATGAGTTTTTAGATACAATACCAAAAGTATAACCCATCAAATGAAAAAATTGGTAAGTTGAACTTCCTTAAAATTTTCTGATTTGCAAAAAACAGTATTAAGAGAAAAGACAAGCTACAGATTGGGAGAAAACATTTGTAAAACACATATCGGATAAAGGACTTATATGCAAAATATACAAAGACCTCTTAAAAGTCAACAATAAGAAAACAACTCAGTTAAAAGATGGGCAAAAGATCTGAACAGACACCTCACCAAAGAAGATACACAGATTGCAAATAAGCATATGTCATCAGGAAACTGAAAATTAAAACAACAAGGAAATGACACTACTATTAGAATGGCCAAAATCTGGAACATTGACATAACCAAACACTGTCAAGAAAACAGAGCAACAGGAACTCTCATTCATTTCTGGTGGAAATGCAAAATGGTACAGTCACGTTGGAAGACAGTTTCATTTGTTGTCTCTCTTGCAAAACTAAACATCGTCTTTGTTTATGTTTAGCTGAAACACATGATCCAGCAATTGTATTCCTAGGTAATTACCCAAATAAGGTAAAAAAATGTCCATGCAAAACCCTGCACATAAATGTTTATAGCAGCTTTATTCATAATTTCCCAAAACTAGAGGCAATCAAGATAGACTTCAAAAGGTGAATGAATAAACTGTGGTACATCTGTACAAGGGAATATTATTCAGCAATAAAAAAAATGAGCTGTCAAGCCAAGAAAAGACATGGAGGGATCTTAAATGCATATTACATTGTGAATAAGCCAGTGTGAAAAGGCTACATACTGTGTGATTCCAACTATATGACAAAACTATAAAAATATTGTCAAGGCTAGTGGTTGTCAGGAGTTTGGGGGTGACAGAAGGGAGGAAGGATGAATAGGTGGAAAGCAGGAATTTCAGGGCAATGGAACTATTCTGTATGCCACTCTGATGCAGATACATGCCATTAAGCATTCATCAAAGCCCCCGGAATCTGTACCCTCGCATAAACTATGGATTTTAGTTAATAATAATGCATCGAGATGGTTTCATCAATCTTAGCAAATGTACCCCACTAATGCAAGATGTTAATAATAGGGAAAACTGAGAGTGGGAGGGAGGGGGCCTATAGGAACTCTATCTACTGTCTCCTCAATTTTCTGTAAATCTAAAACTTTTCTGAAAAATAGAAGTCTATCTTTTAAAAATAAAAATAAAAATAAATAAAGCATGCATGTATATCTGTCTACTTCCTGGGGCAGCTGGAAGGCTATGTGAGATAATATATGACAAGCACTTGGTGGAGGACCTGGCTTATAAGAGGTGATCAACAAATGCCTGCTACTGTGGTTGTTGCAGTGGTTATTGGAGCTGTTGTGGTTATGATTGTGGCTGTTGTTAAAATTGCGTCAGGTTGCTGTGGTCTGTGGTTATTTTGGGAGCTGTAGCTGTGGTTGTTGGAGTTGGTGTGGTTATTGGGTTTGTTGTGATAATCACTGGAGTTGTGATCACTGCTGTGGTTGTAGGGTTAGGGTTGTATTTGCAGCTGTGGGGGATGTGTTGGCTGTTGTGGGTTTTGTTACAGTTGCTGGATTGTGTTTCTCATGGTGGTGGCAGTGCTTGACTTGTGTTGGTGGAATCATTGTGGAAGTTGGCATGGTGGTGGCTTGAGCTTCAACAGCCTGCAGAGGGCTGAGTCCGGATTCTCTTTCCCAGGTAAAGGTCTTGGTTAAACACTTTGGGGCTTGCAGAGTCTTCATAGAAGCTGAATTTCAAAGAGCTTCAGTTCTGTAAGATGATAAGATTTGGGGCAAAAATTAAGTGAGACAAAGACAGACATGAATGGAAGAAGCAGGAAATGAGGGAATGTGTCAGGAGTGAGGGTGGCTCCAGTGAGCCCTGGCGTGTGAGCCACCTCCACTGATCACTCGGCATTCATGGAAGTGGCACTCCAGAGTGTGACTCACCATTCGTAGAATTCTCTAGAAACGGATTCTTTTTTTCATAAGAAAGAACATATATTTTTTAAAATTAAGTGGAGAGAAGAACCAGCCATCCGTACCTCTGGAATGAGCTGGCCTCTGGAGAAACTTTGTCTCCTTCAGGGAACGGTGCGGGAGTTCTTTGCGATACATTTGTAGGAGAATCACTTGAACCCAGGAGGCGGAAGTTGTGGTGAGCCAAGATCGCACCATTGTACTCCAGCCTGGGCAACAGGAGCAAAACTCTGTCTCAAAAAAAAAAAAAAAAAAAAAAAAAAGAGAGAGAGAGACATGTTTTCTTTCTTTCATATGTGTCTGTGCCTAGGGATTTTCATGGTTGTGATTTTATACAATTGGGTACCTACTATTCACTTAACTTTATATTCTAAGTGTGCTTTCATGTAGGTACTTTTTTTATATATAATCATCATTTTCATAATAATTTAATGGTTAAAACCAGGAGTTGGCAAATCATGGCTTTTGGGGCAATAAATAAATCTTTATAAGTAAAGCTTTCTTGGAACATAGCTACACTCATTCACTTACACATTGCCTATGGCTGTTTCTTGCCACAATAGCAGGTTGAGTACATATTGCACACAGGCAATATGGTTCAATAAGCTGAACATATTTACTTATCTGGCCCTTTTCAGAAAACATTTGCCAACCCCTGTTTTAAATATGTTTTTGCCAAATAGCTTTTCAAAAGCTTCGTATGATGTTTTTGAGCATCAGGGTGTGATGGCTGATGCCTGTAAACCCAGCACTTTGGGAGGCCAAGGCAAAAGGATCACTTGAAACCAGGAGTTCAAGACCAGCCTGGGCAACATAGCAAGGCCACGTCTCTACAAAAAAAAAAAAAAAAAAAAAAAAAAAAAAAAAAAAGAATTGCATTAATTTACATTACTATCAATATTGTGAAAGGGTATCAATTGTTCTGCATCCAGGCCAGCATTTGGTGTTTGTTTTAATCTTTGCACATTTTTAAAATGAGACAAATAGTATCTTTTTTTCAATTTGAATTTCTCAAATTATTGGTGAGTAATTTTTTCCATTTATTATTTACTTTTTGAATGACTTCTTTTCTGAATTTTCTGTTCATATTCCTTACTCATTAATCTACAGAGACATTGCTCTGTATTTGTTTTTTAAATTTTGTTTTGTCTAGCAATTTATGTAAGTTCTTTGTGCAATTAAGATATTCATCTGTTTCTATCATATTTGCCATAAATTCCAGAAAAGTCTTGCCATATTTATTAATACGGTGACTTTGGGCAAATCCCTCAACCCCACTTTCCTTCAGTATAGTCAACTACAGGACAGAAGTAGAGTTATTTTTCATGGTATTATGTTGAAAATTTGATGAAAGCTTTTCATCAAATCTTTTACTAAAGAAATGAAAGTTTTAATTACTATTATCATTATTATTACCTATGAAAACAAACTAGCAGAAACAAAAACATCAAATGCATTCTGCCCAACTTTTGGAGGATATACGGCAGTGGCTTTCAAACCATGTTCTATGTACCTTAGTGTCACAGTAAGGATTCTTTCAGTTAGAAGTGAGAGAAAGCCCAGCTCAAACAGGCTTAAGCAAAGTAGGCACAACTCTTGTCTCAGGTCATTGTAAAGTTCAGGATTTGGGATATGGCCAGATCCAGGGGTCCTGACGATGTTACCAGGACTGCCTGCCTTCTCTCCATCTCTTGAGTCTGCCGTGCTTGGTTTGGGTTTTGCTCTCAGGAGGGTGCAGATCCTGGCTGCGATGGCTTGGAAGTTTGTCCCCTCCAAAACTCACGTTGAAGTTTGATCTCCAATGTGACAATACTGAGAACTGGGACCTTTCAGAGGTGATTGGGCCCTGAGGTCTCTGCCCTGATGAATGGATTAACCTATTGATGAATTAATGGATTATTGGATTATTGAGGGAGTGGAACTGGCGGCTCTGTAAAGAAATGAGGAGAGGCCTGAGCTAGCATGCACAGCCCCCTCGTCATGTGATGCCCTGCACCATCTTGGGACTCTGCAAAGATGCCCCCACCAGCAAGAAAGCCCTCACCAGATGTGGCCCCTCCACCTGGGACTTCTCAGCTTCCATAATTGTTAGAAATAAATTCCTTGATATGGTTTGGCTGTGTCCCCACCCAAATCTCATCTTGAATTGTAGCTCCCACAATTCCCGTGTGTCGTAGGAGGGACCTGGCGGAAGGTAATTGAATCATGGGGTGGGCCTTTCCCATGTTATTGTCAGGATAGTGAATAAGTCTCACAAGATCTGATGGTTTTATAAATGGGAGTTTCCCTGCACAAACTCTCTCTTTGCCGGCTGCCATGTTTGCTCTTCTTCATCTTCCGCCATGGTTATGAGGCCTCCCCAGCCATGCAGAACTATGAGTCCATTAAACCTCTTTCCTTTATAAATTACCCACTCTCAGGTATGTCTTTATCAGCAGTATGAAAATGGACTAATACATTCCTTTTTAAAAATAAATTACCCAGTTTCAAGTATTCTGTTATAAGGTACAAAAAACAAAGACACTGGTTTAAGCCCAATCAGTCCAGCAAACTTCTGCTTCAGCGCATCCAGGACAGTTTCCAAGGCCAGACTCTTTGGACCATCCTGGGTCCCAGGCCCTTCCTGAATCAATCATTATGGCCAGGATGTGGCACTGGCAGACTGGTTGGGCCTGGTGGATGAAGTCCCTATCTACAAATGGGTGAGGGGGAGTCCCCAGAGGAAAATCAGGCACTGTCACTAGACAAAGGGGCCATGAGCACAGGCAGACAGGAAACAGACATCTCTGCAGGTGCCTCAGGGACTACACTGAGAGCCAGGGGGCTGAGGGCTCAGGAGACCTTTCTTTCCTTCCCCCCATTCAGCCACATCACCTTCAGCTATTTTATATATTGGTCCTCTGGGTAAGAATTTTTTTAAGAAACAGCTTCTGCTGCTAAGTGAGTCTGCACATGCCTGATGTGGACTAAGGGGAAGTGTCCAGAGAGAAAGCCATGAATGAGGGACAAGAACCTGTATTTTGCAGAGAATCATGGCAAGGAGGCTCTGAGAAGGTAGGCACCACATTCCTAGAATGTGAATTTATTGGTCCTGGGATTACAGCAGGAAGCAAGGCTGACACCGTTTGGGTCTGTGTCCCCACCCAAATCTCATGTCAAATTGTAATTCCTAATGTTGGAGGGGGGGCCTGGTGGGAGGTGACTGGATCACGGAGGTGGATTTCCCCCTTTGGTTCTGTTTTCATGATAGAGTTCTCGAGAGATCTGGTTGTTTTAAAGTGTGTGGCACCTCCCCTCTCTCTTCCTCTAGCTCCCAGCCATGTTTCCTGAGGCCTCCTCAGAAGCCAAGCAGATGCCAACGTCATGCTTCCTGTACAGCCTGCAGAACCATGAGTCAATTAAACCTCTTTTCTTTATAAATTATGCAGTCTCAGGTATTTCTTCACAGCAATGAGAGAACGGACTAATCCAAAGAAAAAGACCCATCTTCAAGGCACTTACATTCTAATTATCCAGGCAGCAACATGTAAGTCAGTAAATATTATATTGTGCTGTATTAGAAGCAAGTAGTGTCACAGGCTCTGAAGGAACATAAGACACCATGATCAAGAGGGATGAGGTTGGGGGGCCCTTTACCTAGGATCCCAGGGAGGGCCTCTCTAAGGAAGCGACATTTGAGCTGGGATCCTCGAGAAGGAAACCTGGAGAAGGAGCATCCTGCCAGAGGCCCCAGGGGAAACCCTGCTAGGTATACCTGAGGGACACAACAGCCAATGGGTTGGAGCATGGTAAGTAAGGGTGTGAGCAGCTGAGGATGCAGAAGGGCCAGGGCCAGGTGACGGAGGATGTTGCAAGCTTTGGCAAAGGAGATGGAAGTCCTGGTCCGATACACAGAGTGTGACAGAGAGAAGAGAGAACAAGTGTGTTCTGTGGGGCCAGAGCAAGGCGTGGTTCATGATCCAGCAAGGAAAGCTACAGGAAAAGAGTTCCAATTCCAGCTCACTCAGAAAGAAGCTGTTTCTGGCAGTCCCTGGTGCATCCAACCACAGAATGGGCAGCCTGGAGGAGGTGAGCTCTCCGTCCACAGAGGTGTGCAAACAGGGTACAATGGCAGGACATGCTAGAGTCCCAGGAGTTGGTGATTCAGTGAAATCAACAGGAAAAAAAAACAAAAAACCAAACTCAATAATAATCCTTAACAAAGTTTACAGTGGCAAAGGACCCACTTAAAACATTTTAGCAGCAGCCTGCTGCGATCAGAGCAATCTCTGGAAATGATTTATTTACATATAAAAATGAGACATTTCCCAACAGCCTCGCGACAGCCCCTGGGGTGAGGCTCTCATTGGACTGTGCCTCCCCTGGGGCCAAGAGGCTCTGCCCCTCCTCAGCTCCTGCCTCGGTTGGGGGCTGATTGCCTCTCCCAGGGGAGGCGGAGGCTCACGCCCTGCCAGCATTCCAGAGAGTTGCTTCTCCAAAATAAACCTTGCATAAGCATTTAAATGTGCGGCTGGGCATGAAGTACAGTCAACATTTTTATTCCAAGAATGCAAATGAGCCCCTGAGGGTCCTGGAAGAGACAAAAATGCCCTGGCCCAGAAGCACTTTTTTGAAAGGCTTGAGTTGGGCACAGCTAGTTTCACTTTCTCAAAACAGTCTTGGGGAAACTGAGGCCCAGGGATTGACTCAAGGTCACAGTGTGAGGAAAGGGCAGAGCAGCCGGAGACTTTCTATCCTGCTGGAATTTCCCCCAATCAGAGCTTTATTTGTTTGCATTGAGCAAGCTCCCAGATGCAGCCAAGTAGTGGGCAGACAGGTAACTGGATCGTTTCACAGAACGGGACCTCTCAGCAAGCTCCGCTGTCTGCACTGGGCACCAGTGATTCCTGAGGCTTGGGAATCTGGACCCTGACTTTGAAGGACAAGAAGAAGCCTGCCCTTATCGTGAGGGTACTTACAGGTGCCACCCCAGGCAGCGTTAGGGCCCCTCCCTCCTCTGGGCTCTACCCACAGCACCTGAGGTTCTTGTCACCTCAAGCCTTGTCCACTCCAAGGGTCTGGCATATATCACGTGCTCAAAACCTGTTGCCACAAACTGAACCAAGTGGCCTGCCCATAGAGGACCTTCCTCACCACAGAAATAGGGACAAGCAACTAGATGGGATATGTCTTAGGCAGGGGCCACAGAAGCCCTGGGGGCTGTCCTGGGCTTTCCCTGAGACTTTGGACCTCAAGTATGGGCCAGACCCTGGGAATAGATGTTTCTAAGTCTCCCAGAGATACCCGGAAGTTTCAGGGGCCATGAGAGGGAGCTCTGGGCTTTGGGATCTCAGAAGCCTCCTTCAGTGTAGATCCCCCACATTTTTCCTGGCCTGGGGGGGTCCCTAGCAGGGCGGACTCACCCAGAGTCAAGCGCCCACCCTGACCAGGTGCTGCTCGATTCTCCTCTGCTAACCCAGGTGGCTCAGGGGCTTGCTTTCAGCATCCCATGAGCAGAAGGGTCCTGGCCTATTGGCCCCTGCAGCATCATGCAGGCTCCTGAGGGTGGGTGGAGGGCCCAGGCCAGGCATGAGTACGAATGAGGTCCCCCAGGCAAGGCTGGTCCCACCAGGGAAGCCCTCCTGTTCCAAGACAGATCTTGAGTTTAGTTTAATCCTTTAGAGGAAAGACTGTTTCCCATTCTTAGGAAGGATCACGCCTCCCCTCACTCACAACCCCCACATCCATATTGTGCTGGAAAGTGGTTAACCTTTTCCCATCACGCCTCATGCCCAAACGCATTTTCAAAATTGCGCTAGCTACTAGGATCCTCATTCTTTACTGCTGGGGAGAGAAGGGCACCTCTGGGCAGAATTCTGTTCATCTCTGATCATAACTGGAGCTGGAGGGGGCTGGTTCATGTGTCCTCCTCACAGCCCCAAGAGTAGAGGTTCCTGTTTTTCCCCAGGGACCCAGCACTGTGCCAGGCTCCCAGCAGCAACTCCTGGACCCCCAGGGTCCCGTCCACCTCCCTCACAGGTATTGATTAGCAGAGGGACACCAATTAGGCAGGGGTGTTCAGCTGGCCCGGCTCCACCAACCCACGTGCCTATTTCCCTGCTGGAGTGAAGCGCCTGGTTTCTCAACCCCTGGAGAATTACAACTCACTTTAAACAAGAAGGCGGATGACTTCGTGCCTGCCTCCCCCAAGCCTAGCAGCTTAGCACCATCTGAATTCCAATTAGTATCATCAAGTTTTCTCAGGGAGGAAAATGTTTCCCCTGACACCCACCTCCTTCCAGCTGCAAGAAGTTTGCTCAAGGCTAAGAC
This sequence comes from Homo sapiens, assembly GCF_000001405.40. Classification (NCBI taxonomy): domain Eukaryota; kingdom Metazoa; phylum Chordata; class Mammalia; order Primates; family Hominidae; genus Homo; species Homo sapiens. Next base: position 992,838 of record NT_187601.1, on the reverse strand, counting down.
ACATCTGCAGAGTCATGAATCCATCCGCTGAATATGCCTTTATCACCACCTACTCGGAGCCCCAGTTCCCGACAACAGTCATAGTTACTGCTGATGGCCTGTGGTCTGTATGCCAGGCACCTCATCTCAGCCCTCACAGTGCCTAGGAAGTGGGCACTTATGTTGCCCCACCAAAGATGAGGAGACTCGGGCTCTGTGACCAGTGCAAGGCCACCTGCCCTTGCCCATCCACCTGGAGATGAGGCTTATCCCAGGACTCTGATTTCAAAGCCTGGGATCTGAACGGTGCACAATATCACCACATCTGCAAAACGGACAGAGCTCCGGGCATTAAAGATGATCTTTGGAGAGCAGCTGGTCAAGTGCCACATAGAAGCTCAAGAAAGGTCCACTCCAATAAAGAATTGGAGGTGCAGCTGGAGGAGCGGAATCACACAGATAACCTCCCTCCAGAATTGGCTTAGAGACCTGTAGGGAGGCAATGCCATGCAGGCTGGAGTTCAAGCCTTAAAAGGCACAAATGGCCTGCCCTAGGAACTGGAAGAAGGGTGGGTCTTGCCAGCAGGGAACCTGGGAATGCTGCTTGGGGGAGTGTCAACAAGCAACAAATGGTCTGGTTTGCCTCGTGCAAGGGAAAGCCCAACACTGAAGCACTGGATTTTTGGAAAGAAAAAAGTTGATTGCAAGGTGATAGGATATGGCTGTGTCCCCATCCAAATCTTATCTTCAATTATAGCTCCCATAGTTCCCATGTGTTGTGGGAGGGACCCAGTGGGAAATCATTGAATCATGGGGGCAGTTCCCCCCATACTGTTCTGGTGGTAGTGAATAAGTCTCATGAGATCTGACGGTTTTATAAGGGGAACCCCCTTTCACTTGGTTGTCATTCTCTCTTGTCTGCCGCGACGTAAGACGTGCCTTTCGCCTTCCACCATGATTGTGAGGCCTCCACAGCCATGTGGAACTGTGAGTCCATTAAACCTCTTTTTCTTTGTAAATTATCCAGCCTTGTGTATGTCTTTATCAGCAGCATGAAAACAGATCAATACATAAAGCTACCAAGCAAGGAGACGAGAGTCAAGCTTAAATCTGTCTCCCCAAGCTGGTGGTTGGGGGAGATTTTATAGTGAGAGAGTAGTGAGGAATGATCTGATTGGATCTTGCGATAAGGTGATGCTGGGAGAAATGATATGACTGGATCCTGCCATGGGGTGACACGAGGGCTTGATCTCACTGGATTCTGGATCCCGCCTTGTGGTGTCCGCTGCTTAATTCAGTCCTATTCCTTGGCCTGAGCACTTAGCTTCCACCCTTGGTTCATCTGGACATTCTCAGGTTATGTGACCTTCAACCTGGGGATCCATGGCAGTTTAAAAACAACTCACTGTTTCATTACACAAAGTTGAACCAGATTAATCTGGTGCCATTACAGGAGGAGGCATTGGTGGGCTTTGAGGGATGGGGAAGATTTCAGTGAAGACAGTTCCTAATGAGGAAAGGAAGAATTCGGGCCTGCCCTTCTGCCTTCCACCTGAGTGTCCTGAGATAGACTGGGCCCAAATGTGTGCACCTGCTGTGCCAGCCATTGTCACCTATAGATGTTCCTGCTCCTTTCCCAGAAAGTACCAATGCCCTTTAGGGGCCAGGCCCTGGCTCTGTGAGCCTGAGGACACCCAGGTTCCTGCCTTTCCCCTTGGGGACTTAGTTTCTTCTCTCCTTTCTGTCTCCTCACACTCTCTCTGCCTGTGACTGAGCCTGTTGAGGGCAAGGATACGTTTCGTCCACCAGGCAGGCCCAGGCCCTGGCACTTGTCCCAGCACTGAGCAAAACAGCCTGGTAGGCATTTGTGTTACCGGTAGAGGGTCTTGACTGCAAGTTGTCCAGGTTCTTGGCATTTTGAACAAAGAATCGGACAAAAGGCACAGAAAAGCAAGGAAAGAATGAAGCAACAATAGCAGAGATTTATTGAAAGTGAAAGTACACTCCACCATGAGGGAGCGGGCTAAGCAGAGGCTCAGGAGCCCCAGATACAGAATCTTCTTGGGTCAAAATACCCCCTAGAGGTCTCCCACTGGCCACTTGGTGTTCACCTCACGTAAATGAAATGGTGACCCGCAATCGGTGAAGTTACACAGGTCATACTCCCATGCAAACATCTGATTGGTTGCAGAAAGCCACCAATCAGAGGCTAAAGTGAAGTTACAAAGTTGCACTTCTATGCAAATGAAGACTTGGTTCGCAATCTGTCTGTCTGCAACTAATTAGAGGCTGAAGTGAAGTTACAAAGTTACACTCCTAGGCAAAGGTCTGATTGGTTGCAAAAAGCAACCAATCAGAGGTATTTTCAATTTTCCATCTGCCTCACAGAAAAGGTGGGGGCTTGTAAAGGGAGTAGCCTCTGGTCCTTTTGTTACTTAGGAGTGGAAAGTTAGGGTTTTCCTTTCAATTTAGTTCTAGGAAGTCAGTGTGAAATGACCTTGGGTTCCCTGCCTCTAGACCCTATTCTCCTGCCTCATTTGTAGGTTAGAACATGATAGAACAGAGTGGTACCCCATTGTTACTCCCCCTTTCTCCATCACTACCCACAAGGATGCCATGTGACCTGAATCCAAGCCAACAGGCTTGGACTCCACCTCTGGGTCTAAAGCTGGAGGAAGTCACACTGCAGTTCTGAGCCTCAGTTTCCTCATCTATAAAACAGGGATAACTAAGCCCTCCAGGGCTCTGGGAGGTGATGGGTGAGATTGCTTATGTAGGAGCCCTTTTGAAAAATTAAGCAGCTCTCCAATTCTCTCTCTTTACATGGAACATATTTTTAAAATGAGTTTTAAAATATTAGCAGAATCCTTTGCTCATTTTTTTTGCCTCTCGAAAGTTTCATTTTGCCAAACCCTTTAGAAAATGAACTTTTTGAAAAACAAAAATTACTTTTATAGAGATAGGGTCTCGCTATGTTGCCCAGGCTGGTCTTGAACTCCTGGCCTCAAGCAGTTCTCCCACTTCAACCTCCCAAAGTGCTGGGATTACAGGCATAAGCTGTCATGCTTGGCCTTGAAGCGTGAACTCTTGAATTAGCTTTTGAATTTGTAGAAACCTTTGTGAGTCACCAAGAGCCTTTGTTATTGTCATCTCCATGAACTGTCTCAACAGGACAGTGGTTCACATTACCCTGCAAGTACAGATGAGACAGCTAAGTGACCTCCCCAAGGTCACATGGCAGAAGATGGCTTGAACCAGGTCTCCCTATCTATGTTGTTGGGTTAGCTCTGAGTAGAGTCCCAGCTACTCCCTCAGATCACTAAAGGCTCCTACCCTCTACCCCCACCATAGCAACAATTCAACTTTGCCAAGTCCCCAAGCCTGACCTTGGGAAGAAAAGTCTCAGTGGACTGTCACTCTCATGGGGCAGGGACTGGCAGCTGTGGCTGGTCTCTGAGGCTCAGGTCACCCCAGGCCCTGCACCTCACTGACCAGGGAGGGCAGCCCTGCTGGCTGCTACAAACCCCCTGGGAGTAAGGGGTGGGACCAACTCACTCACTCAACCCACCTGAATTAAGCATCATCTGCTAGTGTTGGGGCCCCACCCCTGGGCTTGGGAGCTACTGAAATGTAGCCCCCTCCTCCCCTTTTTAAGAAGAGGGGACACACAGGAAAACAGTGAGAGGAGCTGGGAGGGAAGAGAGCCCTGGGGGCTGTGGGAGCCAGAGGGGAGCTCTGTTAGTCACAGTATCAGCAGTTTTCACACTGCTGATAAAGACATACCCAAGACTGGGCAATTTACAAAAGAAAGAGGTTTAATTGGACTTACAGTTCCACATGGCTGGGGAGGCCTCACAATCATGGCAGAAGGTAAGGAGGAGCAAGTCACATCTTACATGGATGGCGGCAGGCAAAGAGAGAGAGCTTGTGCAGGGAACTCCCATTTTTAAAACCATCAGATCTCATGAGACTCCTTCAGTATCATGAGAACAGCACAGGAAGGACCTGCCCCCATAATCCAATCACCTCCAAGCAGGTTCCTCCCAGGACAAGTAGGAATTGTAGGAGTTACAATTCAAGATGAAATTTGGGTGGGGACACAGTCAAACCATATCAGGAGCTTTCACCATCTTGAGAGTAGAAGAAGGTACCCTGGGAGACAAAGTCCAGGCTGGAATCTTAAAGGCTGAGGAAACGAGAGCCAGGGAAGAAGAGATGAAGAGGGCATTCTAGGCCAAGGGAATGGCCAAGCAAAGGCCTGGAGGGTGAGCAAAAGGCTCAATAACAGTGGTGGTGGCCCCGCCAGCCTCAGGAGGGGGCAGAGCTGGCTGGCACTGCTCAAACTTCAGCCCCTCACTCATGTGGAGTCCTTCCCTTTGAGGTTTAATCATATCCAACTCTCTATTCATAATTTTGTTTCCTTTCCTTAAGGAGGCTCCCTGGCCCTTGCTGAGTACATTTCAACCCCGAGCTGTCCTAGAGTGCATGTAGCCCGGCTCTGTGTGGAAATCTTTTCGGGTACCCCCAGGAGTCTGCACTTTGTCTGTGGGTTACAGAAGGAGGGTGGCAGATAGTAAAGGAGTGTTAGCAGAGAAGAATTCCAAGTGAAATGTCAGGCTCTCAAATGTGACATGTCCAGAATGAAACCCTCTACTCACCCTCCAGATCTCGCCGCCAGCAGGCCCCCAGGCAGTCAATAAAACCCTACACCCTACACAGACCTCAGGGTCATCCCCACTGCCTCCCTAGCCTCCTCCTCACCACAGTCCAATTGCAGGAGGCTTGTCTGCTGTGCATTTTAACACTGCCCTGTTCATCCACCCCTGTGCCCCCTTGGCTCTGCACCTCTCTTGAAACCCTCTCAGCTCTGCACCTCCCTGTACCCCCCATAGATCTGTACCCTCCTGTACCCCTCAGCTCTGTACACTCCTCCTGTGCCCCCCTCAGCTCTACACACTCCTCCTGTGCCCCCCTGAGCTCTGTATACCCCTCCTATGCCCCCCTCAGGGCTATGCACCCCTCCTGGGCCCCCCCAGCTCTGCACTCCTGTGTTCCCCTCAGCTCTGTACTCCTCTCCTGTACCCCCCACAGCTCTGAACTCCCCTCCTGTGCCCCCCTCAGCTCTGTACACCTCTCCTGTGTCCTTCACAGCTCTGCAAACCTCCTATGCCCAAACCTCTTATGCCCCAACAGTTCTGCATGCCCCAGGGCATCCACACTGCTTCCTCCAGAGTCTGGGCTTCCTGCATTTTTCTGTTGAGCTCCTGTCCCATCCTTCTTGCCCTGTGCATTTCCCCTCCTACCCCTGGCTGAGGTTTTGTTACAAGTAAATTGTTTATGGAAAAACCCAATGCACTGGCCACTCAACCAGTGACACAGCTTTCTCCCTACCCCTACCCCACTCAACGGGATCCTGACCTCACCTGCCTGGGCCCTAGCACTGACCGTGGCTTCAGGGCAGAGGACCCTGGCTGCCTCCCCGAGAGTCCTGCAGGCCTGTTCTCAGACAAGGGACTTTCCTTTCTAGACTCATGTCCTTGTCTGCAGCATTGAGAGAACCCCCTCCTCCCTGCCTTACCTGTTGTCCAGACGATAAGATGGGAGTTATAAATTTGTTCTAAGTTGTACAAGTATGAGAGCTAGGGATTCAAAAATATTTGAGAAGGCCTGCCGAACACAAGCAAGGTCCTGTGAACTCCCTGATGACAGCAGCAAGATGCGAGGCTGTGGTTAAGGCAACTGCGTTCTTGTTGTTGGTTTTCACCAATTCTGAGCATCCACAGTTTGCTAGGCCAGATGCTGAGCCAGGTGCTGGGGACCAAGGTGAGACTCCCATGGTGGCAGAAGAGAACCACCTAGGCAGAGCTTGTAGATCCAGAGTAGAGGGTGGCTAGCTCTGAACATATCCACACTATGAAAGGAGATAGGGCTTCGGCATAACTGACCCCCACCCCTGCCAAGCCAGAGGGGCCTGAATGACTCGTCTTGGCCATCTGCACTTGCTGGCCACTCGTCTTGGCCATCTGCACTTGCAGGCCACCTCTCTCAAGTCACTTCCATCCTAAGCCTCAGCTTTCCCATCTTTAAAATGTGGAGATGCAGGGAGCAGCCCAGGGTGGTGGGTGTGTGTGTAAAAGTCCCGTCTTCCCACCTCGTCTTCGGCAGGGGACTGGGGGTCAGGGATCATACCCAGGTGTGCCCTCTACTCTGAAGCCCTGTGCTCCCCCCACCTCCTGTGCCCTCCACAGGAGTTGGCCTGCAGGATGTACCATCCCAGGACAGGGCAGTGGCTCTACCTGGAGTGCCCTTCCTCCCTTCTCTGTGCCCTCTGCTCCAGCTCCTTTTGCCAGGCCCCTCCTCAGGGACACCATCGCTGGTCTCCAAGCAAGCTGTCCCTCTGTGTGCCCACAAATGCTCTGCCACCAATTATAATTTATTGGTTGACTTGCCAGCTCACCCCCAGGACACTTGAAGGGAAAAGGCCGAACTCACCTTTGCATCTCAACTATGAAACAGAGAGCCTGACACGTAGTAAGTGCTCAGTACACATCCCATGAATGAGTGCAGGAGCGAATGAAGGCTTCAATGGGGAGACATCCCTGCCAGCTCTGGGGTTGTCCGTTGTCATCTTGTCACCACTACACCCATTTAAAGCTAAGAGCAATGTTTCCCCAAATCCCCTTCTTTTATGGGTTAAATTGTGTCCCCTCCAAAATTCATAAGTCCTACCCCCTAGTACCAGAATGTAACCTTGTTTGGGAATAGATTTCTTGTAGATGTAATTAGTTAAGATGAGGTCTAATTACAATAAAATAAAATATAATGACAACCCCTATAACTATGTAAAATAGTACATATCAATTAAAAAAACAAAATTTTAAAAATGAGGTCTTATTGGAATAGAGTGGGCCTTTAATTCAGTATAACTGATGTCCTTTTAAAAAGAGGACTTTTGGACACACACACACACACACACACACACACACACAGCCATGTGACAGTGAAGGCAGAGATCAGGTGATGCTTCCACAAGCCAAGGAACGCAAAAGATGGCCAGAAGCTGAGAGAGGGGCCTGGCACAGATGCTCCCTAACAGCCTCAGAAGGAAGCAAACCTGCCCACACCTGGTTCTCAGGCTTCTGGCCTCCAGAACTGTGAGATGATGTCTTAGCCCATTTTGTGCTGCTGTAATGAAACACCTGAGACTGGGCCATTTATGAAGAACAGAAGTTTATTTCTCACAGTTCTGGAGGCTGGGAAGTCCAAGATCAAGGCACAGGCAGATTCTGTTGTCTGGTAAGGGCTGCTCTCTGCTTCCAGGTTAGCACCTTGAAGCTGCATCCTCCAGAGGGGAGGGGTGCTGTGTCCTCACACGGCAGAAGGCAGAAGGACAAGAGGGGCAAACTCCTTCCTTCAAGTCCTTTTATAAGGGCATCTAATCTCATTCATGAGGACAGAGCCCTCATGACTTAATCACCTACCAGAAGTGCCTGAGCTCTGGGTACTCCACAGTTGGTTACTGCACTGAGCTGGGGTTTGAGGCTCAGGCTTCAGGCTCAGGGGTCAATGGCTGTTTCTGCCCCCAACTCCTCCCTCATTCAGTAAGCCTCATCTCCTCCATTATACCCTGTATGCCACTATCGCTTACAGCAGCTCTTCTTCCCTGACGAAATTCAGACTGACTCAAGCTTCAAATTCAGACTGACTCAAGCTTCAAATGCCACCACGGAGTGCCCTCGCTTGGCCAGACACCTGCCAAAAGCCGCCCTCGCCCAGTCTCAGTCAAAATACAATGACAGACTACCAGGAGTTGCTGGCAGATCAGCGAGCTCTTCACTCACAGAGACATTCACGGCGACAAATGGATAAATTTTCATCTATCAGCTGTTACAGTGACCCTTGATCATGAGAGAGACAGAGAGAGCCCTTTTGCTAGAAAGACCTCATCACTCACCCAGCAGAAGCAGGTGCTGCATCCTAAAACACCACTGCCTGCTATTTACAAAGCCACAAGGGAGTGAAAAGGCTTTTCTAGTGTCAACTGAAAAATCACAAAGTTATCAATTTAGAAAGGAATCTTCCCTTCCTTCCTTCCTTCTTTCCTTCCTTCTTTCCTTCCTTCCTTCCCCTCTTTCTTTCTTCTTTCTTTCTTTCTTTCTTTCTTTCTTTCTTTCTTTCTTTCTTTCTTTCTTTCTCTCTCCCTCCTTTCTGTCTTTCATCTTTCTTTCTTTTTAAGAGGGGTCTTACTCTGTCACACAGGCTGGAGTGCCATGGCACAAACATAGCTCACTGCAGCCTTGACCTCTTGGGCTCAAGTGATCCTCCTGCCTCAGCCTTCCTTGTAGCTAGGACCACAGGCATGCACCACCATGCCTGGCTCATTTTTTGATTTTTTGTAGAGACAGGGTCTCACTTTGTTGCCCAGGCTGATCTCAAACTCCTGGGCTCAAGTGATCCTCCCACCTCAGCCTCCTAAACTGCTGGGATTACAGGTATTAGCCACCACACCTGCCAGGGACTTTATTTCTTATAAAGGGTTATATCCTGTGGGCTGGTCATCTCGAAGACTGGGAAGTGCAGCATCCAGTAGCCCCAAAGGCAGGCATTTCAAGGGAGAAAAGGATGAGACAGGGATTTATGCTGAAGGTGTCCAAATATAGATATTCAATAGGCTATAGGAGGAGCTATGAATATTCACAAAGGGGCTTCTGATGCATGTGTACCAAACAAGCATGCATGTTACATGCATCTTATGTTCACTTTGGGGTGAAGGCAACATTTACATGCATTGAAATTAGGCCCTGTGTGTTAAAAGATAAAGCAGAGACATGAAGGCAGTTGGTGCACAGCCTCTGTAAACTGACCAAAACGAGTCCATGGTTGGTCCATTTGTCTCTTATCAGGACAAATCAGTCTCTTGTCTAATCAAAGCTGCAGTTCAGCCTGGTGGAACTGGGTGCTCAGTCAGTGTCTGCTGGTGGGTGAGCTGCCGTTCCTTCCATATTGCTTATTTCAAGCCAGTGCTTGTTTAGCTGCTGAAGAAAAAAAGGGGGAAACGTGTGACTATTGGAATATAGTTTATTCTGTGACCGTAGGGGTTCATGACTTAACCCTCACCTGGCATGGGCTTAGGTCTGGTTTATAATTTGTTATCTTATTGCCACAACGAGTCCATTCTGTCAGTCTTTTGGTCTCTGTGTTAACATTCATGCTGGTCAGTTGTTGTGTCTAAGCCACAAAAGGGATGGGGGAGAATGAGGCATGTCAGGACTAGGAGCTCAGTTTTTAGGGTTTCTCTGAGATCCTTTTGAGGTAGAAGGTGGGACTCAACTCAGGAGGCAGGACTCGACTATGGAGGCGGGGCTAGGACACTGGACAAAATTGAGGACTAGCTAAAACAGGGATGGGTCAGAAGCAGCTTTTCATAAGCCAAGCCCACTCATGTGCCATGTCAGTTTACCATTGCCATGGTAACATCCAGAAGTTACTGCCCCTTTCCATGGCAACAACCTGATGACCCAGAAGTTATCATCCTATTTCTAGAAATGTTTGCATAATCTGCCCCCTAATTTGTATATAATTAAAAGCACATATAAATATGACTGGAGAACTGTCTCTTAGCTGTGATTCTGGGTACGCTACCCAGGGGGTAGCCCGGCTGTGCAAGGAGCAATACCTCTGTGCACTGCCTCTTCGATAAAAGTTGCTGTCTAACACCACTGGCTCCCCCGAGTTCCCTCCTGGGTGAAGCCAAGAACCCTTCTGAGCTAAGCCCCAATTTTGGGACTTGCTAGTGCTGCATCACTTTTGGTCAAGAGGGTGTCCATTCAGTTGGTTGCAGGGCTTAGGATTTTTCCATTCTCACTAGGAATGTGCATGGCAAGCTGGTGCTTCTGGGAACCAGCCACAGATGACATGTAGGTTCCAGGGTGGTGTGAGCAAAGAGCTCCTATCAGATCCTAAGCGCACGTTGCCACTTACCACAAGTAGTCATTCTGGAAGAACATTCTCAAGAACCAAGCCATTGTGTAAGTCTCCCAGATGAACAAGTGTGAGTGCTTAAGTTTCAGCAGTTACGTTGAAGGGCTGGAAACCAAGGTAAGTGCAGTGAATTCAACACAAAGCCCACCGTGGATCCTCAGACTCTGAAAGCACCTGTTCTTGCCCTTGACTCCCCTTCTACCACTGCAGAGGACACTTCCTTCCACCTGATGGAAGGCGGGTTACCTCCTGCACCCAAGACCCAAGCATTGTATTCTCTCTCCTGCCACTATCCAGCCATGGGCTAAGCTTGGTACACATATTAGTTCATTTTTTATAACAGTGCCAAGAGGCAAATATTACTATCCCTAATTTCTATAAGGGAAACTGAGTCCCAGATAAGCTAAATGATATGCTTGACTTCATAGAGGGAGTAGGTGGGTGGTGAAGTTGGGGATGAGACTCTACTTTCAACATTAGAGCAGTGTTTTTCAAGCTTTAGCAAATGGTAGCTTATGCTTAGAATTCACATTCCTGGGTTCTTCCCTCATTGCTTTGATTCGGTGGGTCTGGCTGGGGCTTGAGAACAATGAATCTGTTGCAGCCTGTCCACAGCCCACATGTGGGAAGGAGTATATCAAATGCCCCTCTCCATGAGGAAGTTATTTCTCCGTGTGTTCACCTTCTCCGTGCAGTTTGCCTGCAGGAACCTCCCTCTGCACATTACTATGACATTCTGACTGAGCCCTGTTTTGTTGAACTTAGATAATGTCATTCAAATCCCAACTCATCCACATACCAGCTCTGTGACATTGGGTAAGACACCCAACCTGTCCTTTTCCTGATTTTCTCATCTGTAAAATTGGGCAAATAATAGGTGCTGTCTCAAAATTGTTATGAACGTGAAATCGGTTCATCTATGTAAAATATTTGTAACAATACCTGGCATATAATAAGCTCTCAATAAACATTAGCTATCATTATTATTATAGTTATTCTTGTGGTTATCATTACTATTGAGCTATTTCTAGTGTATGTGTCTCATCTGCACAATAAGATTCTAATCTCCAAAAGAGCACAGAGCTTGGCACAGGATAGGATATGCAGTAGATACTCAACAAATATCATTGAGTGTGTAAATTAATTATGAAATTCATAAGCAATCAAATCCCATAATTAGCATATGAGGGAATTAATAATACTATAATATCATAAGCAATGAATAATATTATAAGTAACAATGTTATTGATCACTTGTGCAGCACCTAATATATGCCAGGATTAGGGTTAAACACTTTACATGAATTATTCCATTTAATTATCACAACAATTACTCATGAGTTGAGTATTACTTGCCACAAGGAAACTGAGACACAAAGAAGTTAAGCAATCTGTCCATGTTCTTGAGCTGCTAAGTAGTAGAGCTGGTATTTTACCCCAGGTTTTTCTAATGCAAGAGCTCATACTCTTAACCACACACTGTGTGTCAGTTTTCCCTTATTAGACTGGAAGCTTCTCCAGGGGAGTAATTGAATCTTGTTCATTAGTTTCCTTAGTCCCAGGCAGAGGACTTCACATAAGGTAGGCTCTCAAAGAAATGTTTATTGGGTGTGTTTGCCTGAATGAATGGATGGATGCATGGCTGGATGGATGATGGACAGATGGATGGAAGGGTTCAGGAGTGGATGGGTGGAAGGATGGGAGGAGAGATGCATGGATGGATGCATGGATAAGTGGATAAATGGACAGATGGATTGATGGATGGATGAGTAGATAAAGAGATGGATAGATGGTGGGTGGTTTGACGGGTGAAGAGATGATTGGGGGAATGTGTCTTTTTTCTTTTTTTGAGACAGAGTGTCTCTCTGTTGCCAGGCTGGAGTGCAGTGGTGCGATCTTGGCTCACTGCAATCTCTGCCTCCCAGGTTCAAGGGATTCTCCTGCCTCAGCCTCCTGAGTAGCTGGGATTACAGGTGCAGGCCACCACACCCAGCTAATTTTTGTATTTTTAGTAGAGATTGGGTTTCACCATGTTGGCCAGGATGGTCTTGATCTCCTGACTTCGTGATCCTCCCTCCTCGGCCTACCAAAGTGCTGGGATTACAGGCATGAGCCACCGCACCCGGCTGGGAATGTGTCTCTGGGAGAGCAGGTGGGTAAATGAATGAGTGTTCAGAAGAAGGGTGAGTGAGTGGATATGTGGGTGGACAGGAGAATGAGTAAGTGGATGAAAAGTGAAAGAATACCGTCCTCAAGTTATTCTGCAGAGTAACACTCAAAGAATCCTGAGACAGGGAAATGTTGGAAACAGATGTACATTTGGAGATAAAAGAAGCTGAAAAATGGCAGTGTTGTTCCTGGAAGGGAGATGGAGGCGGGAAAGACACATCTGGGTTACAGGAAAAGGCATCCTCTCGTTCAGCATCTTCTAGTCTGAAAGAGCCCAGGGCTCCACAGTGGAGGCACTAATTGGATTTCATTAAAGTGAAATAGATTTCCTAGCATTGGAAGAGCTAGTTCATTAATACATACTCTACTCGTGGAAGGCATGGGGAGGGGAAGCTCCACCTAAGATAGGAGCTAAGAAACCCTGCTGCAATACTCAGGTTCTGAGCACCTGCTCTATGCCAGTGCCTGGGCAAAGTGTCAGGTATGCAGTAATACATACCCAACCCTCTATCTCCAGAAACTCACAGGGTCGGGGAGAGGGTGACAGGCATGCAACATGGCAGGGCACTGAACAAGGGTAAGCAACACAGATTATCCACCGTAGGTCCTTAGTACTTCTAGGGGTGGGGTAGAAGTAAGTAGTGGGGAACGGTGAAGTTGGCACAGCTGGTGTAAGACTCATAGGGCCATTTTTCACAGAAGGAAGGTTGCTTGCCCAAAGTGGTAATTGTGCAAAACCAAGGGAGGAGAAAAGTGAGAGGGCTGAGGTTCACCCAATTGTTCAAAAACATTGACTGAACACCTATGTGCCAGGCATTTCCTAGGTACAGGACAGTCAGTAGAGGAGATTGACAAGGTCCCGGAGCCAAGGGGAGTGATCTGGTTTGGAGTTTTTAATTGGTGAGTTTTGAACATAGAAGAGGTTTTTAATGCAGGACTAGATGAGGTCACCTGGGGAGAGTATAGGAAGAATGGCTCCTTTTAGTTCATTCTCCCTCCTAGAGCAAGAATTCCTTCCACAGCATCACTGGCAGGTGGCCACCCAGCCACCTTGCATATTCCAATGACAGGAAGCTCACTACCAGGCAAGGCAGCCTGCCTATCTTTAGAAGTTCTAGTTGTTAGTAAGTAATTTTCTACGTGGGCCAAAACCTCCCTCCTGGTTGTATTCCTTTGTACCAGTCCTGTCTCATTCCATCAGCTCCCTCTTTGCCATGACCAGCTAGAACCAGCAGAGGTGGTCCAACACAGGCCCCTTGCCTTTTTAAAAAATAATGGGGCCCTAGGTCTCTTTTGAGGGTACCCTGCTTTCCCCAGTGTCATCTCACATCTCGGGAAACGACAAAGTCTTATTTTAATTTCTGAGTTATGGCCTTAGAGACAAGAAGAAAAGAGGAGACATTTAAACACATAAGAGGAGACTTTCCTTCTTGTCCTTTTGTGAAATGCTTCTGGTTCCTTCAGCCACTCTTATTTGACTGATGATCTCCTCCAGCTTGCTTTGTCTCTGGGCTGGAGCCCCACCCTGGCAACCAGCTCTCCATGCCAAGGGCCACTGATGGCCACCTGTACTGTGCTGCTTAGCCCCCGTCTGGTTGCCCCTCATCTTACACAACCTCTTTGTGCAACATTTGACCAACTGAACCTTCTCTCCATGAATGGATGAGCTTTGGCCTTCCCAGTTGCTTTTTCTGCTCCCAGTCTTCCCTCAGTTTCATGTTGTCCAGGTTCTGGGTAAATAACCTTCTCCTTCCAGACATTACACTATAGACATCATACTAGGTAGGCCGGTTACTCTCCTGCCCACTCTTCCCACCTAGTTTTACCCACAATCACAAATAAATCAGGCTCCTCATGAGTTCTCTGGAGTTTTGCTGTGCAGTAAAGTGTTGGCTCAGCAGACCTGGATTATCCACACCCTATGCATTCCAAAGAGATATCTGTCCCCGGGCCAGCTCCTAGGAGATAACCTCTAAGCCTTTAGAATATCTTGCCTGATAATAGTGTCTTTGGGCCTGTGATGGTTAATACTGAGTGTCAATTTGATTGGATCGAAGGATGCAAAGTATTGATCCTGGGTGTGTCTGTGAGGGTGTTGCCAAAGGAGATTAATATTTGAGTTGGTGGGCTGGGAAAGGCAGAGCCACACTTAATCTGAGTGGGCACAATCTAATCAGCTGCCAGCTTGGCTAGAATATAAAGCGGGCAGAAAAACGTGAAAAGACTAGACCAGCCTAGCCTCCCAGCCTACATCTTTCTCCTGTGCTTGATGCTTCCTGCCCTTGAACATCAGACTCCAAGTCCTCCAGTTTTGGGACTCAGACTGGCTCTTCTTCCTCCTCAGCCTGTAGATGGCCTATTGTGGACCTTGTAATCATGTGAGTTAATGCTTAATAAACTCCCATATATATATGGGAGTATATATATATATATTCCATTAGTTCTGTCCCTCTAGAGAACCCTTACTAATACAGGGCCTATGCCAGATAGTCCATGCTAACAATGAGATTGCTGGTGCAGGCCTCTAGCCACACGTGTCTGTTTGACCTCTGAAGGGGCTGGGGACTAAGTAATGTCAGCCATGCAGGTGGTCAGCCATGCCTACACGACCAACCCTCAGTAAAAGCTCAGGACACAGAGGCTCAGGAGCTTCCGTTGTTGGTAGCTCTCCATGTGTGGTGTCACATTGCTCCTAGATGAATTAAGCATTGTCTGTAAAACTCCCCTGGAGGACAGCAACTGGAAGCTTGTCCCTGCTCTCTCCTGGCCTCCACCCTATGCACCCTCTCCCTTTTCTGGTTTTAATCTATGTCGTTCCACTGTTATAAAGCATAACCATGAATACAGCAACTTTTCTCAGTTGTGTGAGTCCCTCTAGCAAATCATCAAACCTGAGGGTTGTCTTGGAGACCCTTGAACACATCTGCTATTACAACATCCATCCTGTTTTGTTACAGGTCTGTATCCCTGCCCCACACCCTCAGACCATGAGCTAGGGCCCCAGGTATTTGGATCTTTGTCTCAGTTTCCTACCATCCACACCTGCTCCCTGGTACCTTCAGCTGGATACAACTGCCAAGGCTTTAGCTTATGATAGATTTTTCCTCAACTGCCTTCCAATTTTTTCTTGACAAATTACAAACCTGAGTTTCTTAGGCTAACATTGTACACGAAGGGCAGGCACACTCAAGCTTGACAGTCCCACTCAGACCACTGTCGGTTGCTCTCTAGGATGATAGCATTGTTTATAGGTTTTAGGGACCACTCCTTAGACTCTGTGAATGGAAATCCATAATGAGCTAAGTTGGACAAGCTCAGCAGTCTTAGAATGCCATACCACCATTCCTACTAAATACCACCCCTATCTGCTCCATGCTGGTCAACTCTCCTCCCTTCACCTGATAGTCTGATCCTTGGTAAAGGCCCCTGGAGCTCTGAGTGGCATTCCTGCTTGCATCCCAGGGTACGGAGGACCAGAGGGGATGACAGCCACGTAAGCACTGGGGGCACCTGAGAAAAAGACCCAGACCCTTCTCTGCAGGGTGGAAGTAGTGCAGAATCTTCCAAGAGCTGGTTTCCTTGGCAAGATGTTAAAAAAAAGGAAAACAGCCAAATCTGAGAGCAAAGAAAATCCTATTTGGTGACTTCATAGCTGGGTCTGAGCCTGGCCTGACCCCACACACAGACTAGCTGGAAAGAACAACTGTCCTCACGATCCATGGCTGTGATGAAGCCATCTCCTCCTTATTTCACACCCTCCCCTCTTTCTCTCCTGCACCCATCACCTCTCTAGAAGGAGATAGACCAAGAAGGTTTTGCCTCTCCATGGTTAATGGAGGCCTGGGGATATGAGAGGGAAAGTTCAGATCCTCTTCGTAAATTTAATTTTTCTGTTTAGGCAACTGGCTCGGCTTCTAGAAGCAAGACTGCAATCTAAATAATATTTGTTTGGTGCTTCTTGGTTTATGAAACTCTTTTCTAGGCATTATCCCACTTGATCTTCATGATAATCCTAGAAACTTGGCAGGGCAGGAATTAACCCCCTCCTGACTCTTCCAGATGGGAAACAGGATCAGAGAGATTACGTGGCGGAGGGAACAGAGTCAGACTAGAATCTGAGTGTCTTCACGGATCTCAAGGTGGACGTTGTCACCCAGATGTCAGCTCCAGGAGGAAGGAGAGCTGGATGGGAGGCCTGGCCATGCCCACTGGAGGCAGCTCTGGACTTGCTGCCAGGCAATAGCAACTCTTGCTGCTCCATCTGCCAGGACGTGTTCCCCATCTCCAAGTCAGGCTGCTACTCATCTGTCTCATCCATCAGTTCTGCTATAACAAGACCCCTGAGACTGGGTCCTTTATAAAGAACAGAAGTTCATTTTCTTCCAGTTCTGGAGGCTGGAAAGTCCAAGATCAAGGCGCCAGCAGGTTTGGTGTCTGGCGAGGGCTGCTCTGCGCTTCCAGATGGTGCCTTGTGTCTGCATCCTCTGGAAGGGAGGGACACTGTGTTCTCACATGGTGGAGGGAATGGAAGGAGTGAAAGGGGGGCAAACTCCCTCTGTCAAGCCCTTTTATAAGGGCACCTAATCACATTTATGAGGCTGGAGCCTCATGACTCAATCATCTCCCAAAGGTCACAGCTCCCCATACTGTTACACTGGGAATTGAGTTCCTAACACATGAATTTGGGGACATACATCATCCTTCAGATCCCCACTCAAATGTCACCTTTTAGACATAGACTCCAGGAATCTTCCAGGCCAGCTAGATTATGTGATTCCCTGGGCTGTCACAGTTCCTAGGATATTCACTCTGGGTTTGCCGTTTACCTTCCTCACTGGATTCTAAGCTCCTTGGGATCGGAGTCTCCATCTTTCATTTCTGCAGTTCCACCCCTAGCATAAGGCCTGTTCCAGAGGACATTCTCTCTGTAATATTTATTGGCTGAGTTCATCAATTAATCAGATCAAGTCACCACTCCATGTATTTATGATCCACAAAGCAGATTTGCACTTTCTTTTCGTTTACTTATGTATTTATTTTTAATTACCTAAGGAGGACATAATGTATTTTTGCTGTAAGCAATTCAAACAGTATAAATCAATCAAAGGAACTCCTTTACCATACCCTCCACCATCACCCTATGCCAAGGCTCCCATTTTGTTCCTGGCCTTCCCCTGGAGGACACCGCTTTGTCAGTCTGGGGTGTCTCCTTCCAGACCTCTTGCTATGCATTGCCATGCATGTATAACTACATGTGGAAATAGGAGGCTTTGTGTTTTGTGTGTATCTCTTCACATATATGATATCCCATTGCACATCTTATTCTGCAGCTTGCTTTTTGTCACAAAATGATGTTTCTTGGACTATTCTCCCTGTCAGTCTCAGAGAGATCCCTAGGGTTTTGAGCTGCTGAGCTATTGTTTTTTCATCTAGACATTTCTTGATGGGCATTGAGGCTTTCCTCGATCTTCCCTGACAAACAACCTTTCAATGCTATGTCCTAGTCATTCAATTTCCTTTCTCGGGTGGCACCTTCTGACCCTTGCTGAAATGCCAGGTTATTTCTTGTCTCCCCACAGCCAATGGTACAGCAGGGCCTGGGCACTGGCCATGCGGGTGGTCTGAGAGTGGTCAGAGTCTTCAAGACCCTGAGACCAGAGTCACGGTTACCATTCATACAGCACCCAGCAAGAGCTCACTGAGCCCCCGTAACAGAGAGCCATCACCTCCCAAGGCAGGGTTGCTTCGTGATAAGGGTTGGCGTCAGACACTCTCGGTTTTGGGGCTTTCTGGATATGGGATCCAAACTTCAGGTTCCTCTTCTAGAGTGGGAACAGCAGACCTCCCTTCCAGGGCAGCTGTGAGGATTAAGTGAGATCATATGTTCCCTGTGCCTGGCTCGGCGCCAGTTCTTGCCAGAGCCTCACAGCCATTAACTGTTGGAATCCACTGGCCCAGCCTACTGTGAGCCCTTCCTCCAGTCCTGTCCTGCTCCACCCACTGGTCCTCATTTTGCCCCTACTGATGGCAGGTGACGGCTGAGGAATGGTTTTCTGGTATGTTGGGAAATATGAACTTCTCGTTTCCTTATGTAAGACAGGACTGGAAATTCATCTGCCGCCAAAGTCGCTGACGGTCAGTGTTCCAGGATCCAAAAAGATTTTTATCAGGGCCAGTTCCTTCACTCCAGCTCCTCCTGGCATAACCGAGCGAAGGTTGGAGAAAAAGAAGACAGATCAGCAAAGGACTTGCCAGGGCCCAGGTACAAGCTCCCTGTCTCTGCCAGTTGCTGCTCTGATGCAGCATGGGAATTCGGGAAGCCGGAACCAAGTGAGCCCAAGAAACCCGAGGTGCTCTGGTGTCAGCTGAGGAGGAGTCCTGGCCAGAAGTCATATCAGCACTGACCTGAACAGGGAGGAAGGACTGTAAAGTGGCACATCAGTAATAAAGGCCATGCCCTAGAGGAGTTCACGGGCACCATGGGGCAGCCCAAAGGAGGACTGGCATTGGCAGGCCTGGGCTTTGTTATTCCTATGCGATATTGACAAGTCCCTTAACCTCCCTCTGGGTCTTCGTTTTCTCATCTGTGAAATGGGAGCAGGACTGCTCACTCACTGTGTGGCCACATCAGTGTGTATAAAGGTTATTGGTGTGCCATCTAAAGCATCGAACAAACGCCAGACCTTACTGTGAAAACACACTCAGAAGTTAGCCTCTTGCTCAGAAGATCAAGAGAAGGAAAGTAGGGCCTCAGGCAGAAGATAAGGAGAGGAGTTGATAGAGCAAACAAATGAGAGAGAAGAAGGAAAAATACAGACAGGAAGACCAAATGACAGAGTACTTTCAAAGCCCCTTTTCACGCCTCTCTCCTTTTAATTTATGTTCATAGCAGTCCTCAGCTGATGTGGCCCGGGGGCTGATCCCTGGTGGTAGCTGTGGTGGTCAGCGGGGTTCAGGCACTTCTCCCGTCCTGCAGCAGGGCTGGCCACATCCCTCCAGCCGCACCTCTCACCCGGGCCTTGGAAGACCACTCGGTGGCTGCGGCACCGTCCTCTGGTTCACTTACTCTCCTGACGGAAAAGTTCCCTCCACTCCCGCCTCGCTCCAAGCCACACAGCTCAACACCTCGCCTCCCAGCGCCGGGACCCCTGGAATGCCGGAGAACCCCTACAGTACCCTGGCTTCAGGGGAAATGAGAGAGAGAAAGAGAAAGAGGGATAGGGAAGCAAGAATCAGAGAGACCACGCAGAGAGACAGAAAGAAAGAGAGATGGAGAAGAAAAACAGAGAGACACAGAGAGACCCAAGAAGGAAAGAGACAGAGATACAGAGAAGCAGGAAGAAAAAGAAAGGCTAGACAGACAGAAACGGGGAGCAGAGCCCACACACAGGGCAGAATCCCCATCGGCCAATGCTGCTAAGGATGATTCCACAGGATGCGAGTAAGGTGGTTTGGGGGGAAAATAATTCTGTGGCCAAACAAGATGGAAAGCACAGAGTTAAACAAGAACAAAAAAGGTTGTTTTCCACAGGGCTTCAGTGCTTCTGACAGGCAACGGTACGTGTTGTGAACCTCCAAGAGGGGGCTCTAGGGTTTCCCAATTAATGTGCCCACCACCACCAGCAGCAGCAAAAACTCAGCACTTCGACATGTGCTGACAGCAAGATTCAGAGGGAAACAGATACCAGGGCTTAGAAATAAGAGAGAGGCAGGCAGACAGAAGGACATAGAAAGACAGACCCAGAAAGAGCAGGGAAGCACACAGACACACACATACACACACAGACAGACATACACATAACACACACACACACACACACATGCACAGGGAGCGAGAGAAAAAGAGAGAGCGAGAGAGAGAACTCAGTGCGAAGAGAGAGGCAAAGTAAAGACCAGCATAAAGACAGACGCAGACAGAGAGGGATAGAACTACAGAGACAGAGGAATAATAAATTAGAGACAGAGACCCAAAGAGAGGTACCCCTGCCTCTGTAAAGCTGAGCGAGTCATTGCCTTGTTTGAAAACCTCAGTGGCTGATGAAATCAGTGTCCCTGAACTTGACTTGCACCACCCTTCATGATCCCCCCTAGACTCATCACTTCCACACTGTATTCTCACACTGTTTCTCTGCCATACCAGGCCCTTTCTCACCTTCAGGTCATGCACAAGCTGTCCCCTCTGCCTGGGGTGCCCTCTAGCCCCCACCCTTGCTTCTCTGTGTCTCTGTCTCTTTCCTTCTTGGGTCTCTCTCTGTCTGTCTGTTTTTCCCTATTGGCAGTGCCCCCCCAACTGAAACCCAGAGAAGCTCGGGCTTGTTATGAAATGAGGAGCCCAGCAGATTCCAAAGCTCCTCCTGAAGTTGGCCCAAACACACTTCCTCTCTCAGCAGGCGATGCGTCTGCCAGTGCCAGAGGACAAACTCCCTGGAGGAAGACACTTAATCTGCGGCACAAACACATTCAGTCGCCCCTATGAGGAAGACCTGAGAAATACATCAACCACGCAGCGGAGCAGAGGCCACTGAAGGAGCAATGTTCCTGCACCGCTCCCTGCTTCTGGAAAGCTGAGCCCATGCATCAGTGGTCACTACCACAGCTACAGCTTGGCTTCCGGAGGACAAGGCTGACACAAAGCTCTGAGAGCTACTGAGCTGTTTTTAGATGATTTGCCATTAATTTTCTGGTTTTATAGGAGCTTTCAAGATGCAAGATCAACTGAGTGACGTCAAAGGCTGTATTTCACTGGCATTAATGCTGACTCAACCCACAAGCCACCACCTCCTTTTAATTCCTTGGATTTGCACCTGTTCCAGCAAAGAGCAGTCCCAAGGGACTTCTTGGGAAACAGTCAAGTCCCCTCCACAGCAGATCTATTTGTATCTTTGTTCCTTGCGGCTCAACCTGTCTCAGTTTTGGCTCCAGGCAAGATGTACCATAAGGTTCATAGTGGTCAAACATCTGTTCCCTTCTCCTCGGGACCAGACCAGCTCAATTCACCTTCTATGTGTAACTATCCATGGAGATCTTTCCAAAGCACAAGTATGACTGGCCTTCTCGCTGCTCAAATGCCTTCCATGGCCCCCATCTGCCGCACGGTCCAGCTGGTCATCCTTGGGGACGCAGCTAAGCAGGATTCGTCACTGCGCTGTCTGTGCTCTCTTACGTACTCATGAGGCCATTATCTCCCATGTTCCCGGTAAACACGGGACATTCCTTCGGCACCGGCATGACATTCTGCTTGGCCAACTCTGACCATAACTCACAGCTGAGCTGTGCTCTGCTCTGCATGTCACCCCATGAGCCACTCACACTCAGCATCCTACCCAGCGGACGCTTGGCATAACCATCTGCAGCCCTGTCCACACATTGGTCAGGACTGAGAGGCACATCAAGGAAGGGGCCCATGGCAACTTGCTGCCCCTCCTTCCCCTCCTCAGGGAAATGAGACTCAAACTCAGGGATGATTCCTGAATCTCCAGTCCCAGGGAGGCTGCTCCCAACCCAACATGGCCACACAGCATACTACAGGGGTTTGCATAAAGCCAAATGCATTATCTCCTTCCCTTCCCTACTCTGTCCCCATGTCCCGAGTCTGGATTACTGATGTGAGCAGCCTCCAGTTTCCAATTCAGAGAGCTGGGGAGTCTCCCTGGTTCCCCCCATGACCTAGAGGTCATGAATTCCATCACTGGCCAAGACCTAAGTTCTGATCTCATCATCTCCTGCCTGGCCCGTTCCAAAGTTCCTAACTAGTGTTCCGCTCTCCAGTGTTTCCCCTCTCCAATCTGTACCCCTGCCTCTGTAAAGCTGAGTGTGTCATTGCCTTGTTTAAAAACCTCAGTGGCTGGTGAAATCTGTGCCCCCGAACCTAACTGGCACCACCCTTCATGATCTACCCCAGAATCGCCACTTCCACACTGTATTCTCATGCTGTTTCTCTGCCATACCAGGCCCTTTCTCACCTGCAGGTCATGCACACTCTGTCCCCTCTGCCTGGGGTGCCCTCCAGCCCCACCCTTGCTTCTGCCTCACTCAGTTCATGTTTCTCTAAGCACAATATTCGACTGTAATTTCTCTGTGTGTTTCTCTTCCATCAGCCTGGAACCCACAGAGTCATGCTCTATAAACATTTGTTGAGTGAATGCATGCATGGATGGATGGACAGATGGAGGGATGGATGGGTGGATACACAAGTAATTATCAATCCCAGGCCGTATGGTAAGGCATGCCAAGTGACTGCTCCTGCCAGTCACCAGCCCTGCAGCTGCCGAGAGGTGCAAGGAGATGCTGCTGGCTGCAAAGTCCAGCTCCTGGCTCCAAGGCTGACTCAGCTTCTTCTGGCTCAGAATTCACTAAACAGGGGTTCTGAACCTAGACCCCTAAGGGGTCTGCAGATAGAATTCAGAGGTGTCTATGAACTTGGATAGGGAAAGCTATCTCATAGGCAACAAAGCACAGTAGTATCAGTAGTACTCTGAACCCAAGAAACATCATAAATATTTTTAGATCCCCTTATAATTGTCACAGATATCACAGAATACCATTTATGTTCATCCCTACTTTGATATTACAATCATATTAGCTACTGTTAGATATGGATTCCTGCTGCCTTATCTTGTTGACCTGAAAAAGAAGCACATGTGTTTCTATATTATAAATATGTTTAAATACAACACTTTTACATACCTATTCCAATAAAATTGGTTTTTTTGTAAGTTTCTGTATTTTATTTTACTTTATGCACTTACCTTTTGTAAGTTCTGTATTTTATTTTATTTTTTGAGACAGAGTCTCACTGTGTCACCTAGGCTGGAGTGCAATGGCATGATCTCGGCTCACTGCAACCTCCGCCTCCCAGGTTCCAGCGGTTCTCCTGCCTCAGCCTCCTGAGTGGCTGGGACTGCAGGTGCCTACCACCACATGGCTAATTTTTGTATTCTTAGTAGAGATGGGGTTTCACCATGTTGGCCAGGCTGGCCTCAAACTCCTGATCTGGGGTGATCCGCCTGCCTCAATCTCCCAAAGTGCTGGGATTATAGGGATGAGCCACCACACCCGGCCAGTTCTGTATTTTATTTTATGCACTTATTACTCTGAGAAGGGATCCATAGGCTTTAGCGCATAATGTTCAGGGGCCCATGGCACAGCGATGGTTAAGAATGCCTTCAAGTGGAAGTAAATGGCAGAGCCCAGAGTGTCTGGGATGCCCAAGAAGAGAGCAAAAGCCTCTGCCTAGACTGCTCTGGCTGGCAGACAGCCTGTTGCCCCATTCCTTCCCTGAGCCCAGTGCATAGATGTCCAGTCTCCCTGAGGGGGAGCATGGAATGAGGTTTGTACTCATCACTCAGCACCCCCGAGCACGGCCAATCTTCTCGGAGATGTTACACTCCCTCATCAGCATCCACACCCTGCTCCAAACAGCAGGAATCCTTTCGGAAGAAACTTAGAGGGATCTGCTTTTCAAAAGAGAGACTCATCCTAGCCCACCCCACCTCACCTCAAAATTCCAAAGTATCTACATGCAAGTCTCTTGGAGCTATTGGCCAAAGCTCGGCACAGGCGTGCAGAGAAGAACACAAAGAAAATTACAGGTCAGCTAGGGCGGTCAGACCTGGAATTGGCGTGGCTACGATGGTGTCTGGAGTCCACCACAGGGCACAGGAACTCATTCTTGCAGCTGCCGGGACTTTTGACTGCTAGCAGGTCACCAAGGGGCCCCTCCCCAGGAGCTGCCCTCAGTGGAAGGAAACTGACTTATGCTACATCCGCCTCTATGGCCTGTCACTGTGGAGGGCCAAAGGTCCAAGCCCCTGCCTCAATGTGGAGCGCCCATCTGGCAATCCCAGCTCCAGAGCCCTAGTGGGATCAGCTGGGCTCTCTGTGGCAGCTGCATCAGAGTTCAACTTCGCTTTCTGCCCAATCCTGCTGCAAGACAATGGAGGTGGAATTATGAAGGCGTCTGTAAGTGGAGTTCTGGCACTGAATTAAAGATAGTGTGAGCAATGCTGAAGCACTTGGCCTGCCAATGGCCCAGGAAGGATACAACACACCACAGATTCCTGACCATAACCTGGAGAAGCCTATGGACCTCTTAGAAGGTTTGTAAATATATACAATGAAAAGTAGAGAATTACAATTCTGATTTAGGTAAGCAGCCAATAGGTACACGTTGGAGCTCCCACATCACAAGGGCTGGGGACCTACCAGACTGGGAAGGTGGAAGCGATGTGCTAGTTCAGGTTCACGAGTGAGAATCTGTGGGAGACAGATGCCACCCCCATTATCCCTTCTTCCCTTCTCTTTCTTTAGTTTTAGTTGGGAACGTGGCTGCCAAGGGATAGGCTATATTAGTTTGCTCATGCTGCCATAACAAAGTACCCCAGACTGGGTGGTTTAAACAACAAAGATTTATTTTATCACAGTTCTGGAGGCTGGAAGTCCAAGATCAAGGTGTTGGCAGGGCTGGTTTCTTCTGAGGCCTCTCTCCTTGGCTTGCGGGTGGCCGCCTTCTCCCTGTGTCTTCATACGGTCTTCCCTCTGTGCATGTCTGTGTCTTAATCTCCTCTTCTTATAAGGACAGCAGTCATTGGATTAGGGCCCAACCTAATGGTCTCATTTTACCTTTATCACCTCTTTAAGGATCCTGTCTCCAAATACATTCTGAGGTGCTGGGGGTCAGGACTTCAACATATGAATCTGGAGGGGGACATAATTCAGCCCAGAACAAGCCTGTATTTCCCAACCTTCCTTGCAGCTAGGTGTGGCTGTGTAATGAACTTCAGTCCTATGAGATATGTGCAGAAGTGTTGTCAATTTCCTTAAGTCAGTCCACATGCTCCATACTTGTTTGGTTTTTCCCTTCCCAGTGGCTGGAACCACTGCCTTAGACAGATGGGAGCTATGTGTTAGGCTGGTGGGGTGGATGCTAACCTGGGTCCATGGACAACTTCATGGAGCAGAACCACCTGCCCATCCTGGATTGTCACTGTCATAACAACAAAATCTCCATGGCAGAAAACAGGAAGCATTCATTCCACTGTGTCTGCAGGCTGGCTGGGAGTCTGCTGTTCTGGCTGGGCTCAGCTGGGTGGCTGGAGCTACAGCTCTGGTCTGTGTCTGCTCCACTTCTCTCACCTTCCTTGAACCAGCAGGCTGACTGGGGATGATGCTTCTTATGATGCAGAGCAGGAGAACAGGAGGGGCAACAGCAACCTGCAAGGCCTCTTTCAGCCTGGTTTTCCTGGAACATTGTCACTTCCACTCACATGCCATTGACTATAGCAAGTCATTCAAGATAAACCAATAGTTTGCCAGGCCTGCCTGCATTTACAGACTTATATGAGAAAGGAAGAAACCTTCATCTTACATAAGCCACTGTATCTGGGGACCCTTTGTTACAGTGGCTCAGCCTGTACCTTAATATGAGACCTAGTCTATCCCCCACTAGCCTCAGGGAGAGCTAAAACCTGAGCCTGCCGTTCAGAGGCAGAAGCTGCATTTCATCCTCATGTCCAAGAAGCAAGCTGGGGGCCAGAAATGGGGCCAGGCCAAGAGGGTTGGAAGCCAAGGAACGGGTTAAGGATCCAGTCAACTTGGCTTGGCTGTCCTGGGTAACAGCTGAGTATGTGTGTGCATCAGGTGGTGTACTAGTCCATTCTCACACTATTAAAAAGAAATACCTGAAGCTGGATAATTTATAAAGAAGAGAGGCTTAATTGGCTCATGGTGCTGCAGGCTGTATAGACTTCTGCTTCTGGGGAGGCCTCAGGAAACTTACAATCATGGTGGAAGGGAAAGGGGAAGCAGACATATCTTCACATGGCCGGAGAAGAAGGAAAAGGGGCGCAGAGGTAGGTGCTACACACTTTTAGACAAGCAGATCTCAGGATAACTCTATCACAACACAGCACTAGGGAGATGGTGCTAAGCCGTTAGAAAATGTCCCCATGATCCAATCACTTCCCACCAGGCACCTCCTCCAACACTCGGGATGACCATTCAACGTGAGATTTGGGCAGGTTCACAAATCTAAACCATATGAGAAGAGGTCTTGTAGTGGGGGCAGTCAGCCTGGTTATGGGATCACCAGTGGAGAGAAGAGATGGGGAGGGAGCGCCATTAATCTATGCATTCAACAAATATCTGTGGAGCACCTACTGTGTGTCAAGCACTGTGCTAGGGGCTAGGGAGATAGAGGAAACAGTCCCCACCACTAAGGAACCAAGAGAGCCATGTGGGTAAGATGGCACTTTGCCTCCAAGAGTAAATCTTGCACATCTTGCAGAGAAGTGGTGGGCAGGGCTGTCCCCACCCACAGCTGAGTCCAAAGCATTCATGCGAGGAACTGACATCTCAGCCTGGAGGGACACACAGGACACAAGAGTTCTTTTGTTCGTGAGACTCCTAAGAGTAACCTGAAAGTTCATGAGGATGTTCCCTGTACTTATGTTTGTCTTGAAAATATTATCTACAAGGATATTCTACACGTTAAAACAGTGTCCATTCTTGAAGACATTTTGGCCCCAGGAAGTGACTTCCTCCCCTGTGTAGACTACACTTCATGTGGCAGTGGGGTAGGGTGCTAAGAATGTGGACTTTCAAGCCAAGCTGTCTGGCTTCCAATCCTGGTGCGACCTCTTCCTAACTGTGCCACTTGATGCAAGTTAGTTTGCCTCTTTTGTTCTTTTGTGTCCCCATTTTCCCATAGGAGTGAGTAGGGATTCAGTGAGCAAACAGATGTGATGTACTTAAACAATGTTAAGCACATATTACAAGCCACTGTTTTTATGCCATTCAACCTCTAAGCCTTTGTCCAGGCTGTACCCCCCAAAAAACAAAGAGAACGTAGAAGGAAGCACAAGCAGCAAATGTTTGGAATCTGAAAAGTTGATGGAGGAGGGCTAACTGATTTAGCAGATCCGAGAAAGTGGAATCCTTCGTCAGCAGTAGAGAAAGCCAAGAAACAACCCAATTTATTCTAATGACCTTCCCAAAGACTGAAACACTGGCAACCACAGATACTTTAGAAAGTGGGATAAAGACAGCATTTATAAAAGAGGAGGAGGGATCCATCTTCCCCACCTTTACAGAAGGCTGGAGGTTTATTCTCCAAAGAGGATGAAATAGAAGGTTGTAGGACTGGGGACACCAGGGAGAACACGAGGACAAATTCGGTAAAATTTGCATAGTGAAGGTAGAGATCCCTGGATTTTATGCCTGCCTGGCTCCGAGCATCCTGGCCACTAGCATTAACCTTTTCCAGGTAAGGGATAGGGAATCTGAGAAGCTGGAAAGAAAATATCTGTAGGTACAGATATCAGGGTTCCTGGATGAAATACTTGGCCAATCAAAGCAAAGCCTGCCTTGGACAAGATCTATTCCTGAACACTAAGCACCAACCAGCTTGTCAGTCCCCACTCTTAGGTGTGAGTGGCCAGACAGTGGTCACCAGACATTTAACAGAGGCCAAAACAAACAGATAAAGTAAGTGGGAGAAAACAAGGACTATACAGGGAGGGTGAAAGACTATACAAGAACTATATAGAAGAACGACTATACAAAGAAACAAAAACAAAAACAAAAATTAATATTCTCACAGTGGTAAGAAGATGATAGTAATAATAATTGCCAACATATAGTATTTAATTTAATTTTTACAAAAACCCCTTGTGGTAGATGTACTGGCCAGAATTGTGTTCCCCAAAAGATATATTCAAGCCCTAATACCTGGTACCTTTGCATGTGACCTTATTTAGAAGCAGGGTCTCTGCAGCGGTAATCAGGTTAAGATCATACTGGACTAGAGTAGGGCCTAATTCAACAATTGGTGTCCATATAAGAAGAGAAATTTAAACATAGATACAGAAGAAACATAGTGAAGAGCTCCTTGTGAAGATGGAGGAGTGGTGCCTCTCCAAACAAAGGAGTGCCAGGGATTGCCAGTAGCTGCCACAAGCTAGGACAGAGGCATGGAACAGATTCTTCCTCAAAGGCTCCAGGAGGAACCAACCCTGCTGACACCTTGATTTTGGACTTCTGGCCTCAAGAACTGTGAGAAAATTAATTCTTGTTGTTTTAAGCCACCCAGTTTGTCGTACTCTGTTATGGCGGGCCTAGGAAACGAATTCAGCTTGTGATGCAGCAAAAACTAACTCTGGGAGAAGCCAGCTGCCATGTTGTGAGACCACTCAAGCAGCCTCGAGGAAAGGTTGCTGTGATGAGAAACTGAGAGAATTTCTACCAACAGCCAGCAAATAATGAAGATCTCCCGTCAACAGCCATATGAGTGACCATCTTGGAAACATATCCTCAGCCCCATGTCAAGCCTTCTGCTGACTGCAGCTCTGGCTGGCAGCTTTACTGCAACCGCATGAGAGACTCTGATCCACAACCTAAAGTGCAGAAACTTTCTGAGATTACACAGATTTGTAGTTTTAAGCCACTACCTTTCGGGGTAATTTGTCAGGCGGTAGTATATAACTATCATACCGCCTATGCATCCCTTCTCAGGAAACTATGCTCCACTAAAGCAACAGAGTAAGCAAGAAAGAGGAAGAGGTGAGATCCAGGGAGCCAGCATCCCAACACAGCAGAGGGGGTGAAGGAGCTGCCCGCGATGCTGGTGAAAGGAGACCCAGGAAAATGGCTGCCCAGTAGACCTGGACAGCAACTGGTGCAGGCTGGAGCAACACAGAAGGCTCCAGAAGCTTCAAGAGGAAGGTTAAACTGATGTAATATCCGATGTATTCAAACATATTAAAAGAAGCTTAGGGACACATTACCGATTAAGTACAGAGAAGCACTCTGAAATTAAAACAAAATCAAGAGCTATTAATTTTAGGGAAAATAATGTGTTATGCAGTAAAAGAAAACAGTTATAGCATTCTATTTTATTCTATAGTCTATTTATTTCTACACTATTCTATATTCAGCTGTAAATAGCCAAACATAGTCATAATAATGTAGAGCCTGAATGACGATATAACCACAATAATCACGGAATTCTGTTGAGAGACTGAGAAGAACGAGAAGCATGCCGAGGTCGGGTGGGGTGGCAGATGTACCTGAGAACAGGCATGAGAGAGAGAGAGAGAGAGCCTCATGTTCCTCGTGGAGAAGTCAACAGATAACATCTGAAATGGAAAAATCAAGAATTAGCAACATACACATGAAATTAATGATATGGACAACAGATACCAACCAATGGATGGAAAATCAGCCAGAATAGTTCAAAGTGCTTTTCTCTGGGGACCTGGAAGTGGTGATGAGAGGTGTCGGGGACTGCCATTTCCATAACAAGCTTCACTTCACAATAGGTTCTAAGACCTATTCTTCACTTCGCAATAGAACCACTTCACTTCACAATAGGTTCTAAGACACCTATTTTTCACATGTTAGCATCTTGGAAACTAATTTTTTTAACCATCAGTGGCAACTTACAACTGGCAGCATTTTTTTCTTTCCTGCTTGTATATAAAATAATAATGCATCTTACAATCAATATCATCTTAGTTTCAATGAAATGTAGCATTCGACTCTATGAACTATGGGCAATGCCTAAATTTTAGTTAGAAAAATAAAAACTGGCTGGGCGTGGTGGCCTGTAATCTCAGCACTTTGGGAGGTTGAGGAGGACAGATCACCTGAGGTCAGGAGTTCGAGACCAGCCTGGCCAACAGGACAAAACCCTGTCCCTACTAAAAATACAAAAATTAGCCAGGCATGGTGGCACATGCCTGTAATCCCAGCTACTAAGGAGGTTGAGGCAGGAGAATCGCTTGAACCTGGGAGGCGGAGGTTGCAGTGAGCTGAGATCATGCCACTGCACTCCAGCCTGGGTGACAAGAGTGAGACTCTGTCTCACAAAGAAAAAAGAAAAAGAAAAACCAAGAAAGAAAGAAGAAACAAAAAAAATGCAATGATGAAGTCTCATTTGTCAGACGGTGGCTTCTCTGGCATTTGCACAGGGCAGCCCAGCCCAGTGTTGTGTGAAAGCTCACAGGAGGACATGAAAAGAATCGTTGCCTTTTTTTTGCCACTGGACTTGGTGCATGCTTCTTTCATTGTTAAAGTGACCATATAATTAACAACCAAACGAGGACACTTTTGAGAGGAAAAAAATATTGCTATTAATGATAAACTCCACAACAGCCATAAAATGAGGCTGTCCTATAGGACCACACTACTCTTCATGTATATCAGACCCTGCTAGGATTATCTGCTCACAGATCTGTCTTCCCACCATAAGGCCTATTTGAAAGCAAGAATTGTGCTTTGATCTTTGTAATCCCAGCGTCTAGCATGGTGTCTAGTATACAGTTGGTACTCCGTAAATACTCATGGAATGAATGTATAAATAAATATGCTAATGAACTCTGGTTAAGAAATTCATGGTGAGCCACAGAATCATACTTTAGTTATTACTTTGCATCAGTTATGACTTTGTAATTTGCTACATCATATTCACACACAAGGGGGCTCTTTCTCAAAGCATGTATAAACAAGGAGACATTTAATTCTTACAGCAGTTCAGTTTTTCTCAATGAATTATAGGTTGCTGTTGTTGTTATTGTTGTTGTCTTAAACTCTCCAATTAAAGCAATTGCTCCAGACTGACAAAGCCAGATACCTAGGGGCAGCACTTACAGTGGAAACATCATCTTTAGATGCCAGCACACCTCGACTCTGCACCAGCTCTGCCACGTAGCAGCTGTGTGTCCTTGAATAACGCAGAAGCTCTCTGAGCCTCAGTCTTTCCTTCTGTAAAATGGTCAGAGAACACTGTTGGAGCAAGTCATAAAGTAGAGTTGGTCGGGGTTTGGTGAGGAGCCTCACCCTGCATGTCCCCTGTTCCTGGGCAAGGAGAATCCTCAGGCACATGGCTCCTGCGGGCCCCAGATACCCACAATGCCTGGGTGATGGCTGCTGGCTGTCCAGCACCTTCTTCTGGGAAACACCAAGGTGGCCCAGTGGGAAGAGCCAGGACAAGCCCCAAGTACTCTCCTGGCTGAAACAGAGCAGGGACCCCCCCGAGAGTCCTGCCCCACCCTAAGCATTGAAATAAAGGAAAATCTTGAGTTCCGTCAAGGAAAATTCCAGGCACCTCACTAGCTTTGAGAAGTGAATGAGCAGCCTGATAAGCAAAAAGGTAATAATAGTTTAAAATAATTGCCAAGAAAGTTAGACCCACAAAATATTTGGTGGTTTCCTATGGAAACCAAATAGAGTTTCTTATGGAAACTAAAGATAACTTTTTTTTTCTTTTCTTTTTTCTTTTTTGAGACAGAGTCTCTCTCTGTCACCCAGGCTGGAGTGCAGTGGTGTGATCTCAGCTCACTGCAACCTCCGCCTCCCAGGTTCAAGCAATTCTCTAACCTCAGCTCCCCAAGTAGCTGGGATTGCAGGCATGCGGCATCATGCCCAGTTGATTTTTGTATTTTTATAAGAGATGGGGTTTTGCCATGTTGCCAGGCTGATCTCAAACTCCTGAGCTCAAGTGATCTGCCCGCCATGACCTCCCAAAGTGCTGAGATTACAGGTGTGAGCCACCGCATCCGGCCAAGATAACATCTTAACTTATGTCCCTGAGTTGTTTTTCAGAAACCCAGACCCCCATCAAATGGAAACCGCTGTCTGATGGCACATAGACCTCAGATAAGGGGGAGCTGAAGACTGAATGAACCCTGACTGCTGTTCTTTGTTCTAAATTTCTTCCTTAGGGAGCTGGAGGAAGTCACATCCACAGGCCAGGGCTCAACATTTCTTTATGCTGACCCCAAGTTTTTAGACAAAATTTCTCCCCCTGAACCAATCGCAAATCAGAAAATCTTTGAGTCCACCTATGACCTGTGGGTCCCTGCTTTAGGATGTCCCACCTTTTCAGGTGAAACCAATATATGGCCTCCCGGTACTGATTTATGACTGCAGGTAGCTGCTGCTTCCCCACCTTTAAAACCCCCTCCAGGTAAGCCATAGGAGAGTTCAGGTCCCGAGATTTAGCTGCCCGATTCTCCTTGCTTGGCATCCTGCAGTGCCTCACTTTCTCTCTCTGTGAATCCACATGTCAGTATTTGGGTTTGCTGTACCGGGAAGGTGGACCCAAGTTAGGTTTGTAACATAGTTGACTCTGATAATTTCAGGGGCCAGGGCCTGTCTTTGCCTTGATTTACCCATGGAATCACAACAACTTAATTTTACAAGTATAGGCACTGTATTAGTCAGGGTTCTTCAGAAAAACAGAAGCAGGCCAGGCATGGTGGCTTACGCCTATAATCCTAACACTTCGGGAAGCCGAGGCAGGAGAATAGCTTGGGGCCAGGAGTTCGAGACCAGCCTGGGCAACATGGCCAGACTTTTGTCTCTACAAAAAATCCTTAAAAATTAGTTGGGCATGGTGGCACACATCTGTGGTCCCAGCTACTTAGAAGGCTTAGGCAGGAGAATTGCTTGAGCCCGGGAGTTTGAGGCTGCTGTGAGCCATTATCACACCACTGCATTCCAGCTTGGACAACAGCGCAAGACCCTGTCTCAAAAAGAAGAAGAAGGAAAAGAGAATTGATAGGATGTGTGTATAAATTGGTCTATTTTAAGGAATTAGCTCATGTGATTACAGAGGCTGTCTAGTCCAAAATCTGCAGGGTGGGCTGGCAGGCTAGAGATCCAAGAAAAGCCAAGTCTGTAGTTCAAGTCCAAAGGCTGTCAGCTACTGGATTCCCTCTTGCTTAGGGGACATCAGTCTTTTGTGCTACTCAGGCCTTCAGCTGATTGAATGCCCCTCCACACTCCCCAAAGCATGCACATTAGGGAGGGCAGTCTGCTTTATTCAAAGTCCACCCATTTAAATGTAAATCTCACCCAAAAACACCCTCCCAGAATTATCCAGAATAATGTTTGGCCAACTATCTGGGCACCATGGCCCAGCCAAGTTGACACATAAAATTAACCATCATAGGCCCTGTGTCAACCCCAGGCTTCACAAGAGGAGATGTCAGAGGTTTTTTTGTTTTGTTTTGTTTTGTTTTGTTTTGTTTTGTTTTGTTTTGTTTTGTTTTTGAGACAAAGTCTCGGTTTTTTGCCCAGGCTGGAGTGCAGTGGCACAATCGCAGCTTACTGCAGCCTTCGCCTCCCAGGTTCAAGCAATTCTCCTGCCTCAGCCTCCAGAGTAGCTGAGATTACAGGCACCCGCCACCACACCCAGTTAATTTTTAGTAGAGACAGGGTTTCACCATTTTGGTAAGGCTTGTCTTGAACTCCTGACCTCAAGTGATCTGCCCGCCTCGGCCTCCCAAAGTGCCAGAGATTCTTTGAGTGACAGTCTGGCCACACCTGTGTGAGAAGTCACTTTTCTGCCTACCCACACTGCCCTGGGTGCTCTTCACTCCTAGGGGTGGCATCTGCTTGTCTCCTGTCAACGGCTCTCAAGCTGCATTGCTGCTCTGTTTGTAAGCAAAAGCACCCTTTCTTCAGTCTCACACAGACTGCTGATATAAACATGAATATGAAGTCTAGGGAAAGGGAGAAGGGGAGACCCTCTTACTGGTTAAGCCGCTTGAGGCCACCTTAATAGAGATTGAAAGTCTCTTACCTCAATGAATGCATCAAACGCATTTGGCTGCAAGTAATAACCCAAGCCCTCCATTGGATTAGCTAAACTGCGAACTGCCAACCAAAATAAAATTCTAAGCCCACCAAATGACTGAATGAATCCCTCCTCTTGGACAAGGGCATTCCAAAATAAGCCTGAAAAACTAGTTTAGGCCATGATGGAAAGTGGGAGTCAGACATACCTCATTATACCCTCCTCCTTTTGGAATTCAGGCACAACTGATCAGCATTAACATTAACAGATCTTAAGGTTGACAAAACAGACTCCTTGTACCAAAAAGATACTAAATTCCAACCTGGCTCTAGTATAGCATCACATGACAAATAGCAGCCCCTGAAAAAAATCAAAGTATTTTACCCCAAAAAGCATTTATTTGACGCATTTTAAAATAGCTTTACAAAGCTGTCTCTTAGCAGAAAATCTACATTCTTTAGAGAATCTCCTTCCCTTTCCAGGTCTTTTCCTGATCTGGGAGAGATTTAACTAAGAGTTTGACACATTTTAAAGTCTGATAAGAGACATTTACCATCTATTTCTCTCTGAAGCCTGCTACCTGGAGGCTTCATCTACATAATTAAAACCTTTTCTCCACAACCCCTTATATCAACCCAGACACTCCTTTCTATTTATTCCAGGTCTTTAAATAACAACTTCTTCAACCAGCTGCCAATCGGGAAACCTTTGAATCCACCTGGAATCTGCCTGGAAGCCCACCGTCTTGCCCACCCTGCTTCAAGTTGTCCTGCTTTTCTGAACTGAACCAATGTACACCTTACATGCATTGATTGATGTCTGCCTGTAATTTCTGTCCCCCTAAAATGTATAAAATCAAGCTGTAACCCAATAACCTTGGGCAAATGTTGTCAGGACCTCTTAACTCTGTGTCTTGGGCCCCAGGCACTCATATTTGGCTCAGAATAAACCTAACATTTTACAGATTTTGACTCTTTTCCATTGGAGAACACATTTGCACCTCAAAACAGGAAGTCCAAGGCAGGTGGTCCCAGGGTCGGTAAGCTCAGCGGACCAACAACATCAGCGAGAACCCCGATCTTCCACATCCCTTCCCAGGGCTGTCCTCAGGGCACAGCTCTGGTCCTCAAGCTGCCCTCTAGACATGATGGGGAAAGGCAGGAAAAGGGCCTGTGGATAAACAGGTAAATCACTGGCTTTGGTTATTTTCCACACTTCATAGAAGCAGAAATAGCAGCACAGAGAGTATAAGTAGCATGCTCAAGTCACACAGCAGAGTCAGAGCATTCTCTTGAAGTTCTCTTTCTACAAATTGTGCAGCATCTATCTTCTACCTGCCCTTTCTCCAATCACAGACCCATCACTCAACCCCATGCCCCAGGAAAGAGCAATGTCAGCAAGACAAACCTCTCAGAGATTTGGGAAGCGCCACCCCCTTCGTGGTTTAATGCTGGATGTTTATGACAATGAGGTGAGCCCAAATAAGGCCCCAGTAGAAATTTGACTATGGACTCAGTACCAGGCCATATTAGGGAATTATAATTAATTTTGTTAGATGTGATAATAACATGGAGGTTAAATAAGAAAATATCCACACACTCCCCTCTTTTTTGAGACGCACATGGAAGTATTTATGAGTGCAATGACATCAAGTTTGCAATTTGCTTTGAAATACTCTAGGGGAAACTGAGGGTAAGGTAGGGATAAAGCTGGCATGGCAAAATTTTGATGGTTGTTGAAGCTGGGTGCTGGGCTCAGGGCAGCTTACTCTTCTCTCTACTTTTGTATGTTTGAAAATCTTATAAAAATACAACATAAATGTAAAATAAATTATAAATAAGTAACAAAATAGTGTCCCTGGGAAGCTGCCTAAGGTCCTGTGGAGTTAGTCAGTGGAAACAGAGGGTGCTAAAAATAACCAAGAGATTTATATGGTTTCTCCCATGACATCTTTGGTAATTTATCATGGATACTCACATCTACTCAGTTTGCTCTCCAGACGTCCTGGATGGAGCTTGGTCTCAAGGAGAGAAAGGAATGCTGCCACTCTTATTTGAACAAGTTCTCTTTCAACTTCTGATCATGGCATGGGAAGGAAGTACCTTTCCCTGACCCCTCTCTGCGGGGTTCAGTTTCTCCATAGGACATTAAGTGTAACAAGAACTGCTGAGTCCCTCATAAGGTCCTTGCAAGAATCAGAGAAAATGCTAAGACTAAAAGCACTTTTTAAAAAACCATGTTCAAAAATGAACTGTGCTCGGTGTACAAAATTTAGAAACAAAGATAATCAAAAGAAAGAAAATAGAAATCATGCACAATACTTCCCGCCTGCCCATGTAACTATTGTTGTGATTTGAGGTGTAAACTTTCAAGTTTGTTGTTGTTGTTGTTCACCATATAGGTGGTTTTGTTTTGTTTTTTTTTTTGATTTACAAAAATGGGCTCAAATTGTGTAGTCTTATTTTTTACCATAACACGTCATGAACGTCGTTTGATATTATCATACATTTTTCCACAATATTGTTTCGTATTTTCATCATTGCTATGTTTTCCATCATGTGACTATAGGATAATTTATTTAACCCATCTCATTGTATCAGTTTTCTAGGGCTACCATAACAAAGCACTGCAAACTGGGTGGCTTACAAAAGAAAAAAATGCGTTTTCTTGCAGTTCTGGAGGCCAGCAGTTCAAAATCAAGGATTGGTTCCTTCTGGGGGCTCAAAAGGAGAATCTGTTCCAAGCATGTCACTCCCCTAGCTTCTGGGGTTGCCAGCCATCCTTGGCTCATGGCGGCATAATTTCAGTCTCTGCCTCTATCATCTCGTGACTGTCTTCTCTGTGTGTCTCTGTGTTTCTTTCTCCAATTTTTTTTTTTGGGGGGGGGTGAGAGGGAGGGGAGACAGGGTCTTACTCTGTCACTCAGGCTGGAGTGCAGTGGCGCCATCATGGCTCACTGTAGCCTCAGGTGATCCTCCCATCTCAGCCTCCTGAGTAGCTGGGATTACAGGCACACGCCACGATGCCTGGCTAATTTTTGTATTTTTGTCGAGATGGGGTTTTGCTATGTTGCCCACGCTGGTCTGAAGCTCCTGGTCTCAAGCAATCCTCCTGCCTTGGCCTCCCAAAGTGCTGGGATTTCAGACATGAGCCACTGTGCCTGGCCTTCTTCAATTCTTATAAGGACACTAGTCATATTGGATTAAGGTTCTATGCTACTCTAGTACAACCTCATCTTAAGTAATTATGTCTGCAGTGACTCTAATTCCAAATAAGTTCACATTCTGAAGCTTTAGAGGTTAGAACTTCAACATATCCATTTGGGGGACACAAACCCAAAACTTACTCACATTGTCAGGCTTTTAGGGTATTTTGGTTGACATTTTTGCTATTAATAAATTAGGTCACATTTTTTTTTAACACATCCATGATTGTTTTCTTAAAATAAGTTCCTAGAAGTAGAATTTCTAGATACAGACTGTATCATCAGCCAGAATTTGGCCAGGAAAAGGAAAATCAGAGGTCTTTTCAAAGAGAGAGGATTTAATATACGGAATTGACTGTGCAGGTGTTGAGAAGATGCAAAGTAGGCTGGGTGTCGTGGCTCACACCTGTAATCCCAGAACTCTGGGAGGCCAAAGCAGGCGAATTGCTTGAGTACAGGAGTTTGAGACCAGCCTGGGCAACATAGTGAAACCCAGTCTCTACTAAAAATAATAATAATTTAAAACAAAATTAGTCAGGTGTGGTGGCGCTTGCCTGTAGTCCCAGCTACTCAGGAGGCGAGAGGATCACCTGAGCCTGGGAAGCCGAGGCTGCAGTGAGCCAAGATCACATCACTACACTCCAGCCTGGGTGAGAGACAGAGAGAGAGAAGAGACAAGATAGAAAGCAAAAGATGAAGAGGTAACCCAGAGATTAATAATTGCAAGAAGGAGCTGCCATTCCCAGGTTTGGGGGAAAAAAGAAAAAAAGACATGGAGCGTCCAGAACTTAGGCATGTGAAGGAGGAGGCTCCCTAAGGCTCATGCTCAGACCTTCAGGGCAGGACACTGCAAGATCTGTGCTTGGAACTCTCAGGGGGCGCCTGCGGCCACGCTCAGACATCTGAGAGGAGGGCACTGACCTCTGAGGCAGCACCACATGCCTGGTGCTTGGGGTGCAGGTGGCATGGCTGCTGCTGGAGGGATGCAGACCTCAGTCAGAAATCAAAACAGAGTCCCTTCTCCCCTCCTCTCACCATTCAATCTCCACCATTGCCTCCCATTAGCAAACTGGAAGCCAGCAAGGTATCTGGAAAATGAAGTTTGCAGACTTCTAGCCCCTGCATTACCGAACAGAAATGGTGTGGGCAGGAGGTATGAAGATGAGAGGCAACAAATAAACAACTGTCCTGAAGGCTTTTGATATGCATTCTTCCATTGTCTTCCAGAAAGGCTCGATCAACTTACACTGACACCAGCAGGCCATGGAAATGCCAGTTCCTAAATCTCAATAACACTGAAGGTTATGATTTTAAATTTTGTTTTCAGTTTGACAGGAAAAAATTATACTTTGATTTGCTTTGCATTTCTTTGATTTTTAGTGATGTTGGATACGTTTCCTATGTTTTTGGCCACTATATTTATTACTTGTTTTGTAAATTGTTGAAATACAAAACTAAAATAATTAAAGTGTCAGATTGTATGTCCTTTGACCATTTTTATTACACTATTTGCCTTTTTCTTCTCAATTCATAACACTATGCATGAAGGATATTAATCCTTGTTCTACAATACATGCTGCAAATAATATTTTCTCATAGTGGTTTGACATTTAGTTTTATTTACAGTGTTTCTGATGTCAGGTGGCTCAATTTATATGTGGTCAAATCGATTACTCTTTTCTTCTATGCATTTGCCTTTGATTTTATACTTAGAAAGCTCTTCCCCAGGCCAAGATTACGTAAATATTTATATGTTCTTTATTCTTTATGTTTTTTACATTTTCAACACAAAGGTTTTTTTTTACATCGTAATCTTTATGTGGAATTTGTTTGGGTATATAGCATAAAGTTAGAAATAATGGAATAATCCATTTTTCATCTATAATTTGTGTTTATTTATTTATTTATTGAGACAGAGTTTCGCTCCTGTTGACCTGGCCAGAGTGCAATGGCACATTCTCGGCTCACTGCAACCTCCACCTTCCAGGTTCAAGCGATTCCCCTGTCTCAGCTTCCCAAGTAGCTGGGATTATAGGCATGCACCACCATGCCCAGCTAATTTCATATTTTAGTAGAGATGGGGTTTTGCCATGTTGGCCAGGCTGGTTTCGAACCCCTGACCTCAGGTGATCCACCTGCCTCGGCCTCCCAAAGTGCTGAGATTACAGGCGTGAGCTACCATGCCCTGCTTTCATCTATAATTTGTGATGCCACCTCTATCCTCTATTAAACTGATATGGATAGATAGATGCATAGATAGATAGATAGATAGATAGATAGATAGATAGATAGATATGGATATATGTGTGTGTGTGTCTATTTCTCCAGTATCTCTTTTATTCCATTAGTCTGTATGATCATTGCATTTTATTACATTCTCACAAAAATGTAAACTCCATGAAAGTTGCCTTGGTTCTACTAGTGCCTAGAATGGTGTCCGGCACATAGCAAGTACTCGAGAAATACACATTATTGCTTGAGTGGACTATTCCTGTACCAGATCATTTCTGGTTTTGCTTTTTTAAAATTCACTTTTATCAAGGTATAATTTACACACAGCAAAACTCTCCTGCCTTAGTGGCCAGGTCGAATTTGACAAACACATACAGTTGGAAAACCACCATAACCAAGATATAGAATAGTTCTGTCACCACAAAAACACTCTGTCATGTCTTTGTTTTCAATTAATTTTTTTTATTTTAAACTGTGATTTTTAAAAAACACACACCATTAAATATGCCACCTTTTTGATTTTCAAACATACAGTTCCGTAGTGTTGAGAATATTCACAGTGTTGTGCAACAGATCTCCAGAACCTTCTATCTTGCAGACCTGAAACTCTATGTCATTAAACCACTCCCTTTTTCCCCCTCACCCCAGCTCCCTGGAAACTATCATTTTACTTTCTGTTTCTATGAATTTGACTACTTTAGATACCTCATGTAAATGAGATTTATCTTTTGTGACTAATTTCCCTTAGCATAATGTCCTCGAGGCTCACGCATGTTGTCACATGTGACAGAATTCCCTTCCTTTTACAGCTGAATAATATTCCACTGTGTCTATCAAGTTCTTTGATAGCTGACTCCTACCCCTAGGTCCTGAAGTTTTTTCTGTCTCTATAGTTTTACCTTCCAGAATGTTATATAAATGAAATCCTACAGTATGTTTATGGTATATAGGCTTTTGAGTCAGGCTTGTTTTTCTCGGCATAATGCATCTGAGGTTCACCCACGCTGTTGTGAGTACCACTATTTCATACTTTTTCATCATTGAGTAATATTTCATTATATGACTCTATCACAGTTTGTTTATTCAGTTCTCAGATGAAAATAAATTTGAGTTGCTCTCAATTTTAATTATTGCAGCTTCATAATGCTTTTTTTTTTAATTTTTGAGACCGAATCTCACTCTGTCACCCAGGCTGGAGTACAGCAGTGCGATCTTGGCCCACTCCAACCTCTGTCTCCCAGGTTCAAGCGATTCTCCTGCCTCTGTCTCCCACGTAGCTGGGATTATAAGCACACGCCACCATGCTCGGCTAATTTTTATATTTTTCATAGAGACAGGGTTTCTTCATGTTGGCCAGGCTGGTATTGAACTCCTGACCTCAAGTGATCCACCCGCCTTGGTCTCCCAAGGTGCTGGGATTACAGGCATGAGCCACTGCGCCCAGCCCCATAATACATTTTTTATAGTGAAACCATCTAGTAAGCTGCCAAATGTATACCAGTTGTAGCCATCACTAGAGGAGAGTATCCCTAGAATATGGAGATAAGATTTCCTTCTGGGAGTAAGAATGAGAGGAAACAACTTCTAACAGATTCAGGAGCTTGAGTGATGTTGGAGGACTTGCGGGAAACAGCCAGGTCCTGCCAATAAAACCAGACACAGCAGACTCACAGGCAGCGTGGTGGGCCAGGGCACAGGGCATTAAGGGTGTAGGCTCTGGAGATGAGGAGCTCTGGGTATTGCTCTTCCCTCTGACATTTCCTTGCTGAGTGATTGGGGCAACCTATTGACCTGCTGGAAGCCTTGGCTTCTCACCTGTAAAATGGGGAACAGGAGCGCATGCAATGGCCTGAATGTTTGTGTCCCCTAGACATTCCTATGTAAATCTTCACCCCATAAGGTGACGGTATTAGGAGGTGGGACCTTTGGCAGGTGATTAAGTCATAGAGGTGGAGCCCCTGTGAATGATATTTGTGCCCTTATGAAAGGGACCCTGGAGAACTGCCTTGCTCCTGCTGCCATGTGAGGACACCGTAAGAAGGCACTGTCTACGAACCCAAAAGTGGGACCCTCACCCGACATCAAATCTACTGGCACATTGATCTTGGACTTCTTCAGCCTTCAGCCTGTGAGAAACAAACTTTTGTTGTTTACAAGCCACCCAGTTTAAGTTATTTTCTTATAGGAGCTTGAATGGACTAAGACATAGCACATTCCTCACGTGAAGTAGTTAGTGCAGTCACTAGGCCAAAGTAACTGTCTGATAATTGATACTTTTTTTTTTATTAACTATCATCTTGAAAGGTAGGCTGGGTCTTGAAAAGGAAATTCACATAGGAACAAGTCCAGCTGTGTTTCTTCTGAAGAAAGTGTGCAAATGATGCAGGTAATTGCAGAGGTTTTGAAACATGGCTGCAAATTCCTTGACATTCTTCCCTTCAAGAGATGGGCCTGATATGGTTTGGCTGTGTCTGCACCCAAAATCTCATCTTGAATTGTAATCCAAATTGTAATCCCCACATGTTGTGGGGGGGACCTTATGTGAGGTGATTAGATCATGGGGGCAGTTCCCCCATGCTGTTCTAATGATAGTGAGTGAGCTCTTAGGAGATCTGATGGTTTTATAAGGGACTTTTCCCTGCTTCACTCTTTCACTCTGCACTTCTCTCTCCTGCCACCATGTGAAGAAGGACATGATTGCTTCCCCTTCTGCCACGATTGTAAGTTCCCTGAAGCCTCCCCTGCCATGCAGGACTGTGAGTCAATTAAACCTCTTTTCTTTATAAATTACCCAGTCTCAGGTATTTCTTCATAGCAGCATGAGAACAGACTAATACAGGGTGCATGTTCTCTCACCTGGAATCTGGGTGGACTTGCCATGGCTTTAATCCCATCCAGTAGGGCAGAAGTGACATCATGTAATTTTGGAGGCTGGCTCAGAGAAGGCCATGCATCTTTCACTGTTTGCTCTGGGACCCCTGAGCCATCATTATTTGCCAAAATACCCTGAAGCCCGAAGTCACAGTGCTGGTGAGGCCATGTGGTGATACCACATGGAGGCCCTGAGACCTGTAGAAAGAGAGAGAGATCCCAATAGGTGTCCCAGCCCAGGCACAAGATGCATGAGTGAAGAAGCTTCCAGATGATTCTAGATCACAGCCATTTGAGTCAGCCCCACCCTTTGGGTCTTCCTACATGAGGCCCCAGACATCATGGAGACAAACCATCTCCTCTGTGCCCTAATTCCTGATCCACAGAATTTGTGCATGCAACAATGATGGGTATTTTGCGTCACTAAGTTTTGGGTTATTTTGCTATATAGCAACTGATAACCAGAATGG
The DNA here is from genome assembly GCF_000001405.40 of Homo sapiens. Taxonomy (NCBI): domain Eukaryota; kingdom Metazoa; phylum Chordata; class Mammalia; order Primates; family Hominidae; genus Homo; species Homo sapiens. Next base: position 950,354 of record NT_187601.1, on the reverse strand, counting down.
AGTTCTAGAAGGAATCTACAGAAGAAGAAAAAAAGGAAACCAAGGTAGTGAGATTTATCAGTGTTCCTCCAGCAGCTGGCAAAAGCCACCCACCCACCCACTACAGGGCCCTCAGGCACACAACCTCATGCATGGGGATTGGGAGAATTCACCAGGCTTTTTTGCAGCCTCAGTGAAATAATTCCCAAGAATGAGTAACTTTGCTCCCTCTGTTTTTGTGCCTAGTGAAAACCAATGGATGACTTAAACATGATGGCCAGGAATATTCTAGGTCCTGGAGAAAGTAGATCAGTTCCATAAACCAATAACCCCACTTTCCGGTTTGTACATCAGTCTCTTGGGACTTTGATATGTGTGAATTAGCCCCAAGCTTCTGGACCACCTTACCAGTACAGTGGAAGGATCATGGGCTGAATCTCAGCTCAGGGTCTAAATCTCAGCCCTGCTGCTTAATGACTATGTGATGTTGGGCAAGGTGCTTGACCTCTGTCTCAGTTTCCTTGTCTGTAAAACGAAGTCAGGAATGTCTTCTTCATACAGTCGTTATGGAGGTGAAATGAGATGCCACCTGGAAAGGGCTAGCACAGTGTGTGACTCATCATAAACTCACTGCTGATGTGATCCTTCATTTCTCTCCCCACCTCCAGCAAAGCTGCAGAGTAGTTTCTGGACCACAGTGACATCCCCTCCCAAGTCTTCCCAACACTGTCTCCCCCTCCTCCAGGCATTAGCCCTCAGAGAGCCCAGTGTGTTCCTCTGGGATCCCCCACCCCGGGCCACAGTAATGCCGGCACACACAGAGGTTTTTGGCATGGCTGGCACCAGACTGGCTTCCTCTATGGACCTGCTCCTGCCCCTGCAGGCTCTGACTGGAGAGGTTGAGAGGAAATCAACCGGGAGCCGACTGGGGCTGCATGACCGGGATGACAGCCTACAGACCCTGAAGGCAAATAGCCCTGTCCCATCAATTTGCAGGAGTGGAGAGAAGAGAGGAGCTTGGGAAATTACAGCCCCATCAGGCTGCCATCATCTCCTGCAGCTCATGAAAGTGATCAACAGCGCTTCGGCTCTCATTTTAAAGATTAAACAGAAGGAAGGATGACTCCAACGGATTGCAGCCCGAGCCACTGGTGGCCCTGAATGCCAGAAAACAAGACAGATTGGGTGTCCACGACACAGAAAGGAAACATGAATCTCCATATTTCACTGGAAGAAGCCAGAGTCACGCTCAAGGAGGCACGTGGTCCTTTTGTCTCCCAGCCTCAGGTTGGAAGCCTGCGCTCCCTTGCGGGGTCCAAGTCCAGGCTCTGGATCAGTTTCAGGACAGCAGGGACCAAATGTGTTTTGTTCAACACATATCAGGCACTCAGTAAATATGAATGAATGAATGAATTCTTGTTCTGTCCTTCTAGCTATGCGATTTTGGGCAAGTCACCATAGACAAGTCAAATGGCCTGTCAGAGCCTCAGTTTCCCCATCTGTTAAATGGGACTAGGGATATCTACCACCCTATGGTTATTGTGAAGATGAAATGGCATCGTATGAGGAAAGCATAGTAGCTGGTGTATATTACAAGGCACCCAGGTAAGGAAGAGGCCAGGTGGGAGACTCAGGTCATAAGCCTAAAGCCAGAGGGGTAGGATAAGAAACAGAAGTCCAGGCAGGGCAGGGGGCTGGCTGCATGGCACAGAGTGCTGAGATGTTTGGGACAAAGATGGCTCTACTCTGGCTCACCATTTTCACTCTCTGCGCCCCCTCTCTTATCCGCATCCCGTCTGCCTTGTAGGGAACGTGCAGAAGGCTGTGGCGTGTGCTTAGTGCGTTCTTCACCTCAGTGGCATAGGAATGGTATTCAAGAAGGAAATCGCTTTGTCAGGAATGGTTCTGAAAGTGTCCCGGAGGAAGTGGCATTTGTACAGGCCTGTGACAGACAGACAGGGCATGGCTGGTGGGACAGGAAGCCAGGCATGTGTGTGGGAATGGGACACCTTACCTGAAAGCTCCAAAAGACAAGGCTGAGGACTTCACAATCACCAGCACAATGGGGAATTATGGCAGCCTCCGGGGCAGAACAGTGATCCCTGGAAATAATTCCTTAGCTTTGTTACACAATTGGCATTTCAATTCCTCCACAAAAAGGGATCAGCAGTTCCACGCTAGTTCCTGGAGCAGAAAGGAGGGAAATAGCAGGGACAGGACTGGAAGAACCCCGCCCCTGAGTCACAAGCCCCAGCTCTCCTCTCTAAGGGCACCAGAAGCCCCAGGAGAGTCACTGCACTGCTTCGAGCCTCAACCTCCTTGTCTGCTTCCTGAGATAGCTGTGAGAAGACCCAATGTGGCAACACCGGGTGGGCCCTGCACAGGCCCCCATGGCAGCAGAAGCAAGCAAGTCTGCATCTGGGTTAAAACAGAGCCATGGGCAACCTGGTGGGATAAGTTATTTTGAAAGAAGGAAGAAGGGGCTGGCAAGGCCTGGAAATTCAGGCTGCTGGATAGGGATGTCCTCAGCAGGCTTTGAGGAGCTTTCTGGGAGTGATGTCTCCTGAAAGTTACTGACCGTGGGCAAGACATTATATTATTCTTTGCCCCAGGATTCTTCTCCTGTCCTTTCCTAAGTTCCCCCAAAGTTCCAAGGGAGCTGTTGGCTGAAAGAGAGTGGAGGAGGGCTTCTTCTTTCAGCTGAGGATGAACTGGTGGTTGGTTTGGATGTTCCCTGGGCAAGAGCTGTCCAATTACAGATCCCATCTGGGCATGGGATTCCTGAAGATGCCCCCCTCCTCAAGGCCAACATGTCATCAGAACCATAAAGTCTTCCTGTTTCCTCAGAGACAACAAACAGAGAGATGGGTGTGGGGTCCAAGCCTTAGCAGCACGATCTGGGGTTTGTGTCAAAATGAAATCCAGATCCACAAGGCACACGCTGCAGCCTGGCAGTTCCTGGCCTTGGCGGGTGTCCAATATCCCCAGAGCTCCTGGCACTGACTCCCTTTCTGCTGAAATAGGCTGGGTCTTGGCAGAACAAGGAAGGTGTATGAGCCTAGCATCCACCTGTCAAACCTCAACTCAGGAGTTATTAAGCCAGCAGGTCCTGTGGCAGCCAGGCAAGATTTGCTTAAAAAAAACAATGAGAAAAAAATCGAACTTATCACTTGAGGCTTTTCACTTAACCCCCCTGCAACAGCTCCCCAGCTGCTGTTTCCTCCTCTTCCAGGCTGGCTCCTGCCCACCCTCACCTTGATGCCAGATGGGTCTTTCCAAACTGCAGCTGTGGTCAAGTCATTTCTCAGTTCAAAAAGTCTGCTGTGGCTCCCCAGTACCTAAAGAAGTACCTGCATACTCCCCACCCGTGCATTCCAGGCCTCCCTCCCTCCCTCAAGATCAATCTCAAATGCTGCCTCCTCCAGGAAGCCTCTCCTGGTTTTCTTGGAGCCATTTGGAACTACTCCCCTTCCCAACCCCTATCAGTCTTCACTTGTTCCAGAGCCCAACCCAAGGCCTAGGGTGTGAGGGCCATCTGGAGCAGGGCACAGAGCCAAGGAAGACACAAGGAAAAGGAAGTCCCTCCCCATGAAGAGCTGATGGCTTCTCCAGGAACCTGCCCACCCTTCAAACACACACAGATACACACTCTGACATCTGGGAAATAAGGAATACAGTCACGGTGACAATTACCTCACTAAACCCAAGAGGCCAGGGACACCAAATACCGGGCAGCTGGTGTCTGTGCGAGGGGATGGCGGGGGTGACAGGAGGGGTGATGGGCATAGCCAGGGGTTAGGGATATCCCAGCCTGACAAATTTAAATCAAACTGTAGATTTTTTTTTTTTTTTTTTGAGATGGAGTGTCACTCTGTCAACCAGGCTGGAGTGCAGTGGCGCAATCTCGGCTCACTGCAACCTCTGCCTCCCAGGTTCAAGTGATTCTCCTGCGTCAGCCTCCCGAGTAGCTGGGATCACAGGCACATGCCACCATGCCTGGCTAATTTTTGTATTTTTAGTAGAGACGGGGTTTCACCATGCTGGCCAGGATGGTCTTGAACTCCTGACCTCAGGTGATCCGTCCACCTTAGCCTCTCAAAGTCCTGGGATTATAGGTGTGATCCACCGTGCCTGGCCAAAACTACAGAATATTAAAACTAAAGAAGATCTTGGACCATTCAGTCAAATCCTATACACACAAAGAAAGTGAGGCTCAGAGAGGGGCGTCCGGCATAGATTTCCAGTTAGAGGGCAAAGGGGTCATCATTTAATTCATTCGGTCATTTGGTCATTTGTTCTTTCAACCATTCCACCACTTTACTAAGCCCCTGTTAGACCCTGGTGCTCGTGCCAGACTCTGGGCACATAGAGTTGAAGAAGAAACAGCCCTGGCACCCACGGGGCTGAGAGTGGATGAGGGTGACAGTGCCAGACTGGAGGTCAGCCTGCAATGGGTGGAGGCAGAGAAGGGAGTGATGCTGGGGGTGGCTACATGGGTGGACAAGAGGTGATCCTGGAAGGCTTCCCAGTGGAGGTGATGTCTGGGACGTGTGTAAGGAATGTATAGGAGTTTCTGCAGGGTCAAAGCAAAATTAGCAGTGGAACCTGTGCATATGGACTTGTCCCTACTCTACACTACAGGATTTTTACATCTCAATGCTGCCTGAAAGCAATTGGAAGAAAGGGTCCCTGTCACCCTGGCCTGGTTCATCCCTGTTGAGCCACAAGCCTGAGGCCGTATAAAGTATTGTGTTGATTACAGGATTAGAAAGGCCCAGTGTGACTTGGAAAAAGGCTGTTTTGCCAGTCAGAGTGAGACTGACTGGCAACCCTGGGGCAGATCTTGCATTTACTAACCAGCTTCACACTGTAAGGCTTGACTGCAAGTGGAAATGACTTTAGGGCTCACTGAGTCATTTTACAGATGAGGAAACTCCAGCCCATGCAGGCAGAGCCCCTTGCCCAAGGCCACACAGCAGGTCAATGGCAGAGTTGGAACTTAAAGCAGGTTTCTCAACTCTCAGGCCAGCATGCAGGGGGGTGGGGAATATTGTAGTTAAAGAAAATGGTCAAGTTTATTCGCTACAGAAGTCCCAAGGGAATCAACATCTTCATAAAACACAGAGAAACAAACAATAAAGAGCAAGAACATGATTTAAAACTGTATAGTCAAGAATGGATATAGATGTTAAGTGCTGAGTCAAGACAATTTGTGAAGCTTCAATCTGTAAACCCCTTCATGAATTTCAGTAGATTCCCCTTCCCCCAGGAAGATTTCTCTGATGCCCCTCCAGCTGGATCAGTGTCTCCAGTGAGCAACCCTGGGACCATGTATCATGTGTCCTCCTCTATAATTAAATTTGGTAGACTGTACTGTAATTCTCTGTCTCTTGAACCTCTTTTCCACAAGATTGTAGTAAGCTCCTCGAAGGCAGGAATGGTGTCTCATTTATTGCTATGCTCCCATTTACCCAGCATATAGCAGATGCTCAACAAACATCTGTTAAGTTAATATCTGCACACTTAAAAAAGTGACGTTTCTTCCTGAAGACCAGAACAAAGAAAAACAGAACCTGTACTCTTTCATGAATTGAATCTCCATCTATCCATCCTTTTATCCCTCCCTTCCTCCATCTATCCATCCATCATCTTTCTCTCCTTCCTTTTGTCCCTCCTTTCCTCCCTCACTCCACACCTCCTTCTTTCCATCCATCCATCCATCCATCCATCCATCTATCCATCCATCCACCATCCATCCATCCATCCATTCATCCATCCATCCATCTATCCATCCATCCACCATCCATCCATCTATCCATCCATCCATCCATCTATCCATCCATCCATCCATCCATCATCCTTCATCATCCATCCGTCATGCATCCAACATTTGTTGAGCAACATGAGAGGCTGACCCCTGAGTTTAGAAGGGGAATGAAGCCCGTTCTCTGAAGTGGAAAGCTCTGTTTGCAGGAGCTTGCCCGTAAAAACCATCACCAGTGTTTTGTAGAAGACAGCAGAGTAATTTAGAGATGTGACTTAATCAATATTTCGTGGTCCCTGAAATCCATCTTTGTTAAATGACCAACAAAAGACTGTGGCCAGGGAAGCCCACTGACAGGCCAAGGGGAGAAATTCAAGGGGACATTGGTGGGGAATAAACCCACCTGCTGGGCGGGGCTGTGGGACCACCAGGAACCTTTCTGTTATTACTGATTACTGCACTGACAATGAAGGCAGTGTCCCTCACTCCCAAAGCTGCACACAGGAACGACAAGGCTCAGGTACTGGCATGACAAATCTTCCCTGTGGGAGGCATTGGTACAGGCTCAACCCTGACCTGCCTGCCACATGGACTATCCCTGCTGATGACCCCCGTCCCCCTGGAAAACTTGACTGAGGTGGCAGTAATGTTAATAGCCGGCTATTCTTTGCAGCAGCACACGCCTTCACAGCCTTTTCTCCTTTGAGCCCTTTGAGGATCCCCAGAAGGAGTTATTCTTCTTCTTCCCTTTTCCCAGATCAGCAAACAGCGGTTCAGGAAGGTGAGCTGACTTGACCAAAGTGATAAAGTTTGCAACTGTCAGCAGGAGGGCAAATCACAGTTCCTGACTGATCAACTCCTTGATCAGGCCTTTTGGGGCTGTGACTCAGAATCAGGATATAATAAAATCCAAAATGGCACCTTCCAGTTTAGCTCCGGAGTGAACACAACTCAGTGTTGGCCCAGAAGTTAGGAGCAATGTCAAGACTTAGAACTGAGCCCTAGCCAGAGGTTTCAGCACCCAAGCTAGGGATGGGGGTGTGGATGCCCTCTGAACCAGGACCTGCCTTGCTCATGTGCATACACCAAGGCAAACAGGGTCCTTCTTAGTCACAGCCCTGGATCATCCATTTCAAAGCGAAAAGGAATTTGTGAGGGCTGCCAGCTGTCATTTTTGTAATGAAATTTGCTTTCAAAGCCCAAGGCCATGCTAATGACAAAGTAAAACAAACTCAGAAGGAGTAAGAGGGGTAGGCTCAGGCGAGTGGGCAGGGAATTGCCAAGAAAACTCACGTGGGGCTGAGCACCATAGTTGTGACTGTGATGCTTACACATATGCACACATATGATGCACATGCACGCGCACACACACACACACACACACACACACACACACTCCTAACAGACAACCTGGTGGCAGGGAAAGGGATTCCAGTGCTCAGTTCAAGAGACCTGGAATCTCATTCCAGCTCTGCCCCGGCTGCATTGAGTGGCCTAATATCTCCATGCCTCAGTTTCCTCATCTATAAAACAGGATGGTAATAGCACTTATCTTTTGGGTTGTTAGACCAGTGCATGGCCACATCGAGTGCCATATGAGTGTAAATTAAAATAACGTAATTAATCCCCTGAGTGGCGTTAGTGGTTAACTACGGGCCTGTTGTGATGGTTAATACTGAGTGTCAACTTGATTGGATTGAAGGATGCAAAGCATTGATCCTGGGTGTGTCTGTGAGGGTGTTGCCAAAGGAGATTAACATTTGAGTCAGTGGGCTGGGAAAGGCAGACCCACCCTTAGTCTGGGTGGGCACAATCTAATCAGCTGCCAGCTCGGCTAGAATATAAAGCAGGCAGAAAAACGTGAAAAGATTAGACTGGCCTAGCCTCCCAGGCTACATCTTTCTCCCATGCTGGATGCTTCCTGCCCTCGAACATCGGACTCCAAGTCCTTCAGTTTTGGGACTCAGACTGGCTCTCCTTGCTCCTCAGCTTGCAGACGGCCTATTGTGGGACCTTGCAATCATGTGAGTTAATGCTTAATAAACTCCCCTTTATATATATATCTCTCTATCCTATTAGTTCTGTCCATCTAGAGAACCCCGACTAATGCACCTGTCTTCCTGGCCCCCTTTTTTTCTGGAAACTTCCTCCTTGCTCCCTTCTGTGTGGTTGCAATGGACTGCAGCCATGGAGGCAGTCTACATTGACAGCTAAGAGTGTGAGCTCTGAAGTCAGGCTGCTCAGCCTCAAATTCTAGCTTTACATCTCTGGATTAGTAACTTAACCTGCCCAAGCCTCAGTTTCCTCATCTGTAAAATGGGGAGGAGAATTTTACCTGCTTGTTGGAGGATGCAACTGACAAAATGCCTGTGTCTAGCACATAGTAAGAGCTTGATGATGAATGTATCTGCTAAAATTATATTTTCATTCCAAGTAACTTATTGCCTCTGGCCATGGTTGACTGGGCCTGGGGGGGGGCACTTGAATGAAGCTGAGCCAATCAGCTTCTTCCTTAGGAATTTGTAGTTGATACTGAAAAGGAGTTATTTTGCCTCGCGTTGGTGGCTAGCCCCGTGAAACGTGAGCATGGTGCTGTGGCTGCCAGCTTCCCACCATGTATATGGAGCCTAATAAGCTGGTCTTCAAGGGACATGCAGATAAAGGACTTCAGTTCCTAGTCTCAAACTCTTGGGCTCAACTGGTCTGCCTGCCTCAGCCTCCTAAGTACCTGGGATTACAGGCATGTGCTACAGCACCTGGTTTTATGTCATTTTTTTTCTCCACACTTCCAAAGAGTGTGGAGTCCCCACCTCTTCCCCAGTCAAGTGTGGTTGCCCTGACTCTGCCCTCTTCGATCTCCTATCCATCCATCATGTTGTCAAGCTGTCGTGGTGCCGTGAGACAGCATTGTGTCCTCAGAGTGACTGGCCCCTTCTTACTTCAGCTGACTTAAGTGAGCTTCAGTGCCTGGCCCCAACTTGGCCTCTGTTTCCTAAGCAAGCTGGGGCTGAGATGGCTGAGGAGTCTTGCAATGTGACCTCCTGGGTTCACACTGGAAAGCTGCAGAACAAATTGATGGATTCTGTGTGTAGCTCCAGGTTATACACAGAACCACATCCATTTCAGGGCTGTAGACATCTCAGAAATTAACACCTTTTTCTTTAAGTTCTCTAGATCTTTTCTTTTCTTTCTTTTTTTTTTCTTTTGAGACAGAGTCTCGTTCTGTAGCCCAGGCTGGAGTGCGGTGGCGCGATCTTGGCTCACTGCAAGCTCCACCTCCTGGGTTCATGCCATTCTCCTGCCTCAGCCTCCCAAGTAGCTGGGACTACAGGCGCCCACCACCACGCCCGGCAAATTTTTTTGTATTTTTAATAGAGACGGGGTTTCACCGTGTTAGCCAGGATGGTCTCGATCTCCTGACCTCATGATCCGTCCGCCTCAGCTTCTCAAAGTGCTGGGATTACAGGCATGAGCCACCGTGCCCGGTCTAGATCTTTTCTTTATTGCTGCCTGGTCAGTGCTCCATTAGACATTCATGCCACATTTTGAGCCCCTGCTCTGTGGTCACCGTGGGGAACATTGCAGACCAGGTCACTTCCTTATAGGCGCCTTGAGATCAAGCACCTGGCCATGTTTCTCTAGATCCATCATCCCGCTTCTAGCTATGCTTCTGGACTCTGTTGTTTTATACTTTAGATATTGTCTTTCAATTTTTGATGTCAATTTTCCTTTCTAGACAGTGAGCAGGGTCTGTGTCATTTTCTTCTTTTTGGGGGATGCAGAGGATGAGGTCTTGCTCTATTGCCCAGGCTGGTCTCAAACTCTTGGGCTCAAGTGATTCCCCACCCCACTCAGCCTCCAGAGTAGCTGGGATTACAGGCACGCTCCACAGTGCCTGGCTCGGTGTCATTTTCTTCTTGGTGGCACTAGGCATGTCAGGTATTCACGTATGTTTGTGGGACAAATGAATGAATGAATGAATGACATGAACAAAATGAGTCTTTCCAGAGGAGAAAAACAGGAAAATGGAAGTTCCAGAAACCAAGCATGTTGAGGGAAATGCATCTAACCTGGGGAGTAGATTTAGGGGGCACTGGAGAACTGTAAATACTTTAAGGGATTGTTATGTGGGAAAGAAATTAGAATCAATGTGAACAATAGTCACTATTTCTTGAGCACCTACTATGTGCCAAACTCTGCACTAGGGGTTTTTCGTCTTCTCACTCACTCCTTATGACCAGCACAAGGAGGAGTCCTTCTCATCCCCATTTTATAAGTGACAAGGTGGAGGCTGAGAGACATGAGACCCCATGGATGGGGTCCATCAGAGTGCTGTTAAGGAAGAAAGCCAGAATTTGAAGGCAGGTCTGTCTCCATAGTAGAACTCCACCTTCCTACAGTGAAATAATAATAATAATAAATAAAATAAAAGGCCAGTGTCTCCCAAGGGCAGAAGTAAACCTGAGAGAGAGAAGTCATAGAGAGGAAGTCTCTGACTTTATCCAAGAAAGAACTTCTAAATTCCAGGGCTGGCCCCAAGCAGAACAGGTGGTGATACTCCTGTTCTAGGAGGTATGCAAGACGCAATAGAAACTGCTCCCTGAAGATGACCAGAGGATCAGTTGGTTCCTGTCTGTGAAGCTAGAAGAACTGCTTTTCAGACTCCAGAGGGTGCACCCCCCATCTGACGCTGCAAGCGCCCTCGCCCCTACGTGATGGCAGCACTGCGGGCTCCCAGGAAGAGGCCTCACCCACGTCCCCATTCCACCACCCCCCCGGGAGCGGCTGCGTGACATCCTCGCCCCCCGCGGGCGCCCCCCTCCTGGGGTCGGGAGGCCCCCTGGGGAGTTCCCACGCAGCCCGGGCGGCGCCAGCTGAGTCAGGAGCTGCCTGGCTCCACAGGGTATTGCAGCAGCAGCCTGCAGGTGGCGAACAGCGGAGCCTGGAGGAGTGGTCCCTGTGCTGCCCACCGCCTCCAAGCGTCCGGGCGCCTCTGCAGGCACCTAGCCTGGTTGGGAGGCGCAGTCCGCTGGGGTGGACACCCTGGAGGCTCCTTTCCGCCCCCCACCCCACCCCCTTCTGAGCACCTGCTGTGTACCAGGGCAGCGGGTCAAGAAGCCAGCCATGGAGTCCAGCAGCAGGTTGCGTCTCCCAGACCGCGGGCGGGTTCCATCTCCTCTCCACGCCTCAGTTTCCCCACCAGCAAGACTGAGTAATTAGCCCTGACCCCCGCGGGGTGGCAGAAGGGCCTGACAAGCAGATGGAAGTGGGAGCACAGAGGGGCCGGCGTCACCCCCACTTCATCCTCCCAGCAGCCCCGTGAGACGACAAACGTGGCAAAAGCACGTGCCCTGCGATCACCCGGCTGGCACGTGGCAGAGGCTGGATTGGAATCCATGCAGGTCTGAGGCCAAGCCCCAGCTCCCTCTCCCCTGCTGGGGCTCCCTGGGAGCAGCGTCAGCTCAGCCCCAAAGCCTGAGGACCCCTTAACCACCCACACCCCGAGCTGTGGGGTCACAGCCCTTCACAGCCAGGAGGGAGACGGTCCCTGGGGTCGCTACTGCCCCCACATCTCCCTGGAGGCAGACCCCTCAAAGAAAAGTCAGGGCGCAAGGTTTAGGCCAGATGGCAGCTCCTCAGAGCAGTCGTTGTGTCCCAGCAGGGAGGGTCCCTGGGCTGGGGCGGCCATGGAGAGCAGAGGCCTTTCTGGGAGCGAGGAAGGCAGGAAGAGAGCCATGGAACTGTGGGCCAGGGCTGGAGACTGAGGGCCCCCTGCCTTCAGGGCGTGCCTGTGGCTGCTGGCTTCCTGGGCACACAGCTCAGGGTTCTGAGGAAAACTCAGAGCTGCAGCAACAAGGGGAGGTGATGAGGGAGCCGGGTCCGGGGGAAGCGGTGCTGTCCAGGGGAGGTCGGAAACCTGTGTGGGTTCAAATCTCCATCATGGCACTTACTGTGGGACCCTGAGAAACCTACCCCCTCCCTGAGCCCATTTTCCCACATGGGAGATGGGGAGCACGATCTCACCTCGTTCATTCTCTGGGGGATGGAATCAGACAATGGGCAGGAAGCATCCAGCACAGTGCCAGGGTCCTGAGCACGGTGGGTATGCCCAGCACAGTGGGTGCTCCCTACACAGTTACTCTTATTAAGGTTCCCCAGGCCCCAGGCTCTTAAAAACCCCAGACCTGCGAGGCTCCCTCCCTCCAGGAGACAAGTATCCCAGTGGCCTGCTGTGCATAAAGAGGTCTCCCAACCTGAGTGGGACAGTTCACCACCAGTTCAAAGCCCACCCGAGAGCCTTGCCTGCTCTGCGTGGATGTCACTGCCCCTCCACCTTAATGGGTTTCCTTCCCAAACCACCCCACAGAAGCCCCTGGGGCGGAGGATGGATCACCCTGGCCTAAGCCTGCGTGCTGATCTCCCCCTGTCTACTGCCCCAGCCCCAGCAGCTCAGCCCCGCCAGGAACATTGATGGTGAAAGGCAAGGGCTATGTGGGTGCACTTGACATCCCAAATGGTGGGAGTCTGACCACACTAGGACAGAGCTGGCTTTCCAACAGGGCTTTCTCGAGAGATGGGCTGGGGGTAGTGCGAGAGAGCTCTGGGATCCTGGAGGGTCTGGGTTGGAATCTGCCCTTTCTCAGCTGTGTGACCTGGGGCAAGTCCCTCCCTTTTCCAAGTTCACTTCTCTTGCTCTGTAAGGTGGGTTAATGACATCCACTGCACCTGGTTGTTGAGAGACTAAATGAGATCATGAATAAAACTTCATGTGGGCCAGGCGTGGTGGCTCGTGCCTATAATCCCAACACTTTGGGAATCTTAGGAGGACAGATTGCCTGAGCTCAAGACCAGCCTGGGCAACACGGCAAAACACTATCTAATAAATATTTTTAAAAAATTTTTTTTGAGATGGAGTTTTGCTCTATCGCCCAGTCTGGAGTGCAGTGGTGCGATCTTGGCTCACTGCAACCTCTGCCTCCCAGGTTCAAGCGACTCTCCTGCCTCAGCCTCCTGAGTAACTGAGATTACAGGCACCCGCCACCAAGCCCGGCTAATTTTTGTATTTTTAGTAGAGACGGGGTTTCAACACGTTGGCCAGGCTGGTCTCAAACTCCTGACCTCATGATCCGCCCACCTCGGCCCCTCAAAGTGCTGGGATTACAGGTATAAGCCACCACGCCTGGTCATAAATATTTAAAATTTTTTATAAAAAATAATAATGAAACATCATTTGACAAGTTTGTGAGGATGTGGAGAAATTGAAACCCTGGTGCATTGCTGGTGGGAATGTGAAATGGTGTAGGTTCCTCAAAAAGTTAATCATATTACAGAATTCCACATGACCCAGCAATTCAATTCTTAGGTGTATGCACAAAACAATTGAAAATAGAGGCTTACACAAATACAAGGATGCACACATTCATAGCAGCCTTATTCATAGTAGCCAGAAGGTGGAAGCAACACGAGTATTCATTGACAGATTCATGGATAAACAATATGTGATGTAGCCACACAAGGGCATATTAGTCACCCATAAAAAGGAATGAAGTGCTCATACATGCTACAATGTGTGTGAAACTAGAAAGTGAACTGAAGGAGTCCACACATAAAATGTCATTATTGTATGATTCCATTTATATGAAATGTCCAGAATAGGTAAATTCATAAAGGTAGAAAGCAATCTGGGTTACTAACAGCTGGGGCTAGGAGAGCATGCATACAAGGTTTTATTCTGGAGTAATGAAAATATTTTGGAACTAGATAGAGGTGGTGGTTACACACATTGTAAATATATTAAATATCACCAAATTGTTACTTTAAAATGGTTAATGTTATGTTGTGTGAATTGCACCTCATTAAAAACAAAAAGTCATTTGCACACACAGTGCCTGACATGATGGAGTAAGACAGTTGATTTCAGGTCCTGGTTCTTCCAGTTACTCACTGGTGACTTGGGACAAGTTATTCTACTGGTCAGAGCCATAGTTTCTGTATTAGAGTGTTCTCATGCTGCTAATAAAGACATACCCGAGACTGGGTAATTTATAAAGGAAAGAGGTTTAATTGACTCACAGTTCCATATGGCTGGGGAGGCCTCACAATCATGGCAAAAGGCAAATGAGGAGCAAAGTCACATCTTATATGGCGGCAGGCAAGAGAACTTGTGTAGGGGAACTCCCCTTTATAAAACCATCAAATCTCATGAGACTTATTAACTATCATGAGAATAGCATGGGAAAGACCTTCCCCCATAATTCAATTACCTCCCACTGAGTCCCTCCCATGACCTGTGGGGATTATGGGAGCTAAATCCAAGATGAGATTTGGGTGGGGACACAACAAAACCATATCAGTTTCCTCACCATAAAATGAAAAAAAGAATACTTGCCAGGTGTTGGGAGATAAAACAAAACGATGTATATAAAGTGCCTAGCACAGGGGCTGGTATACAAATGATGCTCTGTAACAGAGTTGGAATTATGGGCAGAACAGGCATAGCTCATCAGGTGATCAAAGCCACCATCTCTTCACCTCAGTTCGATGGGGTGATGTTCCCCTGCCCCTAGGCAGATCTGTGTCCTCTCTGCTCCCCACAGCTAATTCTAATATTTGTTGAGCACCTACTATGTGCAAAGTTTTCACCAGCTGTGGTGCTGCAGTGTTGAGGCAATAGACATGAATGAGGCGGATTCCCAGCCTCAAGAAGTGTCTGGGGAGCTCAGATACCTACATAAATAGCTCTAATACAGTGTTTGCGCAGCCGTGACAGAGAAGCAGATGCAGGGCAATGAGCACTCCCAAGAAACAAAGAGCAGTTCCAGCTGCAGGAGGTGGAGCGGGGAGGTGGGGCAGGGAGATGGGGACCAGGGAAGAGCTCTAGCAGCTGAGCTTTGGGGACAGGATTTCTCTCATGAGATGGGCAGGGGGCTTTCAACGTAGCAAGCACAGCCTGAGCCAAGGTGCAGGGGCGGGGAGGGCTGATGGAGCTCCAGGAGGGCAGAGGCTTGAGCCAGGAGTCTCTGTCCTTCCAAGGCCAGGCTGCAAGTTCCCTGAGCGCAGCACTGGATCTGTGCTCCCCTTAGTCATATCAAGGGCTTGGCATGCCTTGAGCACCTGCCAGAGATTTGTGGAATGAATGAAGACATGAATCAATGTCCAATTCATCTGAGTCTCTTTGAGGTATTTTCTATAATGTGCAGCTGTTATATTTTCTATAACATAAGCTAACTTATGGATTTAGTTTCTGAAAAACTGCTCTGGTTAAAGCAACTCACTATCTACATGCCTCGAAAAGTTACCTCAATTCACCATTAAGAGAGAAAGCTAACATTTATGGAGCCTATTATATGACGGGTACTGTGTGAAAGGGGTTCTGAATTATGTCTTTCAGTCATTAGAACAATCCTTTAAAGCAAGGGCTAGGCTGGGCGCGGTGGCTCACGCCTATAATCCCAGCACTTTGGGAGGCCGAGGTGGGCGGATCACGAGGTCAGGAGATCGAGACCGTCCTGGCTAACACAGTGAAACCCCATCTCTACTAAAAATACAAAAAATTAACCGGGCGTGGTTGCAGGCGCCTGTAGTCCCAGCTACTTGGGAGGCTGAGGCAAGAGAATAGCCTGAACCCAGGAGGCGGAGCTTGCAGTGAGCCGAGATCACACCACTGCACTCCAGCCTGGGCGACAGAGCGAGACTCCGTCTCAAAAAAAAAAAAAAAAAAAAATTATAAAGCAAGGGCTATTGTTTGGTTTAAGTCACAGATGAAGAGACTGAGGCCCAGAGAAGCTAAGTAACTTATCCAAGGTCACACAGCTAGTAAGAGGGACCTGATTGTAACCATAGGGCTTATGCTCTTGGCCATGATTTGACGTTGCTCTGGATTTAATTTGGTCTACTTTTGTGTCAGATATTATCCTGGAAAGAAAACGTATGCTCAGAGAAATTTTTCTCCAGTGTTGACTTTTAATTGCCTTTTTAAGCTGTTAATAATATAGAAACATTATATGTAAAATACGTAAATATATCGTTATATATGTAGAATAATAATTTCAAAAGAGGAACTAAATGACACTCGTAAAAGAACAGGCCCGCATTGTTCTGTATACAGCAGCAAACAAAGCAGACAAAGCTCTCATAAAGTTTATGCTCAAAATTAAAATGGTAGGTGGATGATGGAGAGATTGAGAGAAAGAGAGAAAAATAAGAAAAATATCAGGCCCAGCGCAGTGGCTCATGCCTGTAATCCCAGCACTTTGGGAGGCCAAGACAGGAAGCTGACTTGAGCCCAGAAGTTCAATACCAAGGCAAAACCCCATCTCTACAAAAAATGCGCAGTGGTGCATGCCCCTAGTTCTAGCTACTCAGGAGATTGAGGTGGGAGGATCACCTAAGCCTGGGAGCTAGAGGCTACAGTGGCCATAATTGCACCACTGCACTGTAGCCTGGGAGACAGACTGAGACCCTGTCTCTAAAATAAAATAAAAGAAAATAAAGAAAAATATTAGAGAGGAATACATCTGAAATTCAGTACTGTGAAGTATTAAAAAGTAACAAAAATAGGGTGAAGTCATCAACAGTGACTTGGTGTTTACTTCGAGTGGGGTGGTCAGATCAGGAAAGGCCTCTTGGGGAGGCGAAAGTTAAACTGGGAGGTGATGAGCAGAAGGAGGCAGCTGTCTGACCATTCCAGAGCAAGGGAAAGGCCAGTGTGAAGGTCCTAAAGTGGGGACCCACTTGGCAGGTTCCTGTAACAGCGAGAGAGTTTGTGTGCTGAGTTTGCAGGGTCAGGCGGGGGGCATCATAGGAGCTTCCTGTGCTGGTCAAGGGGTCTGGATTCTGGTCCAAGTGCTGGGGAGGTGTTGGAGAGAGTTACTGGATTTGAATTCCACTGTTTAAAGATCACACTGGCTACCATATAAGGAGGATTCGATTGTAGAGGGCAGGAGGCCCAGGCGGGAGGTTGCGGCCGTGGTCCAGGCGAAGGATGAGGACCAGAGTGATGCTGGCGGAGAGGGGACAGCAGTCATCCCAGGCACACACTGCATGCTGGAGGGGAGGTCCATGGCTCCTCCTGTTGGGGAAGACAGAGTATAAGGGAATAGGGAAAAGGGCGAGAGGAATCTACAGTAATTTGCATAAGCAACCGGGTGGACGTTGCCGTTGTCACAGACACAATTAGATCCAGGGAGAGGATGGTAATCAAAAAGGCTCCTTCTGCCATGGGAACTTTGAGACGCTCAACATCCATTCTAGAAACACCGGGCAGTTGGGGGAATAACCAAGCCTGGAGCTGGGGTTGAGAGGAGCTGTCCATCTGGGTGTCACTGGCATAGGGATGGTGCCTAAGGTCATGAGCCTGGGTGGGGGTCACCTCAGAAGGGAAGGAGTTAGATGAGGTAGGGCCCAGGCATGAAGATCAAGGAGAATCCTGGGACCGAGATGCCATGCAGAGGCTGTGCAGAGGAAGAGCAGCATCAGGAGACTGGGAGAGGAGGCCAGAGGAGTAGGAAGGGCCAAGAGGAGAAGGTACTTCAAGAAGGGGGAAACAACCAGCTGTGGTCACCTGCAGCTCAGCAAAATGCTGGGTGCAACGCTTGGCTGGAGTGAGTTGGTGGCGGTCGGAGGAGGTACTGAATTAAAGTACCATAGACAGTGAATCTAGACTTAAAGAAAGCTCGGTTGAGCATTCAGAATTTTTGGCCCTAAAGAGTAGCAAAGAAATGGAGTGCTCCCTAGAGGAGGAAACGAGATCAGGGGAGGACATTTTAAAGTTTGGAGACGCTAGAACATTTTTGTGTCCTCCTGGGAATGATCCAGGAGAAAGGGAGGGAGCAAAGAGTTAGGAGAGTGGAGATAATTGCAAAGTCCTTGATAGCTGAGACAAGGGATGGGGCACTCAGTACACAACAGGGACCCTTTCCTTGCTGTAATAGGAGGGAAGGCAAAGAGTTTAGGCACAGAGTGGGTTGTCTGGTTGCTTTGAGGCTGAGACAACGGGGGAATTTTCATCCACTTGGTATTTGACTCCTGCAGAGTTACCAGCAGAGAGAGGGAAGCAGGGAAAACATGTGGAAGTTCTGAGACGGAAGGAAAAGGGTGAAATTGTCAGCGTAGAGAACAAAGTGAAGTGTGGGAGGGTTTGAGGGCAGCAGAGGCACCCATGTGGTCAGGCTGTGGATCCCAGGCCTCAGTGTAGTCAAGCTGTCCCTCCTGTAAACAATGCTGAACATATTTGCAAGTCAAGCCTTTTTATATTGAGCTTTATATTGAGTAAAAGTATTTGCTATTTTTTTCAGAATCGAGTCCTGGAAGCAGGTGTAGATTCAGAGATATGAATATTTGAAAGACTAGTGACAAATATTGCAAGCATATTGTCAAATCGTGTCCCAAAAACAGTAGTTCCAACCTATGCTGCCCCAGCTACCCACGAGAGAGGGTTTTCGTCTGGAAGCACCATCACCAGAATACTGCCATGTTAGTATTTTTTAAACATCCATCCTAATTTTAAAGCAAAGGGTAGTATCTCCTTGTTGTGCTTACAACTTTTCCATTTCTTTGACTCATTGGAGTGAACCTTTTTTATAGTGTATTAGCTAACTGTCTTTTCTCTTATTATAGATTTTTCTTTGGTGCACATTTAAAGAGTCTCTGGGATAAATCTCAGTGGTATCACGGGCACAAAACTCATCAGAAACAAAGCGGGGAAGGAGCTTGCAGAGAGGAATTTTGTGGCTCTTAGTTTTCCTGACAGTGGCAATAGCGTGAAGAAACAAAAAGCCAAGAAACTGAGTCAGGGCCAGGAGCAGCGTATTTTAAAGCTAATTTAAATAGGAGGCTTCGTTTAAGCTGTCACCTCTGCCTCTCTATTTCTTATATATGTACACACACACATAAGCATATGTGGGTGGCAGTGAGGAATTATGCAGAGCTATATCTCAGCCCAGCCTTTTGTGATGACTTTTATTAATTATTGAATAATTTGATAAATAATTCATTATTTTCCTGCTGGTGAAGGCATCATCAAAAATTCGTTGAGTAGAAGTCAAGCAAGCCCACAGTCTTTCTGAAGCTGGAAGAAATCCTGGCTATATTTCCCTCATTCGAGGGTATGAACATGTGTGTGTGTGTGTATGTGTGTGTGCAGGCACGCCCCTGGGTGTTTGCCACATGTGGAGGCCTGTGCGTAACAAGCATGCAAGAGATTGTGTCTATGAGCATATGTTGAGCATTTTGTGCAAGGCATGTGTGTGTTGCACGTGTATGAGAATTTGAGTGGCAGTATAGTGTCTGGCTAAGTGTGGGCTGAGAAGGAATTTCTCTTGGGACTTTATATTCTCCACTTTGTTTTAATTTCTTTGGTCTCTGGTGATGGGAGTAGTAGTTCTTTCTTTGTTTTGTATATAGATCCTGCTTAATAAAAATGCCCAGATTTTGAATAGAGAAAATTGAAATTAAAAATATATGTGCACCGGGGAGCAGCAAGGAGCAGGACAGGTAGATGGCAGGGAATGAACGAGAACTTCTCTTCCACCAGGAGGACCCCAAGCTGGGCTTCTTAGTGCCTGGCACATAATGGTTTCTGGGCCAAGTCATTGAGGAATAAAAAAGAGAAAGGTAAAAAGAACTTCCTTTGAAAAGGAAGATGAACCAGGGCATCAGCAAGGTTTCTAGTCTGACCACTTTGGTTATTAGTTTCTTAATGTTTCTGGGCTTCTGCCTAAAAATTTTATTAATAAATCCCTGCCCTACGACCACTGGAGGCTATTGTAAGAGCTTTGAAGAGAAGTGAATGCTATACGCCCCAGGGCATCAGGGGAGGTGGAAAGAACACAAAACAAAGATTTTGGTTCCTGTCTAGTCTCTATCACCCCCACCCCCGGCTGTGCAACAGGGGCAAATTGCCTTGTTTCTCTTAGGCTCAGTTTCCTCAAGTGGAATAGGGACACTATTAACTATGAGGCAAGACCAAATGAAATAACACAGGATCATGGTAAGAATGCTTACCGATAGGAAAATTTGGCACAGTGTTTGCCACAAACACGGGTCATGATAATAGTTTATTCATTTCACGTTCATTCCAAGAGGCCCAAGTTCCCCAGTGCCACAGATCAAAGTCTTTTTGTACTATCAGTTACTAAGAAACAAGCATTAAAATCTCCAACTCTGATTGTGAATGTGTCTGCTTCTCTTCTAGTTCTGTCCATTTTTGCTTCATGCACTTTGAAGTCTGTTATCATATGCCAACACATTTATTATTGTTGTGACTTTCTCTTTATCATATGAAATGTCCCTCTTTTGCCCCGATAGGCTTTGTTCTGAAGTCTATTTTGTTCAATGTTAATACAGTCACATTTCAGCTTTCCTTTGTTTAGTATTTGCATACTTTATATCTTAGTTAAAAGTAAATGAATAGGTGTCTTTATAGTTAAATGGCACCTTTTATAGACAGGATATAGTTGGCTCTTGCTATTTTATCCAGTCTGACAATCTCTGCTTTTTAATTGATGTGTTTCATCCATTTACATTTAGTATAATTATTGTTATGGTTGGGTTTCAGCCTACACTCTTGCTATTTTTTTTTTCTATTTGTCTCAGATTTTCGTTTGTTGGTTTTTCTATTTCTCTTGTCCTGCTTTCCTTTACATTAATTGGCTTTTTAGTATTCTATTTAATTTCCTCTATTTCATTTTCAAGCTATGCTTCTTTTATTATTTTTATTGGTTATTCTAGGGATTCTAATATACACCGTTAACTCATTACAGTCCACTTAGAATTAATTTTGTACTACTGTATATCTCATTCTTCACACTTCTCCTTAGTTTGACTATGATGTTTTTAGGTACAGTTTTCTAGGGTTTACTGAGCTTGTTGGATCCATTGAGAAATGCTTTTCATCAAATTTGGGAAATTTTAAACCATTATTTCTTCAAATATATTTCTGTCCTGTTTTATTTCTCCTTTCTTTCTGAGACTCTACGTGTAGCTGTTATGGTTTGAATATATCCCCCAAAGTTCATGTCTTGGAAACTTAATCCCCAACACAATTGTATTGAGAGGTAAGACCTTTAAGAAGCTCTTCCCTCATGAATAAATTAATGTCTTTATTGAGGGAGTGGGTTCATTATTCTGAGAATAGATTTGTTTTATGAAAGCATTCCTCTTGCTCTCTCTTTCTCCCTTGCTCTCTCACATGCGTACATACTCTTGAAGCTGCCTTTGCAAAAATTATAACAATGAGAAAATTATGACAGTGAAAGAGATCTGACTTAATGTCTTATCTT
Source organism: Homo sapiens (assembly GCF_000001405.40). Taxonomy (NCBI): domain Eukaryota; kingdom Metazoa; phylum Chordata; class Mammalia; order Primates; family Hominidae; genus Homo; species Homo sapiens. The sequence continues at coordinate 929,330 of NT_187601.1, read as the reverse complement.
TAGCCTCCAAAATGCCCTTAGGTCCTGGGTGTGAGTCAAGGTAACTTTAGGAGAAATTTATTTTATAGTTTTAATAGTTTTAGAATAGTTTAGTCGTTTTAATAACAGCCTTTTCCTAACAATTAAACTGCCTTTGGGAAAATAATGAAAGGCCACCAGGTTAGGAGGATGAGAGGGGCCCGAATTCGTAGTTATGTATAATAATAATCCAGACACTATTCTGGAGGTCACAAGATTTGCAACTTCCCCAATTACTCCTGTAAATAACATCACTATTGTAGAACCTAAGATTGGCCTTTTGAGATGTCAGGCTTTTGCATTTCTGACAACTGGATGGCCCCTCCCAGACCCACGGTTCTTGACTCCACTGGTCCTATGGCCCCCACCTGGAAGTGGACTTACCTCATGAGGACCATTTTTCACACCCCTATGATTGCATCTTCAACCAGTCAGCAGCACCCATTCCCTAGCCCCTTGCCCACCAAACTACTTTCGAAAAACCCTAGCCTCCAAATTTTCAGAAAGGCTAATTTGAGTAATAATAAAACCCCAGTCTCCCATTTAGCCAGCTCTAAGTGAATTAAACTCTTTCTCTATTGCAATTCTTCTGTCTTGCTAAATCAGCTCTATCTGGGCAGCAGGCAAGATGAACCCATTTGGCAGTTACACTCTCTTACCCTTCCACCTTCTGCCATGGAATAGCACAGCAAAAAGCCCCTCACCAGATCCCAGCCCCTCATTCTTTTACTTCCCAGACTCCAGAGCCATGAGAAATAAATGATAAACTACCCAGTCTATGTATTCTGTAATAGTAGCAAAAATGAACTAAGACAACAGGTATATTATACTACTTGATACTGGATCAGAGGTCACTCAGATATTGCTCTTTTTAAAATTATTTTCTCCCTTGTTCACATAGGGTAATTTCTGAAGATCTGTTTGCAAGTTCATTGACTCCTTCAAACTGATCTTAAGCCCATCCAGTGAATGTATTTCATTTCTTGTATTTTTCAGTTCTAAAATATTCATATGAGAAAGTAAAAAACACACAAACTGTTTTTCCTCTGCTCTCACACAACACAGAATACTTCTGTGACCAAATGTTGGAGGATGTTTCCCCACCTACCAAACAAGCAATGAATTCTGAAGGAAACACCAGCCCAGTGTTTTCTAGTTTAATTCCAACACTATCTACCTGGAGATAGCATCAGATCCCGTAGGTTGAGTGCTCAAGTCCCCAAGGCTGCTCCACCCCTTCACACTTCCAGTGACAATCACAAGCCCCAGGTTATTTTTGCCAGTGCTTCTGACTGACCAGGTATAAATCTGGATTCTCATAACCTCTTCTTTGGGTTAAATTAATTTGCTACAGCTCACAGAACTCAGGGAAATACATACTTACGTTTACTACCTTATTTACAAAGGATATTTTTAAATATACAAATAAACAGCACGAAGAGAAAATACACAGGGTGAGGTCTGGATGGACCCTGAGTGCAGAAGCTTCCGTCATCATGGAGTTGGGGTGCACCACCCTCCTGGCACATGAATGTGTAAGCCCCCATGCATTTGGCTATTTGCAACCTCTCCGATCCCTGTCCTTTTGGGTTTTATGGAGACTTCATTACATAGGCATGATTGATTGAATCATTGACCACTGGTGATCAACTTAATTTTCAGCCCCCTCTCTGCTCCCCAGAGGTTGGGGGATGGAACTAAAAATTACACTTCTCTAGGCACATGGCCATTTCTCTTGCAACCAGTTCCCCCGTCTTGTGGTTTCTAGGGGTTTTCCAAAAATCATGTCATTAACATAAGAACAGACGTTTTTGAAAAAAAATAGAAAATAGCAAAAGATTATCTTTCACCTTTATCATTCAGGAGGTACTTCAGGAACCAAGGACAAAGACCAAATATCTTAACAAAAAATATTTTTACTGCTGTAGTCACTTAGGAAATAACAAGGCTTACAAGAGCTTACAGCCAGGAATCATGGATGAAAACCAAAATATACGTATCATCCATCACAACGTGATTTTTTGTTTCCATTTCTCTGCTGAGATTCCTCATCTGTTTACTCCATACGACCGTCTTTTGGTTTAAGTCCCTGAAAATATATGTAATAACTTCTTTATGTTCTTGTCTGCCTACTGCAACACTCCAACATGTGGGTCATTTCTGGGTCTGCTCTTTTTGACTCTTTTTTACTTAACTATGGAGCACACAGAGGTTCAAATCCCAGGTTCTCTGCCCTTTACTTGTGTGACCTTAGGCAAATTAACATCTTTGGATCATTTCCCCTCATATATTACAGGGACAATGGCAACTACCTTGCAGGATTGTTATAGACATCAAACAAGATAATGCACATGAGGAGCCTGTTCATAGTAGGTGCTTACTGAAAGGTAGCTGCTACTGGCTTTTGAAATTAGGCTCATGAAACATGTCTCCCACAGGAAGCTCTTTCTGATAACTACATCTAGAGTTGGTTGCCCCTTTTCTGCGACCCTCCACACCTTGGGCTTCCCTCTCAACCCTACATTATTGTGCTATCTTACTCCTACTCTTCCCTGCTAGACTATGTATCCTACAAAGCAGGGGCATGTTATATTCAGCTCTGTGTCTCTGGCTCATAGTAGGTCCCCAATGCTCATTTACTGCATACGGCTGAAGCTACCCTTCTCTAAATCACACAGACAGCGCGATTTATTACAGTCTGTAACCTGGTAGAGTTTCACCGCAAACCTGGAGTCCCCTGTGGCTCTAGCCCTGTAAAACTAGTTACAACCAGTCCTGTAAAACTAGTTATAATTAAAGCTTACGCTGCATTAAGCATTGCTTGTATTAGGCGTTGTGTGAATGCAGTTGTGCTTTGCTCCTAATAAGCGACTGACATTTGATTTTCACAGCATCAATGTCTCATTATTAGTCACCATTCCTGCCGTGAGACCATGCACACCCTGTGTGGCCATTAGACTTCTCTCCTCATCCAGTGCTGTCATATCTGAAATTGTTCTCAACCCTCTCACTCCCCTGTAACTCAGGTATTCAAATCCTAGTTGACCGTTCTTTCCAGTGAACTTCTGAGGCAGATATTGGTCATGGTGAGGATGATGAGGATCATTCTGATAAAGGCAAAAACTAGTGTATTGAAGGATTATGATATTCCAGGCATTAAGCATGCTGTCCCATTTAATCCTCATCAACCCTGAAAGACAGGTATTGTCATTCTCATTTGACAAGGGAGGAAAGGGAGGCTTAGGGAGCTGATGGACTTACCCACAGTCACATGAATGGTAGGAAAATGCCCAGTCTTGCTGACTCTTTGCTCAGTACCCTTTTTGGCTGACTGTTCATGGCACTCAGCTCTGCTCTCTGCCTCCATGGATGGGTGTCCTGACCCCATCTGTCACACCAAGGATCTCATGGCTCTTTTAAATAGGACATGACTATATGTGACAGAGTGACCTTAACAGGTGCTGGATGGGTAAGGGGGTGGGGTGATCAAGGAGATCTGGGAGGAAGTGAGGTGGGTCAACACCACAGTTGTAATGACAGATGTCACTTGTTGAGGGCCAGAGGGAGCCAGAAGCCAGACCGCACATCAGCCACTGACATACATTATCTCCTTTCAGTACTCAAAACAATGCTGTGTGGTAAATATCAGTGCCAGTTCACACATAAAGGACCTGAGCCCCTGAGAGGGTCAGTAACCTGCAGCTTCCAAATGGACCTGCTGTCCCTTGTCCCCAGACCTGTGTCCATCCTCTGCCTCCTTCTCTGACTGGTTCACTCCTGGTTACCATTTGGTTGAGGTAAGATATCATCTTCCTGGCCTGCTGCACCCCTTGAGCTGACTCAGGGGACCTCCTGAGCCCCACAGCTCCCTTGCCTTTAACCCCAGGTCTTAGTTCTTTTTTGTGTTGCTGTCACAGAATATCTGGGACTGGGTAATTAACAAGAACAGAAACTTTTTTTTTCTCACAGTTCTGAAGGCTGGGAAGTCCAAGATCAAGGCATCAGCATCTGGTGTCTAAAGAGTGTATATTCTCTGCTTCCAAGATGGCACCTTGAATGCCACATCCTCCAGAGGGGAGGAACACTGTGTCTTCATATGGAAGAAGAGCAGAAGAGAAAAAGAACTCACTCCCACAAGCCCTTTTTATAGTGGCATTAATCCATTCATGAGGACAGAGCCCTCACGATCTAAACACCTCCCATGAGGCCCCACCTCCCTGCATTGTTGCATTTGGGATTTAGTTTCTAGCATGTGAATTTTAGGGAGTATATTCATACCACAGATCCCACCCTGAAGCTGTATACACTGCATTGTCCTTGCCTGTTTTCTGCCCTGACCTTCCATCTACACTGTGAGCAACCCATGTCTTGCTTGGTTCCATATGTTTAAATGAGTTAGTAAATGTAAAATGCACGGCACAAGGGCTCAATAAAATGTGTGGTACATAAGGGCTTAATAACTGCTGTTGTTTGTATTATTCCCATTGCCCACCACAAAGCCAGGCCCTCAGCAGGCCAAGAAACATTTGTCTAATTAAGGAGTGAATGACTATCATATGAGCTATGCATTTATAGAGCCAGGATACTAGTCTCACTGTCTCCAAAACTGTAGGGAGACCCCCTGAAACTATTGCTACAGAATAGAAGATGAAATGCTCCTGATTATTGTAAATACAAAATTGTATGCAGGATTGTGTACAGACAATGCCAGGTTGGACTGCCAGAATGAGCCAACAGCATGTGATGTGCTTCCCCCTGCAGAGAGCCTATGAATGGACGTGCAGTCAGGGAGGTTTCACATCACCAAGATTCCTATCCCAGAAAAGCAGATGTTCATAGCTCTGGGAATGGAATGCGACCCTTGTGAAGAGCCTATAAACAGACGCATGAGGGCTGCCTGTTCATATGGATAAGATAGGGCTATAAATGCCCTCATTTTGCCACGGCTCTTCTAGGCCTCTTTAGGGTTAAGGCATACTCCTTTCTGAGAGTTTCTGATCTAACCGGTTGTCTAGCTTCACTTCCTGTTTCTATGGATTGTTTGTAACCAGCTTTTACTGCAACTGTTACTGCTGATTAATACTGCAACTGTTACTGCTGATTAATACCTTGCTAATCATAGGTTATGGAAAGACTGTGTTTCTGTTTTAAGGCTCTGTTAGAAATTACTGATGCACACACTACATTGTAAATTCTTATCCCTGTATACTGTACTTCTGCATACAGATGTTATGTTAAAGAATTACTTCATCCCCATGTGACCATCTCACCTCATAATCAAATGACCCTAAATCCCTCACTAACCTATCCCTGCCCTCACTAAACTTAATAATAAATGCTGGCATATACAGTGCATTGGCGGCATTGCAGGACCAGAAGGCGGTGACCCCCCTGGACCCAGCTTTCACTATCTTGTGTGTGTCTATTATTTCTCGACCTGCCAATCCGCCTGGGAACAAAGAGAGAGCCCCGTTGCATTGTGGGCTGCTGGCCAGATCCCGCAATACAAAACCATGCATTGCCTCTTCTGCCTTGGCTGGACCCATGAGATGCTTCCCACCCACCTTGTTGCTGACATGCCTTCACTTCCAGAGTGCCACCCCACCGTCAGCTGAGGCAGGTGTGCAGATCGGGAGCAGCTCCCAGTGGAAGAACCCACAAAGGCCTCAGGTCGTGCAGCCACTTGGAACCCTAGCCTTGACACCACTGCCCCTGGGAAAGCAAAATAAAACACTTTGGGAAAGGAGAGCTCAAGATCTGTTCTCTTCAGAGTTGGAGAAGTGTTAGAGAACCCGCTGAAACTTTTCTTGGAATTCTCCATGATAAAATGCTGACTTTCAGCTGCTTGGGTATGTTGATCAAGATAAGTCCAGCTACAATCGATTTGCCAGGGATCAGGCTCCCACCATGCTGAGTCATAGCACCCCAGCTGGGAGCAGTGGCTCACACCTGTAATCACAACGTTTTGGGAGGCCTAGGTGGAAGGATCACTTGAGCTCAGGAGTTCGAGACCAACCTGGGCAACATGGCAAAACTTCGTCTCTACAAAAAGTACAAAAATGTGCCAGGCATGGTGGTGTTCTACTTAGGGGGCTGAGGCAGGAGGATGGCTTGAGCCTGAGGGGCAGAGCAGCGCTCATGCCACTGCATTCCAGGCTGGGTGACAGACTAAGACTCTGTTAACAAAAAAATAAATAAATAAAAGACACTGACTCTCTTCCTCTGAAAAGAGCAGGGATTTAAGACCAGACTTGTCATTTGAACTTCATTGGTCATCTAAGCCCTCTCTCTCCTCTTGCTCTCCTCCCCTAGGAAAACCTCATTTTGATCCAGGCCTTACTCTCTCTGTCCTTCCTCCACGTTCACAGCCTGTTTCATCCTGAGTCAGCCCTTCCTTGGATGTAAATTCTGGGCTTCTTTTTTCCTTGTCCCATCCATTCTCATAATGCATGAGAGTGGGAGTCCCAGCTTCCAGTTCTCCCCACTCCAACAGTCACCTTCCCAGGAAAGGGGGCTGTACCCCAGATGCTCAGCCAGTCCTGGCCAAGGCAGACCCACTGGCAGGTGGAAACTATGACTGCGCTTATGGCCCAGGCCAGGAATGGTGTGCCCTGGAGCATGGCACCCGGGAGCTGCATGGCCCTTCTTCCCCAACCTCATTGCACTGGCCAGGTCTCCCCCACTTCTTCCTTTTCCTTCTCTTCCTCCTCCTCCTCCTCGTCACCATCATTGCTAACCCTTATTAAGAGCTCACCATGTGTCAGGCCCTATTTGGATCACTTTTCATAGGTATATGTCATTTTGTATGGCAAGATCCCTATACTAGTTTGGGGAATTAAGATTTAGTCCTAGAAAACCGGTCCACTGGTAGAGACTGTGAGCCCCCAGTCAGACAACTAAATACTGTGTCCCTCATGGACGGAACCTAGGACCGCATCCAGCCTGCCTTCCAGAGCTGAGGCTGCTGGTCACCAGGTCTACCTACCAAGTTAGATTCTCCTGGGCACCAACACTGCCCACACCAGCTCCAGGTTCATTCTAATAATACCTGGCTGCCTGGTGTGGATTTTGGGAACTGCCCTTTGGGGGCCAGCCCAGCAGGCCAGTGCAGCTTGGGTTTCCTCCCCTTCCTCAAGTTCATGACTGAGTTCCCAGTCAGCCTCATGGCCAAGCCTGCATAGGTTAGGACATGAATTCTCTATGTGACCACTCGCGGTGATGAACTCCACCGAATAACTGATCAATCATTTACTTTAATTGGCTTGGTGACTGCCAGCATCTTGAGCTGCTTCCCCAGTTCACCTCTTCACACTGTCCTCTGAGCCTTTATAAAAGGTGGGATCACATGGAAACATCACAGGTATGTCTCTTGCTGCAGTTGGGAAGGTCCATGTTGAGTCATGGTTACTTGTTAAAGCTACATAAGAAAAGCCATATTCCTTTAGAGAGAAGCTGAGGTCCTCCAAGAAGCATAGGGTGTTCTAGTTACTATGGCTGCAAATCAAAATATAGTAGCATGAAACAGCCATTTGTTATGCTCATGGATTCTGTGGGTCAGGAATCAGGCAAGGGCTCAGTGGAGCAGTTCTTGCTTGGAGTCTCTCATGAAGGTGCAGGCAGACATCTACTGGGGCTGTCATCTAAGGCAGACCACTCACATGGCTGGCAAGTCAGCATTGGCTGTTGGCCCAGGGGGCCTTGGGTTTCCTCCACAGGGACTTCTCCATGGAGCTGCCTGTGTGCTATCATGGCATGGCAGCTGGCTTCCCCCAGAGTAAGATCTCCAAGAGGCCAAGATGCAATATCTCCTATGACTTAGCCTTAGAAGTCAGACACTGTTACCTCCACCACATTCTGTTGGCGACACAGGCAAGCCCTGACTCAGTGTAGGAGGAGACTACACAAGTGCATGAATACCAGGAGGCAAAAATCACTGGGGCCATCTTGGAGGCTGGTTCCCACAGGCAACATTCCCAAGGTGGAAGTGGAATTGGCGGCCAAAGAGAAGAGGCCACATCCGTCTCTAAGTTTCAGATTTAGAGGCATCCAGATGTCCAACCATACTCTCCTAAACTGGGGGGACCCCACAAAAGTGCCTACCACATGAAGTAAGACTGAGGTTGACACAAAAGGCACCTGGAATGGAACCCAAACTGGAAATGAGTAAATGTCATTGGGTCTTTTAGGGTCTGCCTGACATCCCCTCAGCCACCTCTGAGGTCAGCTGCAGCTATAGCAGACAGCTCCCAAGCCTGCGGGCAGAGTCCCACCTCCAGGACCAGCCACATCTTGGCTTCCCTGCCTGCTGCAGGCTTGGCCCAAATGTAGGGCAGCCCAGAGTGCAGAGGGGTCAACAACCCCTAGCAACGGCATGGCAGTCAGCGAATCCATGCCTTAGGCTCCCCTCCCAGAGTTCCTTGGGGGCACCCAGAGTAACTGAAGCCCAGCTGCCCACAGCAATAGCCAGCTCAAGAAAGCACTCGTTCTTGCTTTTTTTCTCCTTGCCTGTCTCTCTCCCTGTTCTCTCACCTTCAGAATAAACTCCCTTCACCCAGTGTCTTGCCTCAGGCTCTACTTTCAGGGGGACCCAAACTAAGACGGTGAGCTTCAGCCACCTTGCTCGTAGGCCTCATTTTCTAGATTCATGCCATGCTCTGCTGTTTCTTTTATTCAATAGACACTTTGAGCGCTTCATATGCAACAGACACTGGGAAGCAAAGGTAAACCAGACATGATCTCAGCCCTCAAAAACCTTGAGCCTCTGCCTGGCAGTCCCAGACAAAGGCATCGGCAATTAGGGAGCATTGATGAGGGCAAGAGCATGGTGTCCCAGGATGGAACAGGACGGGAGCCCAGAAGAGGGGACTCTAAATGAGACAGGGGTCCAGGAAGTCTTCTCAGAAAATTGATGCTTGGGCTGAAAGATGCAAAGGAGGAAAACTCATTAATGAGAGGAAATAAGGGGTAAGGTTGTTTTGTCCAAGGGAAGTGCTTGAAAGAAATAAAATGAAACAATGTTGCTAAGGCACTACTGCTACAGCTTTTTGTTGTTGTTTTCTTTTTCCTTTTTTTTTTCTTTTTTTTTTTTTTGTGGAGACAGGGTTTCACTGTTTCCCAGGCTGGAGTGCAGTGGCACAATCCAGGCTCACTGCAGCCCTGATCTTCCCATCTCGGCCTCCCGAGTAGTTGAGATTACAAGTGCACACCACCATGTCCAGCTAACTTTCTGGATTTGGTGTTTCTTTGTTTGTTTGTTTGTGATTTTTTGCTTTTTTTAACATTTCTAGGCCAGGTGCAGTGGTCCATGCCTGTGATCCCAGTACTTTGGGAGGCCAAGACAGGAGGATCCCTTGGGCCCAAGAGTTCCAGAGCAGCCTAGGCAACATAGTGAGACCCTGTCTCTAAAAAATAAAAATAAATAACATTTCTGAAGAATTTTTCCAAGTGCCCAGACCTCACATGGATCATTTCATATAATCCTCATAGCAACATTTTGGGGCAGAGATAACTAACCCCATTCTGCAGATAAAAAAATGGAGGTGAGAGGTTCAATTATTTGCCTGTGGTTGCCCAGCTAACAAATGACAGGACGAAGATTCAAACTTAGGTCTGATTCCAAATCCCAAGGTCTCACCAAGAAGAATGCATCTCCTTCTATGGTGGGTCAGGGGTGCATGTGGACAGTTGGGGAGTGGGAACACAGCTGTAAGAGCGGGCAGGGGTTAGATCACAGACTGCAACAAACCAGGAGAGTTTAAATGAGGGAATGACACGCTCAGATGTGGTAGTTGCCAAAGCTAATTCTGAGCACTGTAAACGAGATTCCATTCTATGTTAACAGGGTCTAAGAGAAAGCACCTTAGTCCATCCTGGGGCCACAGGCGTATGGAGCAAGCAGCGCCCCCGTGAGGCTGGAGTGGGGCCAGCAGTGATTAACGCCACTTTCTCCCAGAAGGCGCTCAGAGATAACTTCCCCGTTAAGAAATTGCCCTCCAATGCTCACCTTCCAGGGTCTGAGATTTTATTAAACAAAGTGACACTTTTCTTTTAGGTTTTTCCCCCTTGGAAAGTCTAATAAACATCACTTAATGAGCAAGGAGGGGCTCTAGGGTGCAATGATATACACTATGACTATTTTTGACTCACCCTGCTTTTTTCCAGAGCAATCTTTTTTTTTTTTTTTGAGACGGAGTCTCGCTCTGTCGCCCAGGCTGGAGTGCAGTGGCGGGATCTCGGCTCACTGCAAGCTCCGCCTCCCGGGTTCACGCCATTCTCCTGCCTCAGCCTCCCAAGTAGCTGGGACTACAGGCGCCCGCCACTACGCCCGGCTAATTTTTTTTGTATTTTTAGTAGAGACGGGGTTTCACCGTTTTAGCCGGGATGGTCTCGATCTCCTGACCTCGTGATCCGCCCGCCTCGGCCTCCCAAAGTGCTGGGATTACAGGCATGAGCCACCGCGCCCGGCCCAGAGCAATCTTAATTAAGTGGAAGGTGCCAGTAGCTCTAGAAGAATTTACCGACGGCCTCTCAAACTAACTCTGATTAATAGCAGAGGCACAAAAGTGTCGCCATAACCAGGTCACATGACATAATACAAATGACTGTCTATTGCTATTTTTAAGTAATGTTTATTAGAATCCCTTGGCACGTAATAAATTTAATTTACAGCGGCCTGCAGCCCGACTTACACATGGCCTCCTGTGGCTCAGCTCATTAACACACTCAGGGAAGAGATGAGTTTTCTCTTTAATTCTCCCATTCCATTTCTCCTTTCTAATGAGGCCAGATTGTGAAACTCTTCAGGAGAGAATTTCTCCATCGTCTCCAATACAAATCGTCTTAAACGCTCAGATTTTTTAATTATCACAGAGGCACACGGCACAGATTCATGTGAGATGGCTTGGGGCAGAGCTGGAGTAAGACATGGTGAATCATCCACGCTCACATGAGTGAGAGCTCTTGGAAGGGAGACTAGGGGAGGAGACCTTTGGATCCAAGAACCCTCCAGTTGAAGATGTGGAGGCCTTTAGACAGATCCAGCTGTTATCAGACTCTCTAGAGAGCAACAGAAGAGCTGGAGGCCAAGGGACCAATGGTCTGGGGTCAAATTCTGCTTCTGAGTTTGGTTTAGAAGACCTCCGAGGGCCTTTCCAGCTCTTAACAGTCTGATTCCTTCCATTTCTTGGCTTGAGAACAAAATTCAAAGATGAAATATCCCATCAAAAAGAGCAGGAGTCAGCATACTTGTTCTGCAGAGGACCAGATAGTAAGTATTTTAGGCTGTGCAGGCCAAGAGGCAGAATCAAGGATATTATGCAGACACTTACATAACAAGACAGAACAAATTTCCATAAATTATTATTGATGAAATTTAAAACATAATAACTAAGTACAATATTTTATTATATAGGTCTACTAATGAGAAAAATGGAATTCTTTTTTATGGGATAGCATTTTGCCTAATTGTGGTTTAAAGATAATGTTCTCCATCATCAAACAAAAGAATATTCATCTGTCATAACCCTTCTTAGATATGGGCTATAAAAACTGGTGGTAAGCTAGATTTGGCCTGCAGGTCATAGGTCGCCAACTCCTAACATAGAATAGTGTCTAACAGTGTGGGTTCTGCAGTCAGACTGCCTGGGTTGAGATCATGGAACACCAACGATTAGCTGGAAGGTTATGTCATCTCTTGCATCTGTGATCTACTGCTTCAACCATGCTGCAAAACTGCAGTGGTGTATGAAGAGACGTATTTACTTAGCTCACAAGTCGGTGGGATCCCTTTGGTCTAGGCAGGCTCTGTTGGTCCAGGTGTGCTTGCTCATGCACCTGCAGGGTGTTGCGGGTGGGTTCAGCAGCTTTGCTGATCTTGGCTGGGTTCGCCCACAGGTCTGAGGTTCTGCTGGTGCATGGCCGAGCTAGGGTGGCCTCAGCTGGGATGACCTGAGCAACTCGACCCCGTTCTATGTGTCTTTCACCTCTGGCAGGCTGGCTGGGGCACATTCTTCACATGGCCGTGAACAGAGAAGCAAAAACAAGCAAACCCAGCTCCCAAGCACTCTCCAGCTCTGTGTGCATCACACCTACCAACATGCCATTGGTCCAACACAGGGCCCAGGGGCCCAGAATCGAGGCACAGGAAGGGGCAGTGCCAAGTCACATGGCAAAGGGTGGATGCAGCAAGGGGGCAAACACGGGGCCTGCCACGCCGCCTCACCTCCCTTGGCCTGTTTCCTCATCTATAAAATGGTGGCAATCATCACAGTTTCCTTCTAAGGTTGCCATGAAGATTTAAGGAGTTAATAGTGTTATATCTTTAGAACAGAGCGTGGCGCTTAGTAAACAGCCAATAAATATTAGTCATTATGATCAGCTGATTTACTTACTCTAGGTATCAGCATCTTAATTCTATCTCCTGGTAGGACCTATGCATTCTAAGAACCTGGAAATAAACATACATAGATGGAATTATTTACTCTGGGGCTCTTTAAAAACATTCTCTATGCTCAGGTACGGACCATGGGTTCAGGGGAGGTCTAGGGGTGTCTGGTCCCAGCCTTCTGTTCCATCCACAAAGGATCTGCAGAGAGGCTGAGAGAAAGGCTCTGGTCTTCCAGGGAGACATCCTTGTGTGTCCTGAGTCTTCTGGTCCCACACCGTCTGCATGGGATGGCTGCTTCTTGATTAGGGGTTTCTTCCCCTGTCTCTCAGAGCTCAGTGTCCTCATCAGAAGGCTGGTATAAAGCCTTTGCTTCTCTCCCAGTGATCCACCATGGCCAGCTGCTGCTGTGGGGCCCTCAGCCCCCTGCCTCTTTGACCTAAGCTCCACTAGGCTGCTCTCTGTCTTTGCTCATCATGATTTTGTCAACAGGATGGGCCTTTTAAAACTCCCCGTAAGGAGGCAAGTGTCTCTGTTTGGAGTATGACTGAAGCTCCACAGTGCAAATCATTAAAAGATGCAACAGAAATTGCTAGGTGTCTGGTTGTCCCCAGCATCCATCTCTGTAATTCATTAGGAATGGGACCTCTGATTTTAAGCTGGACACATGGTTGCCCTGAATAGGAAATGTGTTTCACAGCCTCCCTTGTAGCTTGGTGTCGTCGTGTAACTGTGCACAGGCCAATAGGATGTGAGCAAAAGTGTCATTTCAGACTTGCAGAAAGTGCTCTTAAAGGAAGGAATCGACCTTCCTTTCTCTGTTCCTTTTTTCTGCCAGCTGGCATGAGGATATGATGGCTGGAGTTTGAGCAGCTATGTTGGACCATGAGGTATAAAGACCCCTATGTGGTGAGGATGGCAGATCGACAAGCTAGAAAAAGCCTGACCCCTGTTCTATGAAGCACCCCACCAGCCCCAGACTTCCTTTTACCGGAGAGAGAAATAAACTTCTACCATGTTTAAGCCTCTAGGCATTATGGATCATGTCTGGTATTTACATGGTATTTTAAAGTTTACAAAACCCATTCCTATTTATGTTCTCTTGTGATCTTCCTAGGCAAAGCAAGTAACATTATTATTCCCATCTTACAAATGGAGAAACTGAGGTCCAGGGGATTTAAGTGGATTGCCCAAGATCATATGCCTAGACAGAAGCTGTCATTCAAACCTAGACCATGTGACTCCAAGTCCAGTCTCTCAGCCAGCACTCAGCGCATCTGCCTTCTATCTATCACACCCGCTTCACCCTACCCCTCCTCCCCAACACTGCGAGCATGGTCTTTACACAAATACTCAATGCCACTCTCTTGCTTCAACCTGCTCGGTGCCTCTCCTCTGCCCCCAGAATCATTCCAAATGTCTTCTGAGGATGGCTCACAAGGCCCACTATGGTGGAGTCTTCCCCTCCTGCAGCCTCATCTCTTGTATGTTCCTGCTCTGTCCTCCAGGTGTGTCCAAGAACACAGCCAGGAAATAACAGTACTAGGAGTAACTCAGACCCAGCTCTGTTTGACGCCAGAGTCAACATATTTTTCTCTTAGATCATCAGCCTCCCAATTCCTCACTGATTTCATAATCACACAGGAGGCTGAAAAAGGCAGCTGTACGAGTGCCTAGACACAGACTGCTCACAGAGCAGAGGAGATGGGGTTGGCTTGGTGTGGGGTTGGGCTAGGGGAGGGGGTGCTTCCTGGGCAGAGTGATGTGAGCTGGATTTGAAGGATGACTAGGACTTTGCCAAGAAGGCAGATGGCAAAGTCTTCCAGACAGAGGAAACTGCACATGCAAAGGCAGGAGGTGACAACTGCAAAATGTGTTAAATCATCAGCCTCCCTACTCCTGCTGAACTTTGGTCAACATCAGCCTCCCTACTCCTGCTTGAAGTTTGGTCAACTTCAAGCAGGAAGTACAATCGCACCAGGACACTGAAAGCATCGGGCTCTTCCGGTGTGCTTGCTGCCTGTGCTCACTTCTGTCCCACACCATACATATTATAAGCAGCTCTTTCCTTCTCTGTCTTCCCCACTGGACTGGAGCTAGTGAAGAATGGGCAGGGCCCCTGTTTCAGGCAATTCTGATCCCCAGTACCCACAGCCTGGCACAGAATCTGCATTCTCTCCATGTTTGTTGAGTGCCTAAATAAGCAAAGTTATTGCAACCATAAATCAGGGACTGTCCGGCTAAGTGAATCCTTCTACATCAGGCGCTGAGAAAGGCGTGCTCCTGGAAAAGTTACAAAGAAAATCTGTGTGCTGGGCTGCTCAGTGCTGGTGTGAGCAGCAGATCTTCAAGCTCCTGGAAGCTTCTGACATTTCTGACTAAAGTAAATGGCAAAACCCTCATTCCCTGAAATATCTACAAAGCTCAGAGCCAGACAGGTTTCCAGGCAGAGGCCATTCCGTGAAAATCCTATTGTAAACAAAAAGACACAGAGTTCAGCAAGGTCTCCCTGTGATGAAAAAGCCACTCAAACATGTAATCACAAGGCAAGACACAAAATGTAGAACTTTGTAAATTACCCTATTTCCATTCATTCCTTCAACAAATATGTACCAGGCGGTCACCGTAGGTCAGGCGCTGCCCTAGGCTCCTGGAGTATGGTGGTTGGCCTTTTTGTTTGGGTTCTCCCAATAGCAGAGCATGAGACAAGGACTTTGGTGTAGGTGATTTGTTTGGGAGGTGAGCCCAGAAGCAGGAAGAAGGGAGAAGAAGCCAGGGCAGGGGAGGCCAGGTCAGTTTGCGTTAAGGAGCCAGTTACTGCTGTGGGTGATGGGACCTCAGTCCCCTTTGGGGGACCCCCAAATCACTGTGTAGAGTGAGGCGTAGAACTGCCCCTCAATACTGCCCTATTGTTCAGACTACTCTGGAGGTGTCGCCTCCTACATTTCTGCTTTCGCCTGCTAAGCGGGTTTCCTCAGCTCTCAGGCAGAAGAGCAGAGAAGGCACGGCAGGAGGTTAGGGTGGGGGACTCCAGAGGAACTGCCCATCATGGCTGCCACCAAAACCGAGGTGGGGGGAGGGCATATGCCATGGAATGCAAAGCGTCCTCTGCAGGCAATGAACAAAGGGGCCTGAAGCCCCTGCCCTCATGGAGCTTACATTCTAGTGAGGGCAGACTCATAATAACCAAAGGAAATGAGTAAAATTAAGTATGTAATTGGGAAGCAATAAGTACTAGAGAGAAAAATAAAATAAAGTAAGGAGAATGGGGCCAGTGGTGGGGGCTGAGATTTTAAATAGAATGGTCAGGGTGGATCTTGTTGAAAAAGTGACCTGTGAGCCAAGTCTTGAAAGAGGGAGGGAGAGGGCCCTGCTGATCTGTGGGGAAAAGCATTCAAGGAGGAGGGAACACCCAGGCTGAGGTCCCAAGGCAGACTCAGGCTTGAGGGTTTCAGAAATAGCAAGGAGTCTAGAGGAGGAGTAATAGCAGATATGGAGCAGGTGGGGTTGGAGAGGTGAGGGGGACCCTTCCCTAGAGGTCCGGTAGCACTGGCCTTATTCATTTAATAACACTTCAGCAGTTGCTCACAATTCTTTACGGAGCTCCTATTACACGTTGGGTGCTGCCAGATGTCTGAACTCAAAGAGAAATTTAAAAAGCCCCTACCCCAGTGCTCTCACAGTTAGGAAAGGAGACAGAAGTGCAATTAGATAAAGTGGACGTGATTTCCCCCAACCTGCTGGGCTCAAAGTTTGACATACTTCTAATACTTCCCACTACAGCCCAGCAAGGCACATATCAGCCTCCTCATTTTACAGTCAAGGACACTGAGTCTCAGAGAGGTTAAGGGAACGTCCCAGATTGGACCCAGATTCAAGTGACATCTAAATCAGAGTTCTTTCTACTAACACCACAGCCTGCCACCTCCCTGCCAACAATATGTTATGGTGTCATAACAGAGTCTAGTGTGATAAGGTGCCATGATGGAGGGGTGGGGAGGATCCAGAGAAGGGAGTCTGGGATGGCTGTGTGGCAATTAGCCAAGATGACAAGAGGGGAAGGGGATCTAGGGAGGGGAGCAAGGGCAGGGAGGTGGGAAACAGTAGGGTGCCAGCGGGGAACTGCAGGTCAAGGTAGACGGGGCAATGGTTGGAGTGCCAGGGTTGGGTGCTCCTGTGCTGTGTTAGGGAGTCGTCCAGGAAGATTTTTTTTTAATTAAATTTAATTTTTTTGAAACAGGGTCTCATTCTGTCACCCAGGCTGGAGTACAGGCATGACTGTAGCTCACTGCAGCCTTGAACTCCCAGGCTCAAGCTATCCTCCTGCCTTTGCCTCCCAAGCACACATCACTGCACCTGGCTAATTTTTTTATTTTTATTTTTTGTAGAGACGGGGTCTCGCCATGTTGCCCAGGCTGGGACTTCTGGGAGGTTTCACCAAGAAAGAGAAATGGCCCTATTGGCATTTTCTGGGTTAGGTCTGTTTCTCCTTCCTCCATTAGAAGGTGAGGTCTTGGGGAGCTGGACCCATCTCCTTCCTCCCACAGCTTCTGCGTGACCCAGCGTGTGTTGGTGCTCGGCGGAATCGAGGAGACGGAGCTGGCTCTCCCGGCTGGGCTGGCATTTGGACTTGACTGTTCTGACCAAAGGAGAGGCTAGCCAAGCAGTTCCACCAAATGCTCTCTTGGATCGGATCTATCTGGATTCTCTTTTGACGTAGGAAAATGGCAACGACCAGGCTGTGGCCACGAAGCAAGCCCAGACTTGATAAGTTTTTTCAAAATGTTGGTCCTTTTTTTAGGGTTTCGGGAAGGATGGCAAGACAGAGGAGACACGGATGGTTTTAAAGGGAAGTTAAAAATCTGGGCTTCTTTCTGACTCCCCTGCCCCCCACCTCCCTGTCCAAATATCTAGCTTCAGAGATTTGGACCAAAGTATTCTTGGGGAAAGAACTAACTCACAGTTTGGGGCAAGGCAGATCTGTCCACACAACCCCAGGTAATGAATCCTGCTCAGCTCTTAGAATACTGACGGAGGTGAGGGACAAACCTCAGAAGGACAAGTGACGTCTTGGATGAATCCTAGAAGAGACTTGGGGTTCCCCCTCCCCCACACCTGGTCAATAAGGAAGATATCCTGTCTGGACAGATTCACAGCTGACCTACAAAACGCGCACTGACAAGTAACTTTAATTCAAGTTCAGGAAATGAACAAATTGGATAATACCAATGTCTTTTAAAATAACTCTGTTTATTTGCAGCATTTAAAAAAATCAGCCTTCATAACTTTAAGGTTTAATAATAAGTGTTCCTTTACTAGTCACTTTCTTTGTGTTTTGCTCATCAAGATCCTTGAAGCCAATTAGTACTCATGTAAAAGAGAGGCATCTTTGCCCCTCTATCCTTCAAAATATTTAGAGATAGACTTTTTTTTTTTCTGTGAGCAGTTATATTGTGCCAGGCTAAGTGTTTATATGAAATATCTCAGCTAATCCTTCCAGGAACTCTGTGATCTAATTATATCTAATAAATACTATTCTAATCCCTAATAGAAAGGGGAAAAGAGTCAGGCCTCAAAGTTTAGGAAATTCCCCGAAGATTGTGTAGTTAGTGAGAACCAAGCACTATGACTCAAGAGTCCATGCTCCCGACCAGCATGAAACTCTCCCCACCTAGAACCCACCTGTATTCACGGAAAAGTGGAGGCCAAGGAAAACCATCTGGATTCTTAAGGAGCTTCCCCTTTCAATTATCCACAGTTATACAGATGTTTCGGGCATAAAATATCCTGGTTGCCATGGTGTTCCACTTCATCTGATGCATGTGGTCATAGCCTCTGGAGCCCAGGAAACCTCTAAGAACCTGTCTAAGCCTGGGTTCCCTAGAAAAGGGGGCCTGAAGCAAAGCTCATGTAGCAGCACATTTTAGGGGTGCAATCCCAGGTTAGAAAGAGCAGGGGAAATTAGGAAAGAAGGCAGGGAAGGAAGGAAAGCACATCATGTGCGGTGCTGAAGTGGCCACAGTTTTGCCAGGGAACACAGCCAGTTGTTCGGTCACACAAGACATATGTCAGTAAGCCATATGGATGGAGAAAGGGAGATAAATAATCCACCAGATCTTTTCAGATCCTGTCATTGATCAAAGTTCATCCCACAGGAAGTTAACACCCTCCTCCACTTTCAGGTCATGGTCCTTGCTCCCCACTGACAACTACTGGGCAAGCCAGACCCCCTCCCCATGGTGTGGGGAGTATACTCAATCCTCTGAGTATACAGTTGGTGGTAGGTCCTAGGTCAGGATTCTGTGATGCTCGGGTCAGAGTCATAGCTTCCAGTAGAGTGGAATCCTTACTGTGTTCATTAGTGGGAGTTGTACTGTCTACAAGCCAGGACCTCTGACTGTTCTAAATCTGAGGTTGCAGGGATAAGCACAGATTCTGCAGGTTCTCCATGACTCCAGTCATCTGGGCCTGGCCCCCGCTGCTGCCATGGCCCCTTTCATGGTGTACATGATGGAGGCCGGGCTGAAGCTCAGCTCTTACCTGGGGGAGGCTGCAAAAGACAGTGGCGTTAGGAGATGGGACAGTGGTGGCACTGGCTGCCCTCTCCATTGAGCAGAAGGGGAAGCAGGTAAGGCCAAGTAAACCCAGGAAATGTATGGATGGGGCCCAGTACAGTCCACTCCTTGTGCTTTTCACAGTCCCCCACCCCATTCTCCTGTGATATTTGGATCTAACTTGAGAACAAAATGCCATCAGTTTGAGAGTGAAGGTGCAAGTCCAATTTTTGAAGTGATCAATTGCAACTTCCTAAAACGGCATAAAAAGATTAGCAAAGGAAGCTAGAGTCCCACTGCTGTGGCTGGTCCTAGGGCCATAATTGACACTCATCATCTTCTATCCACTCTGACCTTCCTTTCTTTCTTTTTTTTTTCTTTTCTTTTCTTTTCTTTTTTTTTTTTTTTTTTTGAGACGGAGTTTTGCTCTTGTTGCCCAGGGTGGAGGGCAATGGCATGATCTTGGCTCACTGCAACCTCCGCTTCCTGGGTTCAAGCAATTCTACTGCCTCATCCTCCCAAGTAGCTGGGATTACAGGCATGTGCCACCACGCCCGGCTAATTTTGTATTTTTAGTAGAGACAGTGTTTCTCCATGTTGGTCAGGCTGGTCTCGAACTCCTGTCCTCAGGTGATCCACCCACCTTGGCCTCCCAAAGTGCTGGGATTACAGGTGTGAGCCACCATGCCCAGCCCCATTCTAGATTTCTAGGGCCAGCTCTTCAGTGGGTCTGAGGTTCTCACCTGGAGGGTCTTCGGATGTTGTAATTGCTTGTTCACGGCTATCTCTGAGCAGAGAATCTCCCACAAATCCCAGACGACCAGATGTATTTGTCAGCTCAGGCTGCTGTAACAAAACACCCCAAGCTGGGTGGCTTAACCAACAGAAATCAATTTTCTCACAGTTCTGGAGGCTGAGCGTTCTAGATCAAGGTTCAGCAGGGCCAGTTTCTGGTAAGGATTCTCCTGCTGGCTTGTGGACAGCCGCTTTGTCCTCACATGGCTTTTCCTCTGGGTACCCAGAGAGAGGGAGAGAGCTCTGGTCTCTCTTCCTCTTCTTAGAGGGACAACAATCCTAGTGGATAGGGCACCATGCTTATGACCTCATTTAACCTTAATACCCCCTAAAGACTCCCTCTCTAAACATATCTAATATCTCTAAATAACCCCTAACGTTGGGGGTAGGACTTCAATGATGCATTTTGGGGGAAACACTTCAATCCAGAGCACAAGACATACTCTTCCCTGCATCCACTATGTAACACCAGCCCTTGCTCCTCATGGTAATGAAGTACTATCGTGCATCAGTATAGCAAATCCTCCTTTCTCTGCTGCTCCGCTGGCAAGAGGAGCACAAGGCACCCAGGTCACAGTCACAGCTTCCAGTTTAGTAGAACCCTTACTGTGTTCACTAGTGGAAGTTTTACTCTCTATAAGCCAGGGCCTCTGACTCTTCTAAGTCTAAGTTTGCAGGAACAAGAAGCACAGATTCTGCAGGTTTCTTGCTGGCAGTCGGACAGAGGAGCCAATCCTACTTCCACTCCTTGGTTCCTAGATTTGTATATTCTAACTATCAGAAACACATCTATTGACTCACACTATATCCAGGAGAGCAGTGCCCCAACCCCACCAGCTCTTGTCTCTAAGCTGATGTCACAGCTGAGCCTTCAGTAGACCATCTCATCACTCAGGGAAGCCCTAGGATGGCCAAAGAGGGGCTGGGTCATCCCGTCCGGCTGACTGTAGGAGCCTCCTTGGCAACAGATGCTCTCTGGAGAGACAAGCACGAGGCAGAAAGCCCCATACTCTTTGTGCTCACTCCCATGAATTCATCATTTACTGTTTACTTGACCTCCATGCCCCTGGCTTTTCATTTTTGTTCTTTCCATGTCCCTAAATGATTAGCCCAGTCGTTTACCCCGCACAGGAGAGTGTATGTCTGCACTTTGGGCCACCTCTCCTACCCTTGAATGGGAGGTAACACAGCAGTCATCTATTCCCAACTAGCACCAATACACCACGTTGACCTGGGTGTAAAAGAGGCCCTGGTGCTTTCCTCCTCCATCAGACTATCATATGGAACTCCCATTTGGGGCTAAACATATATATTGAGGAAGAGCTTCAACAGAGGTGGGTGACATGAGAATCTGGACCAGCTGTTTAGGCAATTTTCCTGTTCCTTCTAGACCTGCTCGAGCCTCGTCCTATACATACCACTTCTATCACATGCTGGGTTGCCACTGTCCATGGCCGACCTAATGCCTCAGAAATCCAGCCTCCCCTTTAATCATAGGCTCTGGACTATGAACAACCTTAGATAATTTCCATTGCAGTAGGTGTCATCTTTCTGCTCTTACACTCTTTATTTTAAAAGTTTATATATTTATACAAGTCAAGCAACACCCCTGTTAGCTCCCCATTTCTCTCCCCGCCCCCCCAATTACATCATGATCTGTCAGTCATTAACATAGATTCCTGGCTGGGTGCGGTGGTAATCCCAGCACTTTGGGAGGCCGAGGTAGGCGGATCACGAGGTCAGGAGATTGAGACCATCTTGGTTAACACGGTGAAACCCCGTCTGTACTAAAAATACAAAAAATTAGCCGGGCGCGGTGGTGGGCACCTGTAATCCCAGCTACTCGAGAGGCTGAGGCAGGAGAATGGCGTGAACCCGGGAAGCGGAGCTTGCAGTGAGCCAAGATAGCACCACTGCAGTCCCGCCTGGGCGAAAGAGCGAGACTCCATCTCTAAAGAAAAAAAAAAACACAAAAAACATAGATTCCTATGGCTCCAGGCACCCTGGTTGCCACTCTGGCCTTGCTGCCCATTATGGTAATTATGCCCACTTTGTCCGGCATGACATTATGCCACCTGGCCTTTGCCATTCCATTGATTGCCACTGATCCAAGAGAGTCCATTTCCCCACCATCTCCCATCATTGAACCCAGGCTTCAGAAGACAGCCACCACTGAATTTCTCAAAGGTGCTGATGGGCTCATTAGGACTTCTTTTTTCTGTTTCAATGAAGGGAAGATTCTCTGGGCCATCCCAGGGAACATAGGCCAGTGGTGGATTCTCAGGTCTTATGAGTCTAATATTCACACCTCTGAGCCTTCTGGTCCTTTTCTTCTTATTGTGCCAAAAAAATGTTCTGGCATCTCGCGTATTTACTGTAGGCTGTTGTCATTAAAGCAAGTACTATCTTGCAAGTTTCCTGCTTCAATGAGGTCATTGTCATCCCCAGGCCAAGAAGAGCTGTTCTGTTCTTCTTGCTTCTACCTTTCAGAGGATTCAAGGAGATTGGGGTCCAGATTTTCAGGTTTGTTTACCCGAAAGTTTCCATTCCAGGTCACCAGCTCCAATCCTTTCTTTATTAGAGCTCTGACTTGGACATAAGACATCTATGTGGCTGCACATTTAGTCTCCTTTTCAGCTCTGCCACCCTTATAATGAGCCCCCAAGCTTAATTTTCAGTGCAATATGTCTTGTAGATGTCAGGAGCGTCCTTAAAGTTTTCATTACAAAGCATGCCTTACGCTGGTAGATAGCTTCCCTGAGTCTATCATTTTCTCCTTGCAATACCTCCAATACCATCAGAAAAAGCCACTTAACCCCAAATGCAATGGCCATTTGATCTCATAAAGCCTTATTTTCTACCTGCATCTCATTCCAATTAGCCACAGGTGAAGTTTTAGAAATTGTAATATCACT